>NC_000002.12:77917625-78542625 GCF_000001405.40 Homo sapiens
TTACATTCTCATTTATCATTATTTTTATTCTGATTATATGTTTATTATTTCTCATTTTATCTATTTCCTCATTTCAGATTTATTAATGCTTTGAATATATGAGCCACCGTTTCTTTTCACAGCCTTTTCACAACTGGGAATTCTTTAGAGAAAGGCAATCTTACCTCATTTACTTACTTCATCAGTAATGCCATTACTATGCCTACCTAAGAAGAAAATATATCATGTGGCAGAGGACTAGAAAGAAAAAACAACAACAAAAGGCTGTGAAGATTTGATCATATGCCTACGTGTGTGGTGAATACAATATTTCTTTAATCGCAATCAGGAATATAAATCTTATTTTGATGCTATGACATAATAAAGTGCATTATTTTCCTGAAATTTTCCTCTTGTCTCTGTTTTATATTTGCATAAATAATCCATTTAAATACCAGATTCTAAGATAACATTTGCTATAAATGGTTTTAATTTTATCAGGAGAAATATATTCAAAGGTGTTGTGAACTTACTTTATTTTCATCTATCAATTTATAATTTCTACACAACAAGGAATAAAAACAGATTTGCATCTCATGTCAGTATAGATAATAATTGTCTCTTCATTAATTTTACATTTGTCTATACACCTAAAAAGAAACCAAGGTGTTCATAGTGGAAAAAAAATACTTCTTGACATATTTTAGTCATTATTTCTGCAAATGTTTCTTGAGAATCTACCTTTTGCCAGGCACTTTGTGAAGTTATGGAAATAGCAATGAAAAAAAAGGGGTGCAGGGGTGTGGGGATCCCTGCCTCTAGTGAGTGAAACATGTAGAAGAATGATAAACAGAATATTCCAGTTATTGACATGGTTTGGGTATTTGTCCCCTTCAAATCTCATGTTGAAATGTGATTCCTGATGTTGGGGATGGGGCCTGGTAGCAAGTACTTGGGTCATGGGGCCGGGTCCCTCATGAATGGCTCTGTGTGCTTACCGTGGTAGAAAGTGAGTTCTGGCTCCATTAGTGCACCTGAGAGCTAGTTGTTTAATGGAGTCTCACATCTCCCTCTGGATAGGCATCCAGGCAAAAAAAACAGTAGGTGTAAAAATAGAAAGAAGGTTAGCATGCCTGGAGAGGAGAATAAGAAAAACCAAGGTCGATGGACCACCTAAATTCTTGAACAAAATTTGTTTAATGGAAAATTCTAGGTTAAATCTTCAGAAAGTATAAAGATGATGAGACTGAAATAAAACATGCATACTTCAGACTTTGAAAAAATAATTAGCTCCAGCTTTCTCACAGTGGGACCTATTCTAGAGAGGGTTACAGAAATCTCTATTTTTTTTTTTTTTTTTTGAGACAGAGTCTTGCTCTGGCACCAGCCTGGTTCAAGTGGTTCTCCTGCCTCAGCCTCCCGAGTAGCTGGGATTACAGTCACACGCCACTATGCCCAGCTAATTTTTGTATTTTTAGTAGAGATGGGGTTTCACCATGTTGGCCAGGATGATCTCAAACTCCTGACCTCGTGATCTGCCCTCCTTGGCCTCTCAAAATGCTGGGATTACAGGCGTGAGCCACCGCGCCTGACCAGAAATCTCTAGTCTAACATCATGCCCATCTCACAATCAAATACAACACTCGCACATGATAACACATACACTGGCACTGATCTGGGGATTATTCCAACAATTACAGTCCTCTATTTTCCTACATTTTATTTTACTTAAATTGTTTTAAGCACAGCATACATAAAAAAATTAAACTGATATATATTTACAGTTCCAAAAAGTTTTACAAAGTAAAAACATATACAACAGCCACTCAGACAAAAAAACAGAAATTGACAGTACCAAAGAAGGCTCTTCTGTCCTCTTCTAGGAATTTTCATCTCCAAATTAACTTTTTTTTTTTAATTAGAGCAGATAAATTCTGCCTGTGCACATTAAGCACATGCTTGCACCCAATATATACTCTTTTATGTCTGTTGTTTTTGCTCAGTATTACACCTGTGAGATTTATACTCTGTGAGGTCTGACACACATATTTTAATTAGGGAATAATCTCTATTGTATGAATACACCACAATTCATTTATTCCTCTACTGTTGATGTCTAGCTATGTGGAATATAGTGTGAAAACAATGATGCATTCATAAACGTTCATCAGCATTTACTCCAGATTTTAAATATCTTGCACACTGGAGTACATAAAAAATACATCAATGGATATGAAGTAATGAAAATACTGGGCAAAATGTTTGAGGCATAATCAGAGGCCAGGATGCTAATATAAATAGTTCATTGCATTGTGTCCAATGGAATATGCAAACATTCTAGATTGTGACCAAAAATAGAGAGGAGCTCTGCTAAGCATCATTAAAGAAAAGCAATTCAACCAAAAGATAGGTAAGACCAACATGAAGTTAATTCCTACTGCTTCTATTGATAAGACCAGAAAGCAAAAGAAGCATTTTTTTTTCTTTTTTAAAAAAATTGTATGTAGGTTTACTAACATTTTCAGTTACTGGAGGTTAGTACTAGCAATGATTAAATTATTCTCAAACTGTCAACGTGATTGGGGATCATTTGAGATGCAGGAGACCAGATAGTCAAATATAAGGTAAAACCAGTGGTAAAAAGCTTCACTTTCTTCTAGACGATTATTAGAAGATGCTGTGACAACTGGCTTTATGATGCCAGAGCAGAAAGAAAAAAAATAATAGTATTTAAAGAACTTAGTATTGATCTACTCAGTATATACCTGGGCCCAATTCACAAATTCACCTAGCAGTATTATCTGCTACAGAAAAATCTTGAAATTCATTAAAAATTTACCAAATTAAAATGGAAGAATAATCTCGATTATCAATAGTGAGTGGCCTCTTGGGAAAGAGAGCAGAGAAAGCAGTCTCTCCGCCTCTCTAAGTAAGTACCTTGGTGTTACATCTCACGTTTTGCCCTGAAACAAAAGATACAAAGCTATCTAAATTCTATCCTCATTGACTTCATCAGATGAAGAATTTTATTAGGCAATGGAAGAATATGACTGAAAAGAAATTTTCTTTTGCAAGTGAAGAGAAGTGGGGGTTTTAAACAGTGCTATGTAATGCCTTTTAAGACATTTCTGACTAGTATTTCCTTAAAATGCCACAGAAGGCAATTCTGTAGGGTCAAGACAAATAATTATGTATTCAATGAGGCGCTTCTACTAATAAATCCTTAAATTTCCTTGAGGGACAACATCATGAAATCCCACATTTTTGCATTAAGGTATAGAGTATGCTATGTTGTCTAATAAACAATTACCTAGTAATAATGTCGAGTGCACACACACAACACATGCATACACACAAATACAATACATACCCATATGAAGGGAAAAGTAAATAATATATTACTCCTGGGCTAATAACTTATTGACTGCTCAGACAAAGGGACAGGTTGATGTAAGAGGCAGAGGGGAATTTCTTTGGTTCTTTTCACAAATAAATCATGGTATGATAAAAGATACCCTGTAGAAAACATATTATGAAAAAAAAATCATGTACCAGACAACTTGACCATAAATCTACTTGTGATTTAATTGGAACGGTATAGCCTACTGAGCTAACTCAATGAAGGTGAGGATAGGGAAAAATATTTCTCTTTGGGATTAAAACCACATAATATATTTTTATTATCTAGAATGATGGTGTATATGAAGGATAGCTGGATATCAAAACTATGCCTTCTAAATGTTCGTAACATAGGCAGGAATAATGCATAATTCTTTCTCCAACATCTTATCTAGCATGCTTTATTTTCCTGGCTTTCTCTTTGCTCACATTGATTATTTTATCTACACGGTACTACCCTCAAAGATTGCAGCCCAGAATCTAGACTTGTGTTTGAATAAACATAGCAAAATGTAACAATGACACTAATAAATGCACCTGTACGTCAATGCTACATTTTAAAGTAGTCCAAATCTTGCTCCTAGGTTTCGTTTGGCTATCACACTTTCTTTGACTTTCACTGCTTTTATCTATAACCATAGTGATTCACAGATAGCTAATTTTATACCGTCACATTTTGCGTGACATCCTGGGATCTCCTGATATTCAAAATGTTTTTTAAAAATTTTGCCTGTGTTAATGTTCACTTTTTGTACAGTAAATTTCTATGAACTTTGTAAAATAAAATATTTAATACTTTATTATTTTGTTGCTCAAATTGTTCTATCTTTGGCCATTGGCAGCTCTTTCTGTGGGCTTCTGTGTCACTTTATATAACCTCATCATTTTGTGTGCATGTGTTTACACTAAAAGATGCACTAGGCTTATCTTGTCTATATTCTGATCTTAAACTCAGTCATTTTCTTTTTTTTTCTCTTTTTTGAGATGGAGTTTCAGTCTTGTTGCCCAGGCTGGAGTGCAATGGTGTGATCTTTGCTCACTGCAACCTCTGCCTCCGGAGTTCAAGTGATTCTCCTGCCTCAGCCTCCCAAGTAGCGGGGATTACAGACATGCACCACAATGCCTGGCAAATTTTCTATTTTTAGTAGAGACAGGGTTTCTCCATGTTGGTCGGGCTGGTCTCAAACTCCCGACCTCAGGTGATCGGTCCCCCTCGGCCTCCCAAAGTGCTGGGATTACAGATGTGAGCAACTGTGTCCAGCCAAACTCAGCCATTTTCTTACAAGTCTGGTTCTTTTTGTTGGAGGATGGTATTAGAAACCGAGATGTTAGTGTTAGGTGTACACTCATTGCTCTGGGTGTCATTTCTTCTAGGCCCACTCAGCTGACAAAGAAGGAAATATATGTGTGTTTACCAATCCATATATATATACATATAAATATTTCTATATGTCATCAACATCTATAATAGTATAAAAATGAGTTCATATCGATATCTCCAATTCTAGTCTATTACCACATGTACTTTTCTAGCAAATTCTCTTTGCTCATCTGTAACTTTCCACTGCAACAGTGAGAAATCAGGCTCCTGCCATCTGTCATCCATTTACTTAATTTTTTAGTTTCAGAATATGCATACAGTTGAATCAGAATTCTTAAACCCTATCCTCATAGCCGATATTTCATCAGTTGGAACACAGTACTTTTACAGTTTCTTTGACTTTAGTCTTAAGGAATCCACTTGTTTCCAAAATTACTTAGGTCAGCATTCTTTACACCCACCCCATTCAGTGGGGTTTCATGCATTTATAATATAGTTTTGTCACATTCTGCATTACCTTCTGGGATCTCTTGCTATTCTAAATGCTTTTTAAAATTTTTATATGCATTAATGTTCACTCTTTGTGCTGTAAATTTCTATGTGCTTTATAAATGCATATTGCCATGTAGTCTTCATTACATCAACAAATAGAATAGTTTCACTGCATTAAAAATTATCTACTGGGCTTTACTTAAAACATTTCTCTTCTTTTACATTTTCCAGAACGTAATATAACTGGAATCATATAGAATGTAGCCTTTTCAGACTGGCTTTTACACTTAGTAGTATGCATTTACATATAATTATGTTTTTTTGTGGCTTGATAATGCATTTCTTTTTATTAATGAATATTATTTTGTTTTATTGATATACCACAGTTGATCCAATCATCCATTACAGAATGTCTCGGTTGTTTCCATTTTGGAAAATTATAAATAAAGCTACTATAAACATTTGCAGGACACTTTTTGTGTGTGTGATGTGTGAACATAAGTTTTGAAATTAGTCAGTGGATATCTAGAAACAGGATTGCTGGATTGTATGCTATATTTATGTTTAGCTTTGTAAGAAACTGCCAAACTGTCTTCCAAAGTAGCTGCACCATTTTGTAGCTGTACAGTTTGCATTCCCACCGTCAAAGAATGAGAATTCCTGTTGTCTCTCATCCTCATCAGCAAGTGGAATAGCTGTTCTTTATTGGGCTTTGGTTTTATTTTGCTTTATTTTTGGATTTTAGTCATTCTAATTAGTTGCAATGCGTTTTGTTGTTTTAATGAACAATTCCCTAATGATAAATGATGTTGAATATCTTTTTCTATGCTTATTGGCCATCTGTATATCTTGTTTGCTGAGGCATCTGTTCAGATCATTTGCCAATTTAGGGGTTGTTTTCTTATTGTTAAGCATAAAAGCTGTTTTATATTTTGGATCTAAGTTCCTTATGAGATATGCTTTTTTGCAAATGCTTTCTTGAGTCTATGGCTTCTCTTTTTATTCTCTTAACTGTCTTTCACTGAGTAGAAGTTTTTAATTTCAGCAAAGCCTAATTCATCAATTTTTAAATTTCTTATGTCATGCTTTTGATGCTGTGTCTACAAACTCATTACCAAGCCCAATGTCACATGGAGTTTTATCCTATGTTTTTGTCTAAACATTTTTAAATTTTTAAACATTTTATATTTAGGTCTGCAATGCATTTCAATTTTTGTAAAATTGTAAAGTCCATCTACATTCTTTCTTTGTACATGAACTTAATTTTTCTAGTAACATTTATTGAAAAGCCTATTCTTTCTTTACTGAATGCCTTTGTTATTTTGTCAAAAATTGTAGAGAATAGATACTATGATCTATTTCTATTCAGAATGATTCTAAGGCCATTTCCCCCACACCAACCTATTCTCCAACTTTTCAGGCACCAACTGGGTGTCCTACAATTCAATTCAATTCTGACCCTAACTACCTGGACTTACATCAGACCCCACAGGTCAAGGGCTCAGTCCCACAAGAGTGCCCTCATTTCAGATACCAATAGAAAGTCTAAGCCACTCATATTTTTGACTAACCAGCTATAAATTGGATTTCCACAATCCTCTCTCCAGGTTTGATGATTTGCTAGAACAACTCCCAGAACCCAAATAAGCACTTAAAGTTACATTTATTAGTTCACTATAAAGGATACAAATAGACAGTCAGAAGAAGGGTACATAAGCAAGACACAGAAGGGTTCTGACCACAGGAGTTTCTGCCCCACTGAGTTAGGGTGGGCTACTCTCTAGGCACATGAATGTCTTCATCATTGTGGTGAACCTGGGGTTTTCTGAACTCCTTCATTTAGGGTTTTTAAGGAAGCTTCAGTATGTAAGCATTATTGATTAAACCAGTAGCCACTGGAGATTGAGCTCAATATCTGCCCTTTCTTTCCTCCCCAGAGGTAGAGAAGGTGAAGCTGAAAGTCCCAATTCTTTTATCGCTGATTGGTTTCTCTGGCAACCAGCTTTCAGAATATGCTTTATCTTGGTGGAAGTTCTATAAGAGGTAAAGAAGAATGTATCGTCACTCTTGTTGAAAGGATTATTCTATAAATTGAATTCACTAATTAGAGTGATAGTGCTGTTTAGATAATCTATACCTTTAATAATTTCCTACCAACTTGAACTATTAATTACTGACGAAGGGATACTGAAGTCAGCAACTATGATACGGAATTTCTCTCCTCCCAGGCTTATCATTTTTTTATCTCATTGGTTGTGACTCTCTGTTGTTAGATGCATACACTTTCAAGATTAGTGTATCTTCTTAAAACTTAATCTCTTTATAATTACAGGAATGCCACAGGTATATTGTAGGTTTGGTTCTAAACTATTGCAATAAAATAAACAACACATTTTTTTCATTTCCCAGACATATAAAGGTTGTATTTACAATATACTGTAGTTTATTAATTGTGCAATAGCACTGTGTCTAAGAAACAATGTATATATCTTAATTTTAAAATACTTTATTGCTAAAATAATGCTAATGATCTACTAAGCCTTCAGTGAGTCATAATCTTTTTGCTGGTGGAGGTTCTTGCTTCAATGTTGATGGCTGTTGATTGACCAGGGAGGTGGTTGCTGAAGGCTGGGGAAGCTGTGCCAATTTCTTAAAAAAGACAACAGTGAAGTTTGCTTCATTGATTGACTCTTTCTTTCATGAAAGACATCCCTGTAGCATGTGATGCTACTTGACAGCATTTTATCCACAGTAGATCTTTTCTCAAAATTAGAGTTAATCTTTTTAAAGTCTACGGCTGCTTTATCAACTTTATGTACTAATCTGTGTTGTCATTTAAACAATTTGTACAGCTTCTTTAGCAAGATTAGATTTCATCTCAAAAACCATTTTCTTTGCTCATCCATTAGAAACAACTCCTCATTTTTGGAAGTTTTATTATGTGATTGCAGCAATTCCATCACATCTCCAGGCTCCACTTTTAATTCTTGTTCTTTTACTATTTCTGCCTCAACTTTAGTTACTTCCTCCCCTGAAGTCTTGAATTCCTTAAAGTCCTTCATGAGAATCAACTTCTTTGAAATCCCTGTTAATGTTGATATTTTGACCTCCTCCCATGAAACAGAAATGTTCTTAATGTCATATAGAATGGTGAATTCTTTCCAGAAGGTTTTCAATTTACTTTGCTCAGATCATCGGAGGAATAAAATATATTTCTTAACTAACAAGACTTGAAAGGCAAAATTACTTCTTGATCCATGGGCTACCAAGTTGATGTTATATTAGAAGACATGAAAACAAATTAATCTCCTTGCAAATCTCTGTCAGAGGTCTTGGGTGACCAGGAGCATTGTCAATTAGCAGAAATATTTTGAAAGGAATTTTTTTTATTTTGAGCAGTGGATCTTAACGGTGGGCCTGAAATATTCAGTAAACTGTGTTGTAAACAGATGTGCTGTCACTAAGGAAACATTGTTGACTTTATTGAAAAATTGAATTGTCATTCATTGAAACATTGTTGTTTTATTGATAAAGCATAGACAGAGGGAATTTAGACCAATTATTAAGGGCCCTAACATTTTTGAAATAGTAAATGAACAATTGCTTCAACTTAAAGTCACCAGCTGCATTAGTCCCTAACTGGAGTCAGCTTGACATTTGAAGCTTTGAAGTCAAACATTGACATTTTCTCTAAAGCTATAAAAGTCTTAGATGGAATCTTCTTCCAATATAAGGCTACTTCATCTACATTGAAAATTTGTTGTTTAGTATAGCCATCTTTATCAATTATCTTGGCTAGATCTTCTGGATAACTTGCTACTGCTTCTACATCAGCACTTGTTGCTTCACCTTGCACTTTTATATTACGGAGACAGCTTCTTTTCTTAAACCTCATGAACCAACCTCTTCTGGCTTCAATCATTTCTTCTACAGCTTCTTTATCTGTCTCAGCCTTTATAGAGTTGAAGAGAGTTAGGGGCTTGCTCTGGATTAGGCTTTGGCTTGGGGGACTGTTGGGGCTCTCTACAGCCCCACAAAAACTTGCTCCAAATCAGCAATAAGTTTGTTTGACTTTCTTATCATTCGTGTGTTCTCTAAACTAGCTGTTTTGAATTCCTTTAAGGACTCTCACTGTGCATTTACAAGCTGGGTAACTGTTTGGTGCAAGAGGCTTCCCTTGCAGCCTGTCTCAACTTTAGCCATGCCTTCCTCACTAAGCTTAATTATTTCTAGCTTTAGGTTTAAAGTCAGATAAATGAGATTCTTTCTTCCATTTGAAAACTTAGAGGTCACCGTAGGGTTATTAATTGCCATAATTTCAATATTCTTGTGTCTTAGGGAATATGGAATTCTGAGGAGAGAGATGAGGATGGATGATATGATTAAGCTTTGTGTCCCCACCCAAATCTCATCTTGAATTACAATCCTTATAATCCCCATAATCTCCACATGTCAAGAGACAGACCAGCTGGAGGTAACTGAATAGCGGGGATGTTTCCTCCATGCTGTTTTCATGATAGTGAGTGAGTTCTCATAAAATCTGATGGTTTTACAAGGGGCTCTTCCCCTCTTTGCTCAGCATTTCTCCTTTCTGCTGCCTTGTGAAGAAGGTGTCTTGCTTCCCCTTTGCCTTCTGCCATGATTAAGCTTCCTGAGGTGTGTCCCCAGACATGCTGGAATGAGAGTCAATTAAACTTCTTTCCCTTATAAATTACCCAGTCTCAGGCAGTTCTTTATAGCAGTATGAAAATGGACTAATACAATGGGAATAGGGCTGTTCCATGGAGCAGTCAGAACACATACATTTATCAATTCAGTTCATCGTTTTATATAGTCACTGTTCATGGCAACACAAAACAATTACAATAATGGCCTCCAGCTCCATACAGGTTTTTCCGAAGGACATAATTTTATTCTTTTTATGGCTATGTAGTGTCCCATAGTATATATGTACCACATTATCTTTATCCAATCCACCATTTATGGGCACCTTGTTGATTCCATGTCTTCTCTATTGTGAATAGTGCTGCAATCAACATATGTGTGCATGTCTTTTGGTAAAATGATTTATTTTCTTTTGGCTATATACCTAGTAATGGAATTGCTGGGTCAAATGGTAGTTCTAATTTTTTTTTTTTTTTTGAGTCAGGTTCTCTCTCTGTCATCCTGGCTGGAGTGCAGTGGAGTGATCATGGCTCACTGCAGCCTCAGCCTCCCAGGCTCAATCAATCCTCCCATCTCAGGCTCTGAGTAACTGGGGATATAGGTGGGTGCCACCATGTCTGGTTAATTTTCGTATTTCTTGTAGAGATGAGGTTTCACCACGTTGCCCAGGCTGGTCTCGAACTCCTTTGGCTCGAGATCCAGCCACCTCAGCTTCCCAAAGTGCTGGGATTACAGGCATGAGCCACTGTGCCCAATCTGTGTTAAGTTCTTTTAGAAATCTCCAAACTGCTTTCCACAGTAGCCAAACTAGTTTACTTTCCAGCAACAGTGTATAAGTATTTTTCCACAGCCTTGCCAACATCTGTTGTTTTTTGACTTTCTAATAATAACCATTCTGACTGGTATGAGATGCTATCTCATTGTTGTTTTGATTTGCATTTCTCTGATGATTAGTGATATTGAGCATTTTTCATGTTTTTGGCTGCTTGTATGCGTTGTATTAAGAAGTATCTGTTCGTGTCTTTTGATAATTTTTTAATGTGACTATTTGTTTATTGCTTGTTCAATTGTTAAAGTTCCTTATAGATTCTGGACATTAGACTTTGCCAGATGCATATTTTGTAAATATTTTCTTTCATTCTATAGGTTGTCTGCTCACTCTTTTGATAGTTTCTTTTGCTGTGCAGAAGTTAAGCTAATGTGTGTATACAGTTTTAGATAAGGGTCCAACTTTATTCCTTTGTATGTAAGTATTTGATTTTTATTTCACTATTGATTTAAAAGACTGATCTTTCCCCATTGAGTGGTTTTGGCATCCTTGTTGAAAATAATTTGACCACCTATGCAGGAGTCTATTTCTGGGATCTCTTTTCTATTTCATGGTCTATATGTCTGTTTTTATATAAGTATCACAGCGTTTTGATAATTGTAGCTTTGCAGTACATATTGAAATTAGGTAATGTGAAAACTCTGACTTTGTTATTCTTTGTCTAAATTGTTTTGGTTATGTGAAACCCCTTGAGATCTCATATTAATTTTAGGATGGGTTTTTCTATTTCTGCAAAAACTTCATTGGCTTTTGATAGTGCTTGCACTGAATCTACAGATCACTCTGGGCAGTACTGACATCTAAACAATATTAAGTTTTTCAACCATGAACACAGAATGCCTTTGTATTTATTAATGTCTTTAATTTTTTTCAGCAATGTTTTGTCATTTTCAGTGTACAAATCTTTTATATCTCTTGTTAACATAATCTCTATTTCATTTATTTTGATGCAATTATAAATTGAATTATTTTCTTAAGTTCTTTTTTGAATTGTTAATTGTTAGCGAATAGAAACACAATGAATTTTTGTGTGCTGATTTTGTACCCTGAACTTTTATGAATCAACTTATTAGTTCTAGCTTTTTTTGTATATAGGATCTTTAGCATTTTCTGCGTACAAGAACATATTATCTGTGAACAGTGATAGTTTTCTTGTTTATTTCTTTTCCTTCCTTATTGCTGTGACTAAAACTTCCAATATTATGTTGAAAAGAAGTGGCAAAAGCAGGCATCCTTCACTTGTTCCTGATCATAAAAGGAAAAGCTTTCAGTCTTTAGCCATTTAGTTTGATGCTAGCTGTGTTTTTTCTTTTATGGTCTTATTGTGTTTAGGTAGTTTCATTCAAGTCCCAGTTTGCTGAGTGCTTTTAATCATGAAGGGTTTTTAATTTTGACATATGTTTTTTCTGTATCTATTGAGATGATCCTGATTATCTAGACCTAACTAGATGACCAACTAGATCTAACACACATATACAGAATATTCAAGCCAAAGACAGAATAATACATATTATTCTCGAATGCTTGTAGAAAATTCTGCAGGGACCAGCTTCATGGAAGACAATTTTTCCAGACTTGGTGAGTGGGGAGGTTTTGGGATGAAAGTTTTCAGCCTCAGATCATCAGGCATTAGCTAGAGTCTCATAAGGAATGCACAACCTAGATCCCTCATCTGCGCTCTTCACAATCAGTGTCACACTCCTATAAAAATCTAATGCTGCTGCTGATCTGACAGGAGGGGGAGTGGAGGCAGTAATGCTCTCTTGCTTACTGCTCACCTCCTGCTGTGCGGCCCAGTTTCTAACAGGCCATGGACCCATACCTGTCTACAGAGTGGGGGTTGGGGACCACTGTATTACACAACAAAATAACTCTAAATACATTCCTTATTTAAAAATAATGAAAGTGTACAAACTATTTTCTCTGATTAGAATGAAATGAAGCTAGAAATAAGTAACACAAGGTAAGCTAGAAAATACATAGATTTATGAAAATTAAAAAATACATCTTTAAACAATCAACAAATCAAAGAATCACAGGAAAATTAGAAATTATTCTGAGACAAATGAAAACAAAAACACAGCATGCAAAAACTTCTAGAATTTAGCAAAAGCAATGTTCAGAGAAAAAAATTACAGTTATAATTATCTCCATTTAAATAAAAAAACCTCAAATTAAGAACCTAACTTAACACATCAAGGAACTAGAAAAAGAAAAGCAAATTAAATTCAAATATAACAGAAGGAAGGAAAAAGGGAAAAAAGAAGATTAAAGTGGAGATAAGTGAAATAAAAAATAGAAAAACAATAGAGAGAATCAATGAAACAAAAGCTGTTTACTTAAAAGATCAATAATACAAAACTTTAGTCTGACAAAGAAACAGAGAGAACATGCAAATAACTAAAGTCAGAGAAGTAACTAGGATATTACTACTGACTTTACAAAAATTTGAAAAAAGATTATAAGAGGACACTATGAACAATTGTATGCCAGTAAGTTAGATAACATCAGTGATATAGAAACTCCCTAGAAATCCCCCAAATAACAAAACTGAGCCAATGAATAACAGGAAATCTAACCAGTTACATAAGAAATTACATATTAATTAAATATTTGTGAAATAATGTGTAAATAATTTGTGACTATAAATTAATAATATTAGTAATTATTAAGTAATATTTACAAACCTCCCAATAGAGGAAAGCCCAGGGCCACATGGTTTCACTGGTAAATTCCACCAAACATTTAAAAATTCAGCTGGGCGTGGTGGCTCACACCTGTAATCCCAGCACTTTGGGAGGCCGAGGCAGGCAGATCACGAGGTCAGGAGATTGAGACCATCCTGGCTAACACGGTGAAACCCCGTCTCTACTAAAAATACAAAAAATTAGCTGGGCGTGGTGGCGGGTGCCTGTAGTCCCAGCTACTCGGGAGGCTGAAGCAGGAGAATGGTGTGAACCCAGGAGGTGGAGCTTGCAGTGAGCCGAGATCGCACCACTGCACTCCAGCCTGGGCGACAGAGCAAGACTCTGTCTCAAAATAAATAAATAAATAAATAAATAAATAAATAAATAAATAAAAATAAAAAATAAAAATTAATTAACACCAATCCTTCTCAAATCTTCCAAAATGAAGAGGGACCATTTTTTAAAAATCTTATTCTATGAGGCCAAAATAACCTTTATACTAACCACATAAAAACATCACAAGAAAAGAAACTATATACCACTATTTCTTATGCATCTAGATTAGACAATCCTTAACAAAATATTAGTAAACTAAATCCAATATTATATGGAAAAGATTCTACACCAGGAGCATTTATTCTAAGAACACAATATGAGAAAATCAGTGTATCCAATGCACCACATTAACAGAACAAAAAAAACAGAAACAAAAACAAAACCATGATCACCCAACCCACACAGTAAAAGCATTTGGTAAAAATCCAACATCCTTTCATGATAAAAAAATTCAGAAGAATATATGTAATAGAAAAGAACTTTCTCAGCATGACGAAAGGCATTGGTTAAAAAAGTCACAGCTAATAACAAACTCAATGGTGAAAAACAAAAAAGAAAATTCCCCTTTAGATAAAAAAGGAGGCCTGAATTCACCACTGACATTTACATTGTACCTGACATTTTAGCCAGAACAATTAGGCAAGAAAAATAAATAAAACACATCAAAAATGTAAAGGAAGAACTAAAACTATATATATCCATAGATGACATGATCTTATATACAAATATTCCAAAAGAATTCACACATATACACATACAAACTATTATAGCTAAAGATCACATTCAGCAAAGTTTTAGGACATAAGATTAACACATTAAAATTACTTGTTGTTTCTATACAAAATTGCACGATGCAAAAAAATAATAATATTGATTCTTCCTATTCAAGAGGATGGAATGTTTTTCCATTTGTTCATGTCCTCTCTTATTTCCTTGAGCAGTCATTTGTAGTTCTCTTGGAAGAGGTCCTTCATACCCCTTGTTAGCTGTATTCCTAGGTATTTTATTCTGTTTGTAGCAATTGTGAATGGGAGTTCATTTATGATTTGGCTTTCTGCTTGTCTATTGTTGGTATATAGGAATGCTTGTGATTTTCACACATTGATTTTGTATCCTGAGACTTTGCTGAAGTTGCTTATCAGTGTAAGGAGTTTTTGGGCTGAGACAATGCGATTTTCTAAATATAGGATTAGGTCGTCTGCAAACAGAGACAATTTGACTTCCTCTCTTACTATTTGAATACCCTTTTTTCTTTCTGTTGCCTGATTGCCCTGGCCAGAACTTCCAATACTATGGCCATACTGCCCAAAGTAATTTATAGATTCAATGCTATTCCCATTAAACTACCATTGACATTCTTCACAAAACTAGAAAAAATTACTTTAAAATTCATATGGAACCAAAAAAGAGCCTGTATAGCTAAGACAATCCAAAGCAAAAAGAAGAAAGCTGGAGGCTTCATGCTATCGAATTTCAAACTATACTGCATGGCTATAGTAACCAGAGCAGCATGGTACTGGTACCAAAAAAGATACATAGACCAATGGAACCCAGTAGATATCTCAGAAATAAGACCACACATCTACAACCATCTAATCTTCAACAAACCTGACAAAAACAAGCAATGAGGAAAGGATTCCTTATTTAATAAATGGTGTTGGGAAAACTGGCTAGCAATATGCAGAAAACTGAAACTGGACCCCTTCCTTACCCATTATACAAAAATTAACCCAAAATCATAAAAACCCTAGAAGAAAACCTAGGCAATACCATTCAGGACATAGGCATGGGCAAAGATTTTATGACAAAATCACCAAAAGCAATTGCAATGAAAGCAAAAATTGACAAATAGGTTCTAATTAAACTAAAGAGCTTCTGCACAGCAAAAGAAACTATCATCAGAGCAAACGGGTAACCTACAGAATGGGAGAAAATTTTTCCAATCTACCCATCTGACAAAGGTCTAATATCCAGAATTTACAAGGAACTTAAACAAATTTACAAGAAAAAAACAAACAAACTCATCAAAAAGTGAGCAAAGGATATGAACAGATGCTTCTCAATAGAAGACATTAATGCAGGCAACAAACTTATGAAAAAAACTCATCATCAATGATCATTAGAGGAATGCAAACCAAAACCACAAGAATCTCATGCCAATCTGAATGGCGATTATTAAAAAGTCAAGAAACAACAGATGCTGGTGAGGCTGTGGAGAACTAGGAATGCTTTTACATAGTTGGTGGGAATGTAAATTAGTTCAACCATTGTGGAAGACAGTGTTGTGATTCCTCAGGGATCCAGAACCAAAAATACCATTAGACTTAGCAATCCCATTACTGAGTATATACCCAAAAGAATATACCTCATTCTATTATAAAGATACATACACTTGTATGTTTATTGCAGCACTATACACAATAGCAAAGACATGGAACCAACCCAAATGTCCATCAATGATAGACCAGATAAAGAAAATGTGCTACATATACACCATGGAATACTATGCAGCCACAAAAAGGGATGAGATCATGTCCTTTTCAGGGACATGGATGATGCTGGAAGCCATCATCCTCGGCAAAATCACACAGGAACAGAAAACCAAACACTGCATGTTTTCATTCATAAGTGGGAGTTGAACAATGAGAACACATGGACACGAGGAGAGGAACACCACACACCAGGGCCTGTTAAGGAGGGAGGGTAGTGAGGGGAGGGGGAGCATCAGGACAAATAGTTAATGCATGTGGGGCTAAAACCTAGGTGATGGGTTGATATTTGCAGCAAATCACCATGGCACACATATACCTAAGTAAAAAACCTGCACATTCTGCACATGTATCCTGTAACTTAAAGTTAAACAAAACAAAAAAAGAAAAGAATTCCATTTTAAAAGAACATTCAAAAGAATAAAATAGCTAGGTGTAAATTTAACAAACGAGGTGCAAAATTTGTACACTAAAAATTATAAAACATTGCTAAAGGAAATTAAGGAAGGACTAAAGAATGGGAAAGACACACTGTGTTCATGGATCACATGACCTACTATTCAGATTGCAGTATTATTCAAAGCTGTCTATAGTTTCAATGCAATCCCTGTCAAAATGAATGGGCTTTTTTGTTTTTTTACAGAAAGGAAAAAACAATTATTAAATTTATATAGATTTGTAAGTTTCCCCAAATCACCAAGTCAATCTTGAAAAAGAACATTGTTGAATGACACACTTCTTGATTTCAAATTTTCCTACAAATGTATAGTAATCAAAACAGTGTGGTACTAGCATTATGATAAACCAGTAGAATAGACTTGAGAGTCCAGAAATAAATCCTCACATCTAGATGGTCAATTGATTTTTGACAGGGATGCCAAGGTTATCAATAAGAAAATAAAGTCTCTCCAACAATTATTGCTGGGACACACCGATATTTACATATAAAGAAATGAAATTGAATCCCCACCTGCACCATTTTAAAAAGTTAACTCAAAATGGATCAATGACCTAAATGTAAGAGCTAAAACCATATAAGTCTTAGAAGAAGAGATAGGTGTAAATCTTCATGGATTTGGACTTGGAAGTTAATTCTTAGATATAAAAACAAAAATACAGGCAGTGATACAACAAAAAAAAAGTTACATTTCATCAAAATGAAAAACCTTTGGGCATCTAAAAATATTATCAAGAAAAGGAAAGCCTACAGAATGAAAGAAAATACTTGTAAATTACAGATCTCACAAGGATCTAATATGCAGAATGTCTAAAGAACTCATATTGCAAATACAAACTACTAATTAAAAAATAGGCAAACGACTTGATTAGACATTTCTCCAAAGATATACAATGTCTAACAAGCACATGGAAATATGCTCAACAATGTTAGTAACTAGGACTAGGGAGACAAAAATCAAATACAAATAATATCACTTCAAACCTCCTAGGATGGCTATAATAATACTTTAAAAAGCAAAACAGAAAGTAACAAATGTTGATAAGCGTGTAGGGAAATTGGAACCCTCTTATTTTGCTTGTGGGAATGTAAAACAGTGCAGCTACTGTGGAACACATTTGGACAATTCCTCAAAACCTTAAACAGTATTATCGTATTAACCAGAAATTACATATATGTATATGTAATTATATATATATATGTAATTATATATATATATAATTAATTGAAACAGGTACTCAAATAAATGCTTACACCTGGATGCTCATAGAATATTCACAGAAGCTAAAAGATAGAAACAATGCAAATGTTCGTCAACAGATAAATAAACAAAAAATAGTATGTATAGGAGACCATATTCATCCATAAAAAGAAGTGAAGTACTTACACATGGTACAATGCAGATGAGCCTCAAAAATATTACACTAAATGAGAGCAGCCAGATATAAAAGGTCACATATTGTATGACTTCATTTACATAAAATGTCCAGAGTAGATAGATTAATAAAGACAGCCTATTGGTGTTTGCCAGTGTTTCAGAAGAGGGAGGATGGGGAGTAACTGCTTAATGAGTATAGGGGTTCTTTTGGGGGCGATAAAAATATTTGAGAACTAGATAGTGGTGGTGGTTGTGCAACACTATCGTGCTAAATGACACGGCATTTTTCACTGTAAAATGGCAATTTTTATGTTATGTAAATTTTATCTCAATAAAAACCTTATTAAAATAATGAATTATTAATCCTATTTTATCTTCCAATTTTTTTATTTTTACACAATTAAATATGCCTATATCTTATGGTATCATTATTAATAAGATGATATTACTTAACAGTATAATAGATTAAGAAGATTAGGGTTTATAGAAACACATGGATTAATATCTCACACCATTCTTGCTTTATAAATAAAAATTTATCAGCTGAATTTTTATTTTTCCTTCACTGTCACTTTAGGGGCATAGGGATTTTTTCTCACAGAGTTCATAGAATCTAATTAATATATTTCCTAACATGACTGTAGCTTAGATGTTCATAATATCTACTTAGAAATTTTATATATTTTGATGTCTACAACAAGCCAGTAAAAAAATAATATAATTGTAATACTGAATGGGAAAATAAACTTCTAACAATTTGTCCAAACTATTCTTTTTACATAGTAAAAACTATAAATAATTAATGTAAATTAGAGAAACTAGATAACAGCTAAGCATTTGTTTTAGTATTATATATAAATTTATGATGGAATGGGAAAAGCAGTATGGGTGATAATCATTCTAGAATACAGTGATCAGGTAGACATCTTAAACAGGACAGTTCTGGTTTTAAGCTTTTTTAAATCCCAGGATGAAAATTCATTTTACTGATAACACCAGAGCTAGATTTGTAATATGGAAGAAGTGAAAAAATCATGGGAAAATTTCTTCACTCCTGAAAAATTGGTAGTTTAGACATAGACTCAAATTAGGAAAATATGAGAATTGCAAAAATCCAAATCATTGTTTTATTTCATTTGGAAATTTAATAGAGCAGGCTTTTTCTTTTACTGGGTATAGAGAAATCATATCATAGTATCTATATTTTGTAAGACATAATATTATATCATAAATTTATAGTGTTAATTGTCCTTTTTGACATAGATTAAAAGATGCAATATAATATATTATGCATTTTAAATAATTTTATGAGATTTGAAGATATTATTGAGAAAACAAAACAATTTTGAGATACAATAATTCTTTCTAATGACTTCCTGGTGCAGAGGAAATATTTTCTTAATTTTGAAACAATAAAATTACATATTTGTGTGGGTGTGTGAGAGTGTTTTTCTATACATAGAGTGGGGAGGGAGAGAGGGAAAGAGCGGGGAGAGAGACAGACTTCATATATGCATTATATATTTTCATACTATATATAATTTTAACTGTGGTTGCCATTTGAAAGTACCATAGTAAATCCAGAGACAGAAACTTTTTTTCAGTTTATGCCATAGAAACCACTGAAGCATAAAATGTGAAAGTATCATTGCTACTCATGTTCTGGCTTGAAGACTTCTATTATTATTTATTACTATTGTCTCAAGAAAACATTAACTGGTTTACTGGTTTCCTGTGAAAAACAACTGAAATCTATAGAAGCTAATTCCTTTAAAATACTGCCACCTTTGTCAGTTACCCTAGGCTCTAGATATCAAACCTAGCTTTAGAGAATGAAGCTCCTGTCAGTCTTCACTATTAGATACAGCAGAATTTTTCCGTCATTTTATTCAATCATGTCTTTTTTTTTTTGACAGGGTCTCTCACTCTGTCACCCAGGCTGGAGTGCGGCGGTGTGATCAAGCTAACAGCACCGTGTATCTCCCAGGCTCAAACGATCCTCCTACCTCAACCTCTACTAAGCAGCTGGGACTACAGTCTCCTGCCATCATGCTTGGCTAATTTTTTTTTTTTATTTTTAGTAGAGAGGAGGTCTCACTATGTTGCCCAGGCTGGTCTCAAACTCCTGAGATTAAAGCGATCCTCTCGCTTAGGCCTCTCAAAGTGCTGGGATTACAGTTGACAGCCACAACCCCTGGCCTCAATCACATCTTTTAAAATTCTCTTTACTTTTCAACCTATAGGTGGAAACTACCTCACTGGTCATTAAAATTAGTCATTTTATTCTGGTATGCAGTTACCAGAAAAATTTTAAAATTACCAAGTGACAAAGACAATGACTATTCCCAATAGTAACTGTGAGTCTTATTAGACACCCTCAAATGTTCAGAACTAGCATAGTTTCCTTTTCTTTTTTTGTTTTAGCTCTAGTCATCTTAAGAATTGTCACCAAAGATATTTTAGGTTGTGAAGCAGTAAAATTACCAAAAGGTCAGAGGCTTAAAAAAGGAAGGCTTACTTATTGCTTGTTCTACATGTCCATCGAGGGTTGCTTGGATTGTTCTCTGTGTTGTCCTTTCTCTGGGACATGGAATAGCTACTACACATAACATTCCTTGCCATTAGCACAGAGGGAAAGACAACGTTTGCTGATCTGGTTACAGCAATTAAATTCCCCTGCCCAAAGAAACAGCTCTTGGCTCACAACTTATTGGCTGGCACAAGTCACCTGGCTCCACCCAACCCATAGAAGTGAAAAAGTGCAATAATACCATGTGCTCAAAAAAGGAAAGATCAGATACATTTGGTCACCAGCATTAATGATTACAGTGACATTCCATTCCAACAGGTTAACCATTTTATTACCTATTTTTGCATATGAGAAAATGAATGTTCAGAAATGTTTTGCTAAAGATCACTTATATAAAAAATGCCAGAAACTAAAAAGAAACTCAGATATTTCTTCGTCTGAATTAGGTTTCTTCACAGTAAACCATGTTACATCATACAGTTCTAGTCCAACAGGCAGTTGTGACATAGAATCTAATTCAAATTTACTTAGCAAATAAAACAACCTCCTCAACAATCAACATTCTAAACCTAATACCTGGATACTTAATTCTTCAAAACTACCAGTGTTCACTTTATTCTGAGTCTATAATGGTTTATAAATAAGCACAAATATTTAATGGCTATGAGCTACCCACTTACGATTAATGAACATGAAAATCCTTAATTTAATCAGCCCATTTAACATTTCCAAAGGGAAAAGAAAACATTAGTAGAATTTTTGACTCAGGCATATGTGTTGCTTCCTTGGTTCTCAGACTCACTCTTTTTACAAATATAATGAAATATTCTGCAACTATAATATTAATTTATATTAGAACAGAATAGAATTGTAACACAGATACATGAGGTTCCTATAGAATAATTTTCTGCTTTTTAAAATAGATTGTGGTGGCTATTTTCAGAATTCTGGCTGAGGTTGTAACCTCAGATTCTGCATTTAGAACATACTAAGATTCTAAGGAATAAAATCTCTGAAGATAAATGAGCCAGAAATATCACTTCTAACTAATACTACTATCATATCGCTTGGGACCGAAACACAGTATATACTTAGAGCAAGTTATTTAGGTAGACAAATGGATGATAAGGGTAGGACAGTGGACTGCCTTCCCAGACTACTTATAGGTGTCATTATTTTGGTGGCTCTTTATAAAGTATATTTGAGATTCTGATGTGTCAATACTAAGTATGTATATTTCTCATGAGTAACAAATCAGGGATATTTGGGGCAACAAGTTATAGAATCTTACTCTCAGTGTCATAATAAAATCAGGTTTGTTTTTTCTCATATGATGAGATGTCTAGAAAACAGCTGCCGCTGAATTTGACAAACTTGCTCTATGATGTCATAGCTGTCATTGCTTTTCTCTGGTATCTATAACATGGCTGTTGTGGCTCTGCTCATCCACCATTAAAATCAAAGAACAGGAGGGAAGGACATCACTCATTTATTATGATTATGATTATTTTATGTCTTTAGGAAAGTAAAGCCTTCTCATACCCACCATAAAAGTCCCTTAACTCATATACTTGTGGCAGAAGAGGGTTACATAAGCCGTTCAAATGAAGCTGATAAAATGAGCAAAGAATGCTAAAGATTACCTTAGAACTGCCACAGCTCTTTAACTGGTTCTGGACACAAATATCATTTTGTTAGTCTGTAAAAAGGAGATGGAGATGTGATTAAAAAAAACTGCCACATAAAAGATGAGTGGCATTGTCATGTCACAGATCTACCCAGTGAAGATTAATATATTTATTTCAAAGCAAAACAAAACCTCAAGTGAAAGTGACATACCATCACTTCTGTCATATTCTATTTGATATAAGAAAGTCATCAAATCCAGCCCATCTGCAAGGGGAAGAAATTAGACAACAGCATGAATACCTGGAGGCAGGGATTATCTGGGGCCATTTCAAGGTTGCCTATCACACTGGAAAAAGAGAGAAAACATTTTGTTTGAAAAATAGTATCTTGAAAATGGCATATAGCAGAATCTAAGCAATATGCTGAAATTTGTTACCTTTTAACAGGGCATTTAGCCCTCTTCACAACTATAGTGATCCCTTGTTCTTATTTTAGGTAATAATCTTGTCATTCTATTTATTGAGTTTTCTTCTGTTTTTGCTGGGTTTATTAAATTTTCATTCTTGCATTGAAAAAATATTCTGTGTCCTATTTGTAGACACATTGTACTAATAATTGTTTAAAAATTTTACCAAACTGATTTTAATTTATATTATAATGATTAGGAATGGGTCAGGTGTGGTGGCTCATGCCTATAATCCCATCTTTGAGAGGCCAAGGAAAGGGGATCCCTGAAGCCGAAGAGTTTGAGACCAGCCTGGGCAACACAGTGAGACCCCATCTCTAAAAAAATTCAGAAAAATTTAGCCTGGCATGGTATTGCACAATTGTAGTCCAAGCTAATCAGAGGCTGAGGTGAGAGGATTGAGCCCAGAAGGTCGAGATTACAGCATGCTGTGATCATTCCACTATATTCCATAACTGACGAACAGAGCAAGACTGGGTCTCTAAATAAATAGGAATGAACAATTTATATTACAACCCCAAACAAAATATACCATTTTTTTCTCTGTCATTTTCTCCCACTCCATAGCTCCATTGCCAAATCAGAATTTAATTTGAATTATTTAATACTTTTATTATTCATTATTGTTTTATTATTGAGCTTTGGCTATTGTTTTCTTCTACTTTAAAAACCCTTTCCTTACAAGTATATCAAACTTCACAGCCACTTTTTCAACAAGTATTATTCAATCTAAGATAAAGGTAACACTCATATAGATTTTACCAAATTAACTTCTACTCATCCACAAAATCTCACATATAAACACATATAATCTTCTCAGTGGCCAGTGGCTCATGCCTGTAATCCCAGCACTTTGGGAGGCCAAGGCAGGCAGATCACCTGAGGTCAGAAGTTGGAGACCAGCCTCACCAACATGGTGAAAACGCAGCTCTACAAAAAATACAAAAAATTAGCCAGGCACCTGTAATCTCAGCTACTCGGGAGGCTGAGGCAGGAGAATCACTTGAACCTGGGAGGCAGAGGTTGGAGTGAGCCGAGATCGCACCATTGCACTCAAGCCTGGGCAACAAGAGCGAAACTCCATCTCAAAACAAACAAACAAACAAAAAAACACAAACGAACAAAAAAACTTCTCAGATAGAAATTTCCTTCCCACTAAATAAAATTAGTTTTGTCTATTACAAGATTTTATGGAACTATGTCCTTTCCTTTCATAGAACTTATGCCCATTTATATTTATGGGTACATTTTATAATTGTTTAATTTTTGTTCTTACCACTGGACTGTAGGCCTGAACTGTGCCTGTTTTTGTTCACAATAATATCTGCAGTATCTATTATAGTGTTTGGAAATGTGAAGATGCTCATAAACATTCTGAATAAATAAGTACATGAATTTTGATTATCAAAAAAACGAAAAAGCCACTTTACAGTTACATGTGGAAAAAGATTTATTTCAAGGAATTGGATAAATTTCACAAATAGATGCTTGAAAAGCGCATTGATTCTTCAAAACACAACAGAGTTCATTTTTTTTTAGAATAGAAATGGAACTCAAAATGTAGGCAGGGAATTACTATCACTATCCTGTTTTCTACAAAAAAAGAGCAGGTATATGGATTACTTGGACCATTTGAATTACTGTGGTAGTACATTATTTTTTTTCTTTGTTCTGTTTTAGGTCTAACTTAAAATTATTCTTAGGACATTTTAGTTTATTTTCTTTTATTCTCCTTTTTCAGTGGAGAACAATGACACTTTATTACAAATCCTGCATATGTACATTATTACTGTCATTTTACAGATTATCTAATCATAATACATGGGAAATTGTTATCTTTCTTCTTTGAAGAACTATTTTATATGCCCTCGAGCAGTTATTTTCATTTTATCTTTCATGCATATCACATTCATCAAATATGTGCCCTGAAGCAAGATCAATTCAAATATTTAAATATTATTTTATACCCTTTGCATATTTGATGGTATTTCATTTAGCTGCAATGTTATTCCAATACTGCATATAAGTTTTATTATTCCTTCTCTCATTCATGCACTTATCTATTCATTTTTTTCATACATTTGTAAATTCATAGATCCAGCTAATAATATACATTGAATCCTTTTCCCTACCACTTTGTATCAGACAGGTTGCTAATAATAACAGATGGAGAAATGATTAGGGCACAGACCTCCTTATGAAGAATTTCTCAATCTTGTAGGAGAACCAGATGTGTAATTTCTGATGCAAATGACAGAAAACAATTTGTATAGTTCAAGTATGGCCATGATAGTGCTTACATGAGAGGAGTAGGTCATCCCTCTTTTAGAGTTAAAGGAGAGTACAGAGGGTAAGTGAAATTTAAGCTAATAATTAGAGAAAAGGATGATTTAGCAAGTGATAAAGTTCACAGAAAGCACTTAAGAAATAGAAAAATATTCATGATATATTTATCTAACATTGATAGGTCATGTTAGAAAACCAATGGAAATTAGAGTGTAGTTCATAAGTGCATTTAATTATAAACATGATTTGTGAGGTATTTTTGGACTAGGGTATAAATATCTTAGAGTCATGATACCTTTGGACTTTGTCCTTAAGGGGTGTAAAGTTACCAATTTGCTTTCTGGTAATTAAGGTAATTTTATGAGTTTCCCAGGCTGTTGAAACAAATTGCCACAAACTTAGTAGCTTAAAACAACATGAATTTGTCTTATATTTCTGGAGGTCAGAGGTCTAAAATCATGATGTTTGCAGGATTTCATTCCTTTTGGACATCTTAGGGGAGAATCCCTGACTTTGTTTTTTCCAGTGTCTAGAGCCCATCTACATTCCATTATTCATGATCTTTCCTCCATCTTCAAAGTGCATTGCTCCAATCTCTGGTTCCCTCAACACATCATTTTTCTGCAGCTAAATCTCTTTATCTTTCTATTATAAGGATACTTGTCGTTGTATTAGATGCATCAGTCCTATCTGGTAGAATCTCCCCATCTCAAGATATTTAATCACATCTGTAAAGTTCCTATTGCTACTTAAAGTAACATATTGATAGATTATGAGGATTAGTTCATGGATATGTTGGGGGTCACTAATTAGCCTAATAGAGTCTGTCCACTGGTCCAGCAAAATTCAGATCCATTCCTAATGCAAAATACATTCACTCCATCCCAACATTCCTGAACAGTTCAACCAATTATAACATCAACTCACGGTCCAAAACTTCACCTATGTCATTTCAAGAGTCCCAAATCTCATTATCCATCTTTCCTAAATCAGGTATGGGTGAGAATCTGGGTATGAACAAATGTCTAGCAAAATACCTCACAATTTCTGGACCTGTGAAGCTGTAAAACAGGTTTCTGATCCCAAAAAACAATAATGGGGCAGTAATAATATAAGAGTTATAGACATCCCCATTCAAAAAGGAGAAAATGGAAGAAAGGAGTCACCAGTCCCAAACAAATTTAAAATCTAACCAGATAAACTCTATTAGGTTTTAAGGCCTAGAAATAATCTGTAGCTCTCATTTTCATCCCGTGTCCAAGTTTCACCCACCAAGATTCACCGCTGTGGCCCTCAGCTTAATCCTCTGTGCCCAAGTCTCTGACCTCTGAGTCATTCTTTTTTTTTTCATAAAGGGTAGCATCTGCTTGCAGCTGAGTAGTTTTATGAACCTGTTTCCTGTCTGCAGAATTTTGGTATTCTGATGACCTCCATTCATTTTGCCCCGTCTGTTTCTTTCGATTGATGCTGATAATATTTCTGCTGCTATCCTCAAGAACATTGTAAAGTCCCCATGTATGTCCTAGGGATTCCTGCCATTAGACAAGAAGTTTCTCCACAGGTTTTTCCTAGATTATATCATTTCTACTTTTGGCTTCTGCTGAGCTGGCTGAGGGGATCCATGTGTTATATGATCCCTTCAAAGAGTCTTCTGTGTGACTGAATATTGTGAACTTTTGTCCTTCTCAGGCATTAAAAAGGTTGTCAATCACCCTCTTGGCTTTCTTTCCTGAAGGTGCTTTTCTGACAGTACATTTCCCAATGTTATTGTCTTTTGCAATTTAAATCAGCTGAGGACTTCCCAAATAATCAAGTCCTGATTCCCTTTTACATAGCATGTTTTCCTCAATTTATCTTTCCTCTCCCATTTTACCACAGGCATCAAGAAGAAACTAGGGCACATCCTTAATATTTTCCTAGGAAATCTCAGCTTACAAATTCTGCTTTCCTTGTAACTAGGAAGCAATTCAGCTAAGATTCTGACACTTTTCCCACTGTGTTTTTGAAAATTCTTCTATAGACTCTACCCATTGCCCAATCCCAAAGCCAATTCTACATGTTTGGGTATTTATCACAGCAACATTCCACTTTCAGGTACTAAAATTTGTACTAGGTTCCTATTGCCACCGTAACAAAATACCCCAAACTTACTAGCTTACTCCAAACAACATAAATTGATTCTTTTTCATTTCCGGGGTTTGTAAGTCAAAAATTATGACGTTGGTAGGTTTGCATTCCTTCTGGAGAGTTCAGGGAAGAATCTATTTCCTTGTCTTTCCAGCCTCAAAAGACCACCTGCATTTCTTGGCCCAGGTGTTCTTCCACTACCTTCAAAGCATGTCATATCAACCTTTGGTTCCAGCATCACATCTTATTTATTTATTTATTGTAGTGAAGTCTTCCTCTGACTCTCTCTTATAATGACACCTGTGAATACATTGAGCCCACTGAATAATCTAGAATGATCTCCCCACCTCAAGATCCTTAACATAATCATATCTGAATGGGCATTGGGGGGTGTGTGGTGAAGAGTTGTATTCAGCCTAACATAGTAATGTATGAGCAATTTCAATATTGAGAATGACAACTTTGGTTACAAAGTAGAGAGTAGATTGGAATTTCAAGAACGTGGCAGGGAAATATATTAGGGTGCTGTTTGTATACCTCAGAAAGAGAGATTATCTATTGTTCACAAATATGTGCCTCAATGGAACCCTATTTAGGATAAAAATTATCTGTATCAGGAACTTCCTTTCTGTTAACGTTCACAAAATGTGGTGAAATCATGAATGCATGAGTAATAAAGGGAGAAGAATAAAATATGACACTAGAATTTTTAGCTTTAGATATTAAGTAAATGGTTATCGTTTACGAGCAACCAGATTTTTGGTGTACTATGCCATATTATTAAAAAAAAAACATTAAAATGAACATGTTAATGTGATTAAAATAGGTTATTCAAACAGGACAGGAACTACTTTAATTTTGTTAGTCAGTAAAATACTAAGGTTTGCACAAAAGACTCTGCCTATCAGCTTGCAGTTCCCTCTAGATTTTTGTTTTTCTTTCATTTATGTTGCTGAGGTATTCTAATATTCTAGTTAGTGAAGCATTGTTTAACCATGTATATCCTTACTAGTCTCATGTACACATGTGGATGTGTATCTGTGCATATTATTGAACAAAGTTAGATGTTCAATACTTTACCTTTCCCAAAATTGCCATGCAGGTTATATTTAATGTTCTGTTTGCTTAATTTTGATGTATTATTGATGCTGGATGTTGAGGAGAATAAATACAGTAGTATCCTGGCTCCAGGGTCCAGGATTGATCACTTATAATGAGGGACTTGTGAATGCTAATTGCACATTGCTATATTTCATAAATTCTGGGGGTTGGCAAAGACAAGGTTATTGCATTTTATCTATCAGAGGTGATTAAGATGACCGAATTCCACTGGAGGTTCCTGAAGCATGAGCTTATTTAGTTACTTATGGCAAACAACCCTACTGCCAGATATGGGTAATGCCGTATCTGTGAAGATACTATTACTTTTCTCTCAGCAGTGTAACTGCTCACCTTAATGTGAAAGGTGGGTTGTTAAGGTGATAATTGGCTGAACTGGGAGACAATTGTGGGAGATCTTTCATTCTTGAAGAAGGAGTGACTTCATTATTTTTGCATAAATGTACTCATATTTTTTAGCTTGCAGTATCCCTTGTGGTATCTACTTCTAAAGTTTTTCTCTGCAACACATAGTCAAAAAACTCTTAAAATTATGCATATAAAACTAGTATCTGATTCAGTAGTTCTGAACTTCCTAGACTGTAATTATAGATTTTTCAAAGATAACAGGAGAACATTGGTCTGAAGCATATATGAAATATGTTTCCACGTTAGGATCTTACTGTTGTTGAAATTTAAAGATCACAACACTTGATAAAACTCCCAATTTTCCTCCATTTTTGGAAAAGTACTATTAAAGTATTTTTCAATTCAGACCCATAAAGCACAGTCTCATTTATTTGGGTGTTGTAATAAAAATATAGGTAGTTTGGAGTAGGCTTCTTTTTTTCTCTATTCCTTATTAATTGTAGAGTGGAGTAAATACAATATGAACTCCACAAGGACCAATTTCCATAGGACCTAATGTTCATTAGACCCCATTATTTCAGGAGCAATACAAAAGGATGCTATTCGATCTCACTGTGTGCTTTGGGATGATCAAAAGTTCACCACAGCAAGTATCTAGTGTGACACCTTAAAGGGATTAGTTTAACACCTTTTGCTACTGGAGTTGGACTGAGAGTTCGCAGCTACTCAGTTCCTTGTACAGACTGCATTGATGTGGCCACATTTAGCTATGTGGAGCTTTTCTATCGCTTTTGTTTAGAATCCCTTTTATCTTTACCTATGGGAAATTATTTGTTCCTTGTGATATTTATATATATTATGCGTTCTTTGTGAAATCCTTAGGTGGCCAACCACGAGACCACGGCTGCTTCTATGTTCCTCATTTCTTCATATTAAGCTTACAGGGGACCCCTGAATTCCCATTGCATTGTCATCACAGGGTTTTGAAGCAACTTGTACTTCTTTTACCATATTTATATAACATAAATATCCATTTTTGGTCCACATTTTAAGATTAAAAATCTATTATAATTCCAATGAACAGTACACAAAAACACAGGACATTCAGAGTGCAAGCAGTTAAGGCATATATGGAAAACAAATATGGTGGTTAGCACAAAGTTATTTGAAAGCTAGATGAACATCAATATTGGTAATACTCCACCATTCAATTGTCCATTTGTTTAGGCAATAAATAGTTATTGGCTCACTACAATAAAAGGGAAGCATTTTCCCCTTAGGTAGCAGATGAGTTCTTATATCTGTATTTTTTAAAGAAACATTGTAATTCTTACAAAAACTGCTATTTTAATGAACTATGTGAATCTAGCTTCCAAAAATGCAAGAGAAAGGCAGACTAAAGCCAAGACCTGTAATTAACTGCATGCTTATTTGCTAAAATAAATGTGCAATTCTCACTTCTTTCTCTGAATGGGGTTACTGGGACTACTGTCATTAAACTGCCATTTCAGTCCTATCATTATAGAAATAATAAGAAACAAGTTCTGGAATCTGCTTTTCTCTTCATTTTAGGGTAATTTATTGGTGGAAGCAGAAGTTATTTTTAGATGCACTAAATTCTTACATAGTGATACCTACACATATTTTTAAGTACACATAATATGTGGTCATTTCAAATAATAGCTTAGGTAAAAATAATAATTTACATGTGATTAGCATGCTTTATCAGATAACATAATCAATTTTTATTTTAAGTTCATTAATAATGCAGTAAAAATTGATTTACTATTTCTGTTTATATAATTTACTCATTTTCCCATAATGGTGAACATTGAATATTTTTGAGCATTTCTTACAGCCTAATACTGTTTTCTAACCATGCACGCCTCTTGCAGGCTACTGGTTCCTAGTCCTCTCTTCTTTGTCTTTGTTGTTTCTTATTCTACATGATTTCTCTTCCGTTCTTATGGAACTGCCACCTAAGAGTTGTGCAATGCCCAAATGGTATTATCAACCAAGGCTTTTCTGCTATCCAAATATTCTTGGGTAATCCAAAGTCACATCAAAATGTACAAACGTTTATCATATGCTATCCATTTAGCTGGGATCTCTAATGGAACAAGGGATATACCTTAATAAACATGCAAAATAAACTCCAAGACAGAGCTTAGTCTACAGAGATAAAGATTTACACACACATATTTTAAACTAAACTCAAAATATTCTAAAATAAACTTACTATTATTCTGGCTTACTTGCTATTCTTTTATTCTTAATTGTTTCACATGTTTCAAACAAACAAACAAAAAGGAAATGACTACCTTTTTCAGATGTTGCTCAGAGGAACTAAGATGAAAACTAAAGATTGGATTTGGCAACTGGGAATCTCATTGGTGATCTTTGAACACAGAATAAAAAATACACTGTGGAGACAAAAGTTTGACTGATATGACTATTAAACAGAGTGGGAAATAAGATAGTAGAGAAAGCAAAACACTAAGTATTTAAGTTGTTTCACCATAGAAGACAGCATAAAAGTAAGAAACCAACTGGTAAAGAATCTAGGTTCAAAAGACTGATTTTTCTTCTTTAAGACCATAAATATTACAGTTATTATTATACTGATTTTAAAAAGTAGAAAGAAAAGTATAGGTTATACTGTAAAGTGGGATATTATTACAGAGGAAATGTAATTTAGTGAATATATGAGAATTATATTCTCATATATAGGAAGGGGTAGAAAGATGCTACATGGAACAAGGACAACAACTGCCTCGCTTCTAGACATGGTTGTATGTAGAGTGTATATAAAATAGTATTTTCTTGAGAGAGTCATTAAAAGCAGTGTAGTGGCGGGGGGAAACAAACTTTCAAAGATGGGACTAAAGATGTTACAGGATCGTTTGATCATGAGTTACAAACTGGAGTATTTGGGGGTTCATAAGAGGTTAGTGATTGAGTCACATGATCCGCTGTAAAGAGCCAGAGATAAACAGTCTGAAAGATAAAATAGAAGGGAGGAGGATTCTTCCTGGGAAGATTGGAGTGATCAGAAATGTTCGTGATGGCATTCATTAGACCAGAATGCTTCCGTGGGGGAGTGAAGAATTAATGGTAAATGTAGCTTACTTTAGGGACACATCTCTTTGTCAGTTTACAGCAATGGTGCTGACAATGTTGGGGATAGGAGTTGCGTTTGCTTTTTCTACATTTTTGCTCATCTTCTTTCCAAATGGCAAGAGGCTATCTGACCCCATCTTTGGCTGAAATGGGGAAGGAGGAGAGTTACAAAATAGTACATAATTGTTTTTCATTGGCACCCATTACCCTGACTTCTTCACGTTCTATGGATTAAGAAGATTGTTAATTTCATAGGGTGCTTTCTTGAACTTCTTGGTATTAAAAAAAAAATCTTCAGCTGAATTAAATTTAAAGGAGTTTGAGCAATGAACAATTCACAAATTGGGCAGTCCCCAGAATCACAGCAGATTCAGAGAGACTCCAACACAGCCACATGGTGGGAAGAAGATTTGTAGAAAAAAAAAAAGTGAAATTATGTACAAAAATACAAAGTGAGGTACGGAAACAGCTGGATTGGTTTGCCTTATTTGAACATGGTTCAAACAGTTGGCTACATTTGATTGGCCAAAGCTCAGTGATTGGCATAGGCGTAGGCTATGATTGGTTTACGCCTCCACCTGTTATAGTTCATCATGTACAGAAAAACCTTTAGGCCAACTTAAATATGTAAGGAGGCAGCTTGAGGCTACACTTGATTAACAATTCCCCCCTTTTTGTCATTTTCTCAGTTTTTAGAGATTGACCAAAACTTTAGTTATGATGTTGTCATTGGTCTTGAAACAGTAGGTTATGTAAGTTGGGAGTGAGGACTGAGTAGAGGGTACCTCTTTATGCTGGAACATCCTGTTTTCAGGAGAAAAACACAACTTTTCCTTTTCTGATCTAGGATCTACATATTTTCTTAAAGTCTTAGTTTGAATATGTGACATTTAACACAAGCGAATTTATTTTGGTTTGATTTGGTCTTTTGGGGTCTAGTGCCTAAGCTCAGCCCAAAACAATAGCCTCTGATATATATTTTTTTAATTCTTCCTTTTTGGCTAGGTTCTCACTTAGGTGAGAGTGTGATCAAAACTTAGGGCCTTAGCGCCACTCTGTTACCATCATTTTGAGTTTCTGTTCTCAGCATATCATTTATAGGGTATGGCGTCCTCATGATTGTACATTTCTTTCAGGTCTTGTGATTTCAATTGAAGAGAGACCATTTGACTTTCTAGAGATGGCTGTATGCAAACATTTGAGAGAATGTAGAGCACCGGAAAGACTACTATTATGACTATCAAGAGGATAACACCAAGAGTTTGGAGTATGCTCCTTACCCAGGGTTCCCATAAACCAAACCACCTAAAATCAAATAGATCAAAGAATGAGTTAGATAAAGGGTCTACTCGCTTAACTAGGTGGTCTCTTTGTTAATCTCCGACACCCGAATCTCTACAATACCCGATGTTTTCTCCACAGGCCATAAGTGCCAGCAGCTGCACAGATATTTTTCTGTTTAGCCAATTCCATTATTTAGCAACATTTTACATAACTTAAATTTTATTTTGAAATCATAGCCTTTACAGTAGAATCTGCTATAGAGCCTATCATAAGGGATACATTTTTTAATCATTGCCTCTTCTACTTTAAACCATGGAAAAAGAACCTAATGAATGATGCTGTGCCCTTCTAGAAGAGTGAAGGCCTCCTGGCAATGTTCTCTTTAACCCATAATGTGGGTTAAGAGGAATGAATCAATGTTCTGTTTCTTACTGACTATCAGGCAACATATGTACCACCAAAGTTTCTTACCTGCATTGGGTCTTTGTCTTTTATCTCTTAAACTATAAGGTCATCCATATATAAGGCTGGCTGAAAAATCCTTCACACATAAAAGTGTGCCCCATAAGTGCACACAACAGACTCCCTTTTCACGTCTATTGTTCACAGAAGCATAACCAAGGGAAAATATTCAAAGATAAGAGTCTCGTGAGTGTAGAGAAGTTTCAATCCGTGATTTTGGGAAAAGCTGTTCACATTAAGGGTGTTATCTTCTTCTGGAGAGAAACTTTCCTGGTGAGCTTAACCTTCAGAGTTCCAATGGGTGCACTGTTCCAAGAGTGTGGAAGGATCCTTCTCAGTTGTGAGATTATGAACCTGAAGTTCAAGGTCCTGAAGTCTTGCTGTAGTGTAGATTGCAAGGACAGTCTTTCTCTGATGTTCTCAGAAGATCTGATCATAGGCAGCCCTCTAGCAGTACTTGCCCTGGGCTTGTGATGGTGGTGGACACAGGGAGGGACTCCTCTGCCTGCCAAAACGGAAGGGAAAAATAGGAAGGACTTTTTCTAGTGGTTTTGGCACTAGCTCAATATCAAGAGAATAGAGCACCAGGTAGATTTCTAAGATTTCCAACTCCAGGCCCTGGCTTTCAAATGGCATCTCTGTATGTGCTTAGGGTCTGAGGAAACTCGCCACCCTTAAGTGAAGTACACAAGCTTCACTGGCTTCATTCAACTCTTCAGTGCCCAGATGCTGAAAAACATTCACAACAATCAAGACCATACAGAAAAACATGACCTCATCAAATGAACTAAATAAGACACCAGAGACCAATTTCAGAGAAACAGTTATGTGACCTTTCAGACAGAATATTCAAAATAGTTGTTTTGAGGAAACTCAAAGAAATTCAAGATAACACAGGGAAATCATTTAGAATCCTATCAGACAAACTTAACAAAGAAATTTAAATAATTAAAAATAATCAAGAGAAATTCTGGAGTTGAGAAGTGCAATTGACATACTGAAGAATGCATCAGAGTCGCTTAATGACAGAACTGATGAAGCAGAAAAAGAATTAGTGAGTTTCAAGACAGGGTATTTGAAAAGAAGAGACAAAAGAACAAAAAATACAAAATAATGAAGCATGCCAATGGTATCTAAAAATAGCCTCGAAAGGGCAAATCAAAGAGTTCTTGACCTTAATTTAAAAGTAGATAGATAGGGGTAAAAATTTATTCAAAGGGATAATAACAGAGAACTTTACAACCCTAAAGAAAGACATAAATATTCGTGTATAAGAAAGTTATGAAACACCAAGCAGATTCAACCAAAAGAAGACTACTTCAAGGCATTTCATAACCAAACTCCCAAAGTCAAAGATACAGAAAAGATCCTAAAAGCAGCAGGAGAAAATAAACAAATAACATAAAATGGAGCTCCAACATGTCTGGCAGCACTTTTTTTTCATTGAAAATCTTACACACTGGAAGACATTGGCATAAAATGTAAAAGGGCTAAAGGAAAAACCTTTTACCCTAGAAGAGCATATCTGGGGAAAATATCTTTCAGACATGAAAGATAAAAAAGGACTTTCCCAGGAAAGCCTGAGGAATTTTATCAAGACTGCATCTGTCCTACAAGAAATACTAAAAGGGATTATTTCATCTGAAAGAAAAAGACATAATGAGCTAGAAGACATCATCTGAAGGTACAAAACTCACTGGTAATAGCAGGTGCACAGAAAAAGATAGAATCTTATAACATTGTAATTGTAAATTAGTCATATCTTAAGTAGAGAAATGAAAAGATGAACTGATCACAAATAATAACTGCAACAATTTTACAAGACTTAGTCAGTACAGTAAGATATACATAGAAACAACAAAAAGTTAGAAAGTGGGGAGATAAAGTGTAGAGTTTCTATTAGTTTTCTCTGCCTGTTTGTTAATTGGCAGTGTTATCAGTTTAAAATAATGGCATAGAAGATATTATTTGCAAGCTTTATGGTAACCTCAAATCTAAATAATACAAGGGCTACACAAAATGAAAAGCAAGAAATTAAAACATGTCACTGGAGAAAATAACCTTCATTAAAAGGAAGACAGGAAGAAAGAAAAGAAAAAAGAAAAGAACACAAAAAGACCAGAAAAAAAAAATAATAAAATGACAGGAGTAAGATCTTACTTATCAATAATAACATTGAATGTAAATGGACTAACCTCTAATAAAAACAAATAGAATGGCTTAGTGGATTTTAAAAAATGAGACCCAATGATCCATTGGCTACAGAAAACATGATTCACCTATAAAGGCACATATAGACTGAAAAAAAAGGAATGAAAAAAGATATTCCATGCCAATGGAAGTTTAAAAAAGAGCAGGAGTAGCTATACTTATATCAGACAAGATAGATTTCAAGACAAAAACTGTAATAAGAGACAAAGATCATTATATAATAATAAAGAGGTCAATTCAGCAAGAGGATATAATGATTATAAATACACTTTCACCTAACAATGGAGCACTCAGATATATAAATTAAATATTATTATGGCTAAATAGGGAGATAGACCTCAATACTATAATAGCTGGATACTTCAACAACTCATTTCAGCACTGGAAACCTCATTCAGACAGAAAATCAACAACAACAAAAAATTTGGACTTAATATGCACTACAGGCCAGTAGGACATAATAGATATTTACAAAACATCTCATCCAGTGACGGCAGAATACACATTCTTCTCCTCAGCACATGAATCAGTCTCAATTGTAGACCACACATTAGGCAACAATGCAAGTCTTTTTTTTTTTTTTTTTTTTTTCCTCAGGGAGCTGTTCCGACTCTTTTTATTTTTTTATCCTGAAGGGAAAGATAAAGGGCGGGAAAGGGCGTCAGGCGAGGCGAGGCGAGAGGCTCGAGGTTCTAAGGGGATGGTCAGACTGACTGATGGACCTCAGGGTGGCCCCTCTGCCCCAGGACAGGCCTAGAAGAGCATGTGACCCCCTAGGAAACACCCAGAGACTGAGCGGAGGAAACAGCTCCCAGGGGCAGAGCTCCCAGCAGGCGCAAACCCAGAGGAGCAGAGGACGATTCGGAGAAGGAAGGAAAGACGCTGGGAAAGAGCCAGGGATGACAGGAAGAGAAGGAGACGGGGAAGGGCCCTGAGGCGAGGGAGGCAGGGCCTCCGACCAGGAGCGACCAGAGAGGATGTGACAGAGACGGAAGTGACAGAAAAAGACTCCACGGTCACAGGTGGAGCGGCCGACGGCACAGGAGACTGAGGCAGGGGATGGGGATGGCGACAGGACTGGGGGAAGACAGCAGCGAGGACAGTGCAGAAGTGGGATCAACAGCGACGAAGAGGATACAGTCCGAGGCAAAGGGGAGAGGACCAGAGAGAGAAGACAGTGAATCTGATGGGAGCGAACTAGAGAGGGGACGAAGACAAAGATCCCGGGGGCCAGGACAGAGATCAAGGAGTCTAGGAAAGACGGGAGACGGCCGAGCGCGAGGGCACACCCCTGTAATCCCAGCACTTTGGGAGGCCAAGGGGCGAGATCTCTTGAGGCCAGCAGTTCGAGACCAGCCTTGTCAACATGGTGAAACTCCGTCTCTACCAAAAATACCAAAATTAGGCAGGCACGGCGGCGTGGGCCTGTAATCCCAGCTACTCGGGAGGCTGAGACAGGAGACTTGCTTGAACCCAGGAGGCGGAGGTTGCAGTGAGCCAAGATCACACCACTGCACTCCAGCCTGGGCAACAGAGCAAGGCTCGGTCTCCCAAAAAAAAAAAAAAAAAAAAGATACATTGAAGTAATTTAAAAACACTTAGGAAGATGTCATTTCTTCCTATCAAGGCATCCTCCCTTTATGTTTTGTTGTTATATAGGGAACGATAAAAAAATTTTTTTTTTCAACCAATGTGGACCAGGTTGGCCTCAAACTCGTACCCTCGCACCCTCGCCTCCCTGAGGGCCCGAGGGCCAGCGCAACCGGCCGGAGCCACAGTGGCTCCGGGTGTTGGGGCTGTCCTTTCTTCCCTTTGATCTTACGCAGGGTGACGGAGCCAATCACGAGAGGCTCACCCCTGACGTCACCCAGTCCCCAGGGCCAGGGAGGGCCCTGCGTTCCATGGCGCCCCCTGGAGGGAGGAAGGGGAACTGTATCTGAGAGAGAGCAGCCAATTGGGACCGCTGACTCGGGCTGGGTTCCCACGCCACGTCCAACAATGCAAGCCTTAAAGCATAAAAATATTGAAATATTATCAAGTATCTTCTCTAGCCACAATGGAATAACACTAAAAATCAATAATAAGTAGAATTTTGGAAACTATACAAATAAATGAAAAATAAACAATATGCTCCTGAATGACAAGTGGGTCACTGAAGAGAATAAGAAGAAAATTTAAAAATGTATTGAAGCAAACAATAATGGAAACACAGCATACCAAAACCTTTGGGACACAGGGAAAGCAATACTAAGAAGGAAGCTTATAGGTATAAATGCCTACATAAAAAAAGAAAAAAAAAAAACCTTCAACTAAGCAACATAATAATACGTCATAATGAACTAGAAAAGCAACAGCAAACCAAACCCAAAGTTGATAGAGGAAAAGACATAATAAAGATCGAGTAGAAATAAATGAAATTGAAGTAAAGTGAAGAAAATAGGTTATTATAACAAAAAGATACAGAAGATTAATGGAAAAAATATCAATTTTAGAAAAAATAAACAAAATTGACAAACCTTTAGCCACACTAACAATAAAAGAAAAGATCCAAATAAATAAAATCGGAGATGAAAAAGGAGAAATTACAACTGGTAACTTCAGAAATTCAAAGAATCGTTAGTAGCTATTATGCACAAATACATGGAAATAAACTGGATAATTTAGAAGAAATGGATAAATTTCTAGACACATACAACCTACCAAAATTGAATGATGAAGAAATCTAAAACCTAAACAAATCAATAACAAGTAATAAGATTGAAGCTGAAATAAAATGTCTCCCAGTAAAAAAGTAATCCAATGCCTTCATTGCTGAATTTTCTGAAGCATTTAAAAAAACTAACACTAATCCTACACAAACTAGTCCAAAAAATAGGGGAAGAAGGAATACTTCCAAACTCATTCTATGAGGCCAGTAATACTACCCTGATACTAAAACCGGATAGAGACACATTCAAATAAGAAAAACTACAGGCCAATATACCCAATGAATATTGACACAAAAATTCTCGACAATATACCAGCAATCCAAATTCACCGATACATTAAAAAGATCATCATGATGAAGTGGGATGTATCCCAGGGATGCAAGAGTGGTTCAACATATGCAAATCAATCAATGTGATACATCATATAAACAGAATGAAGGACAAGAACCTTAGGGTCATTTCAATTGATGCTAAAAAGCATTTGAGAAAATTGAATATCCTTTCACGATCAAAAAGATAAAAACCTAAAAAAACTGGGTGTAATAGTCAGGGCTCTCCACAGGGACATAACTAATAGGATAGTTGTATATATAAATTGAAGTTTTAAGGAGTATTGACTCACGCTATCACAAGATGAAGCCCCGCACTAGGCTGTCTGCCAGCTGAGGAGCAAGGAAGCTAGTTCGAGTCCCAAAACCTCAAAAATAGGGAAACTGACAGTGCAGTCTTCAGTCTGTGACTGAAGGCCCGCAAGCCCTTGGTAAACCACTGGTGTGATTCCAAGAGTCCAAAAGCTGAACAACTTGGAGTCCAATGTCAGAGGGCAGAAAGCATCCAGTATGGGAGAAAGGTGAAGACTGGAAGACTCAGCAAGTCTGCTGTTCCATCATCTCCTGCCTGCTTTATTCTAGTTGTGCTGGCAGCTGATTAGATGGTGCCCACCCAGATTGAGGGTCGGCCTCTCCCAGTCCACTGACTCAAATATTAATCTCCTTTGGCAACACCCTCACAGACACACCCAAGAAAAATACTTTGCATCCTTCAGTACAATCAACTTGACACTCAATATTAACCATCACACTGGGCATGGAAGGAGTATATCTCAATATAATAAAAGCCATACACTAGAGACTGACAGTATCATACTGTATGGTGAAAAATAAAAGGCCTTTTCTCTAAGACCTGGAACATGACAAAGATGCTGACTTTCACCACTGTTATTTTACATAATACTGGAAGACCCGGGTAAAGCAATGAGGCAAGAAAAAGAAAGAAAGGGCATCCAAACTGGAAAAGAAGAAATCAAATTATCCTTGTTGTCAGATGATATAATCTTACATTTGGAAAAACCTAAAGACTCCACCAAAAACCTATTAGAAAAGAGAAACAAATTCAATAAAGTTGCAAGATGCAAAATCCACGTACAGAAATCAGTAGCATTTTCGTTTGTTTGTTTGTTTGTTTGTTTAGAGATGGAGTTCCACTCTGTCACCCAGGCTGCAGTGCAGCGAAGCGATCTTGGCTCACTGCAACCTCCGCCTCCCAGGTTCAAGCGATTCTCCTGCTTCAGCCTCCCAAGTAGCTGGGACTAGAGGGCGTGCCACCACGCCTGGCTAATACTTGTATTTTTAGTTGAGATGTGGTTTCACCATGTTGGCCAGGCTGGTCTCAAAATCCTAACCTCAAGTGATCTGCCTGCCTCGGCTTCCCAAAGTGCTGGGATTACAGGCATGAATCACCATGCCTGACCATCAGTAGCATTTCTATATGTCAACAGTGAACAATCTGAAAAAGAAATAAAAAATGTGATAGTCACAAACATGATTAAATTCCTAGAAATTAACTTAACCTGAGAAGTGAAAGATCTCTACAATAAAAAGTGTAAATCATTGATGAAAGAATTTGAAGAAGACACATATAAAAGGAAAGATATTCTATGTTCATTGAATAAAAGAATCAATATTGTTAAATTGTCTATACTATCCAAAGCAATCTACAGATTTAATGAAATTCCTATTGAAATAGGAGATAAGGGAAAAGTTGTGCACTGTTGGTGGGAATGGAAATTAGTACAAACACTATAAAAAACAGTTTGGAGGTTGGTTCCTCAAAAAAACTAAAAACAGAACTACTATATCATCCAGCAATCCCACTGCTAGATGTATACCCAAAAGAAAGGAAATCAGTATGTTGAAGAGATATCTACCCTCATATGTTTATTGCAACACTATTCACAGCAGCCAAGATTTGGAAGCAACGTAAGTGATCATCAACAGATGAATGGATAAAGAAAATTCAGCCATAAAACAGAAGAAGATACTGTCATTTGCAACAACATGGAAGGAAGAAGAGGTCATTATGTTAAGTAAAACAAGCCAGGTACAGAAAGACAAACTTCACATGGTCTCGATTATTTATGGAAGCTAAACATTAAAACAATTTAACTCATGAAGTTAGAGAGTAGAATGATGCTTACCAGAGGCTGCGGAGAGTAGTAGGGAGTGTGGGGGTATAAAAGGTGGGATAGTTAATGGGTATAAAAAATAGGATGAATAAGATCTAGTATTTCATAACAAAATAGGGTGATTATAGTCAATAATAATTCAATTGTACATTTTAAAATAACTGAAAGAGCATCATTGGATTGTTTGTAACACAAAGGATAAATGCTTGAGGTGATGGATACCTCATTTACCCTAATTTGTTTATTACACATTGTATGCCTGTACCAAAGTATCTCATATACCCTGCAAATATAAACATCAACTGTGTACCCACAAAAATTAAAAATAAGAATTACAAAAATATATTTCCCTTATGTAAAATTTCATTTTTTTAAATTTTTGGATCTGGCTTAAATCTTTTTTCAACTAAGCTCTGAAAGCACTCACTTTATATAATGGGAAGAGAAAATGCAGATTCTTCATTTTCTGGTAGAAGTGGTAAGAGGTAAAGAGAAAAATAAACCCTCATGGACTAATTCAGTCATTGTGTAAAATAACTGAAGGCAATGATATTATCCATCCTTTATCTAGACTTATTTGAATAATTAACTTATGGTGTTTAGAGAAAACTTCATGGAACAAGTGAATCTTCAAGCTAAATAATACATAATATTTGAAATGAAAAATTTACTACAAAATTATAGGTTGATTTACAGAGCATGAGAGATGTTCTTTTCAACAACCAGCTCCTCAAATTTATAGCTGCAAATTAAAAACTCTGCTTTATTCTAAAAACAAAGAAATAGTCCCTTTTCATTTTTATATCATTTTTGCTCAGTAAAATTTTGCCAAGGGAGGGTGTGATGCAAGAATATCAATTTAGATGTATTTTTGATATAGGTTTTGGATGAACCATACTCTTTCTTATTGATCTGCAGCTGATTGAAAACGTACTAAGAAGCCAGCATACAGCCATCAAATCAATGTTCCTGCTTAGATATGTTGACAACACTCATTTTTCCTGTCCTGGAATATTTGCCTTTCATTTACTTTGATTCACAATGCTTGGGTTCACGACAAAGGATGATCTTTTAACACGACACTAAATTCCATTACTCTCTATTGCTTCATTACCCTCCGTCCACGGATAAACTCAATTATTCCATTTCTTCATGGATACATCCAAAGAGACTGAGACATGCATCATACTTTTATAGAAATGCACAAGCATGACAAATTGGTTCAACTTCAAATCCATAATCAAAATGTCAAAGCTTGGTAATCAAGTGAGTACACTTGTTAACTTACTCTGTTTTTATGCACAATGATCAATTTATTCTTTTTTTATTGTTTATTCTTTTTTTTTTTTTTGGAGACAGAGTTTTGCTCTTGTTGCCCAGACTGGAGTGCAATGGCACTGCAACCTCCACCTTCCGGGTTCAATAGATTCTCCTGTCTCAGTCTCACAAGTAGCTAGGATTACAGGTGTGTGCAACCACGCCCAGCTAATTCTTGTATTTTTAGTAGAGACGGGGTTTCGCCATGTTGGCCAGGCTGATCTCAAACTCCAGACCTCAGTTGATCCACCTACCTTGACCTCCCAAAGTCCTGGGATTACAGGCATGAGCCACTGTGTGCAATTTATTGCTTATTTTCCCCCCATGTCTCCCCATAAGTCATATTGATTATAAAACATATTCTTATTTAAACAAAACAACTCCATTTCACTGTTTATTTTCACCCAGTTACATATTTATTTCTCTCAGTATACTATGTAAAAATATTTGGCCGGGTACAGTGGCTCAGGCCTGTAATCCCAGCACTTTGGGAGGCCAAGGTGGGTGGATCACGAGGTCAGGAGATTGAGACCATCCTGGCTAACACGGTGAAATCCCGTCTCTACTAAAAATTCAAAAAATTAGCCAGGCGTGGTGGCACGTGCCTATAGTCCCAGCTACTCAGGAGGCTGAGGCAGGAGAATTGCTTGAACCCGGGTGGTGGAGGTTGCAGTGAGGCGAGATCACTGCCGCTGCACTGCAGCCTGGGCGATAGAGCAAGACTCCATCTCAAAACATAAAAAATAAATATATAAATAAATAATTTATCAGACAACACCTCTTCTCCTTTTCATTATCTTCACTGACTTTATGTTGGGCTTGCCATACCAGGGGTTTTCTAGTGTCTAGTTTTAGTTTTATAATTAGTGTCTGATCAGTCATTGTCCATGATAGACAATTGTTAACTATTCAGATGATCTTTTCTGTCAAAGACCTTAATTTCATAAACACAAAGTACATATTTCAACACATTATTTGGCTTCTAGAAACTTTTCTTATGGCTCCCCTTCTTGAAAATATTTTTTTCTTGAATATCATGAGTCAGTATGTTCCTTATTTTTCACTTTATATTTTTGGTTCTTGTCTTTTTACTTTGAGAATTCAACTTCTTAAAAAGTGTTGTACTTAACCATAGGCCCCGTTCTTTTTCAACTCTCTGGCTTCCTAGGTATATTTATTTATATCGATAGCTTTAATGGCCACATATAAATAGATAATTCACAAATTTACATCTTTAGCGTAGCAGTTTAATTTAAGCTTTAGACTCATATATTCAATTGTTATATTAAAATCTCCACTTGGCTGTTACAAAGGAATCTGAAACTCAACATGTCTAAAATGGAAGTCACAATTCCTCCCTCTTAGCCAAACCTGCTCCAATTTCCCATCTGCAAATAGGGTTCTACTCATTCAAGAAATAAACTTTTTTTTATTGATATCTCCTCTCTTAAACACATATCTTGAATCTCTCTTGAATCTGTTTACTATTTTCAGTATCCACCATTTCCATCCCAGTCTTAGATTATCTAAGACTGCAGCTTGTGTTCCTAAACTATTTATACAGTCTTCTAACTGATCTAGCTACTGCACTTCCCACTAACTGCCATGCAAAATCCTAATTCCAAAATCAGCCAAATTCAACTTTGTTAACATCCCAAAGGCCTCCTATTGATCTTACAATAACAATAACTTCATAATATAGCAATTCTTGTATATTCAGCCTACCCTTTTTGCCAGCCTCAATTTATACCCTGTTCACCTTCATGATCATCAATATAGGCGTACTTATCTTCCTGTAACTCTTGAACTCACTCTGTTTTCTTAAGCTACAGGACCGTGACACATGCTATACTCATCATTCAAAACTCCTTTTTAAAAACTACTATTATTATTTCTTGAGACAGGGTCTCACTCCATCACCCAGGCTGGAGTGCAGTGGTGTGATCACAGCTCACCGAAGACTCCACTTCCTGGGCTCAGGTGATCCTTCCACTCAGCCTCCTGAGTAGCTGGGAGTACAGGAGTGCACCACCGTGCCTAGCAAATTTTTGGTATTTTTTTGTAAAGAGGTTTTGCCATGTTGCCCAGCCTCGTCTTGAACTACTGGGCTTAAATGATATGCCCGCCTCAGCCTCCCAAAGTGTTGGGATTACAGGCGTGAACCCCAGCACTTGGCCTCAAAACTGTTTTTTACATAATCTTCCCAAATTCCACTCAAGTGGCTAATTCCTATCTTTTAGGCTTTAGCTAAATTATCTTTGAATTCCTAAGTCTATTCTATTAGCATAATTTCTTGACACCATGTAATTCTCCATCACAATTATCAAATTATGATGTTATAACAATTTAAACTCTCGCATGCATGGAGGAAACATTAAATAGCTAAACTCACAGTACATAATAGTAAGGAGCACATAAGCTGTGTATCACCAACAATGCCATGAATGGTTTGGGACAGCATGCTGTAATTAAAGCCATCAATTATACTTTTGCAGATAAATATATAAATTCATTCCAACTAACATCAGTGAAGGTCACATATCCCCTACATCCACATATCAGTTCAAATAATATTTTGCCAACAAATAACATTTAGACTTAAAATTATCAATTTAAAAAAAAGGAAGAAAGTAGGTTGGAGGTTGTTACGACTCTTGAGATTTATATATATTAGGTAGGACCTCAAACTCATGTATCTATATATTGTAATTTATTTTTCTAAAATAATATGAAAACACATAGGCTGAAAGTTGGATATAAATATTTTAAATTATAATTTAATCCTATGCTATCAATTTGTTATAATGTAATCAAGTTAATAAATTGGAAAATTGTATATGATATGTAAATTTTCTCTTGCATTTATTACAATTCTGAAAGTATTTTTGAAATGGAATATATCCTATTTAATATTCTTATCATTAGAAAGGCTTATTTTAATCAAGTTAATTTACCCAATACTATTTTTTTATCCATGAGAAATAATATTGTCTATAACTGTCCTTTTATTCTTTCACTAGTTTGCTCATATTTTAAAATAAGTGAATTCCTGGAATGTGGATAAAGAGTTAAGTTTTTCTTATTGGTGGTGTCATCCTTTGCAGTAAAATAATAAGGCTATTACTGTAAAAATAAAAAGAAGTCAATTAATTTTAGTAAGAACATCATTCTAGAGGGTATGTTAATGATAACAGCTTGTGCTTCAGCTCATGTTTTTTTCAGAAATCCCTACTGAATTCTGAAATTAACAACATTATTCTCATGGCTTATAAATTTATAAAACACAATGACTTACAGAAAGAAGCAGTATAGTTACTATGTGGAAAAGGAATGTTCCTTAATAAATGAGTAATGAGAAGAATTAAGTTTAATATAAACAAAAAAGGGCTTTTAAAACTATCTAAATTGATTCCAGAAACAGGAAGTTCATGCTTATTCATTTGGTAGAATGTGTGTGTGTGTGTGTGTCCTTTATCTTCATGTCAATTCAAATTAGATTTTGCTATCAAATAAATTTTTAGAGCCAAATTTATCAATGAAGAAGAATGAAAGAAGGAGGAATGAAGGAAGAAAATAAATTAACAATGGACAAAAAGTTTATTATTTAGAGCAAAAATCTATATGAAGCAGATACTTGAAACAGTGACCCACATTCTAGTCAAAATCCACACCATTTGCCAATAAATATAAGTTTTTATTTACAAGTACAATAAACGATAGAAATTATTTAATAAATCACAGGCTCATAAGAAGGAAATAGCATTAGAGGTTCAATATCATCAATAGTTAAAATCAGAAAAAGAGAAAAAATACATTTAGAATATTTAATTTAAATATATAGTAGTTGGACCTTAGTAAGACACAGAAATACTAAATAGCAAACAGTTTAATAATTTGGGGAAGAGAAAATATTGGTGATCACGAAATTCTCTTAAATAAAATACAAACCTGTTAAACTTTTTAATGTAATGAGTGACAGCTTCAACAGAGAAGTTACTGTAGAAAATTTGACTTAAAGCTAGAATTCTTACAAAAATAAAATGAAAATAATTAAATTAGTGGGCGTTATGAGGAAATTCAAGAGAATTAACAAACTTAACATGGTAATTCCAGGAGGAAAGAATCAAGTATAGAAAAAGTAACTCGGGAGGCTGAGGCAGGAGAATCACTTGAACCCGGGAGGCAGAAGTTGCAGTGAGATGGTGCCACTGCACTCCAGCCTGGGCAACAGAGTGAGACTGTCTCAAAAAAAAAAAAAAAAAAAAAAAGAGAAGAAGAAAAAGTAGCTCAAGAAATAGTAGTATATACTTCTCATGTGAATGAAGAAATGGAGGCTCATCAAGTACCAGGAAAAATTAATAAAATAAGATCAGGGGAAAACAGTAATCTTAAAAACATAATTCTCTCTCAAAAAAATGTAAAGCATGAAACATACATTGATTCCATCATAGTCTGACAAATAGAGAATTTAGGAAACATATTTAAGGTCATTCAGCAGTCCTCTGAAAATACCAGAAATAAAAGTAAGGTCTTATAATTGCCTTACACACAAGAAAATTATATAATAATGATAAATCTTTCTTTTAAAGGATATTTCTTCACTAAGTGTAGACTGTCATTATAAAAATTATTTGTTCTCTTATGATTATTATTACAGGACAAAGTCATTATTTCCACTGCTATTACCAATTGAAAAGAAAGGTCAAGTGAATTGTTGAGAGATTGACAGTGGCACTGGAAATAAAAGCAAGGGCTTTTAAAACTGAATTCCAGTCACTGTGCTTAAAATGAAAAGTACAAGTCTAAATGAGAAAAAACTAGGATATTTGTTCTGAATTAATTCATCAAGGAGACAGGAAGTGGAGTTAATAATTAAAATATATCTAAAAGATTTTGCTTTCTCTTTTTTTACACAAAGAACCTAAAACATTAAAATTAATTTTTTTAAAAACTTTGTCATTTGTAAAAGAAAATAGATATGCTCTAGTCATACTGTTATAATATCTGAAATTTCTAGTTATTTAGCACATATTTCCCATTCTGTATTGAAATAAAATTGCTAACAATCCTAATATAAACTCAGCTTCATCTTTATTAGTGATAGATTTCTCTGTGGTGACTAACGAACTTTACAGATATAGTTTACATCACCTTCAACTACCATAAATGAAATAAAAGTCATAATCCTTATTTCACCATGTTTAAAGCCCAATTTTAATGTAAAGTGTATACATATCTACATATATGAATTTATAACTATATCAAAACTATGAATTTAAAAGTTGACAAGCAAGCTGACAAGGGAAAACAATAATAGGAGTATTTTTATAGAAAAAAGCATAATCTTAGTCTTTTTCCATAAAAAACTTACAAGTCAAAAATTGTTGGAAAAATAGCTACAACATTTTGAGTGTCAGGCCTCTGAGACCAAGCCAAGCCATCACATCCCCTGTGACTTGCACATATACATCCAGATGGTCTGAAGTAACTGAAGATCCACAGAAGATGTAAAAATATCCTTAACTGATGACATTCCACCATTGTGATTTGTTCCTGCCCCACCCTAACTGATCAATGTACTTTGTAATCTCCCCTACCCTTAAGAAGGTTCTTTGTAATTCTCTCCACCCTTGAGAATGTACTTTGTGAGATCCACCCCTGCCCACAAAACATTGCTCTTAACTTCACCGCCTATCCCAAAACCTGTAAGAACTAATGATAATCCATCTCCCTTCGCTGACTCTCTTTTCGGACTCAGCCCACCTGCACCCAGGTGAAATAAACAGCTTTACTGCTCACACAAAGCCTGTTTGGTGGTCTCTTCACATGGACGCACATGAAATTTGGTGCCCTGACTGAGATCGGGGGACCTCCCTTGGGAGATCAATCCCTTCCTCTTGTTCTTTGCTCCATGAGAAAGATCCACCTATGACCTCAGGTCCTCAGACCAACCAGCCCAAGAAACATGTCACCAATTTCAAATCTGGTAAGCGGCCTCTTTTTACTCTCTTCTCCAAGCTCCCTCACTATCCCTCCACCTCTTTCTCCTTTCAATCTTGGCGCCACACTTCAATCTCTCCCTTCTCTTAATTTCAATTCCTTTCAATTCCTTTGGTAGAGACAAAGGAGACACGTTTTATCTGTGGACCCAAAACTCCTGCACCGGTCACGGACTGGGAAGGCAGCCTTCCCTTGGTGTTTAATCTTTGCAGGGATGCCTCTCTGATTGTTCACCCACGTTTCAAAGCTGTCACACCATACAGGGACGCCTGCCTTGGTCCTTCACCCTTAGCGGCAAGTCCCGCTTTCCTGGGGGAGGGGCAAGAAACCCTCAACCCCTTCTCCTTCACCCTTAGTGGCAAGTCCCGCTTTCCTGGGGCAGGGGCAAGTACCCCTCAACCCCTTCTCCTTCACCCTTAGCGGCAAGTCCCGCTTTCCTAGGGGGCAAGAACCCCCCAGTCGCTTATTTCCCCATCCCAACCTCTTATCTCTGAGCCCCAATCCCTTACATCCACACCCTGACCTCTTATCTCTGTGCCCCAATCCCTTATTTCCATGCCCCAACCCCTTCTCTGCTTTTCTGGAGGGCAAGAACCCCCCACCCCTTCTCCGTGTCTCTACTCTTTTCTCTGGGCTTGCCTCCTTCACTATGGGTAAGCTTCCACCTTCCATTCCTCCTTCTTCTCCCTTAGCCTGTGTTCTCAAAAACTTAAAACCTCTTCAACTCACACCTGACCTAAAACTTAAATGACTTATTTTCTTCTGCAATGCTGCTTGACCCCAATACAAACTCGACAGTAGTTCCAAATAGCCAGGAAATGGCACTTTCAATTTTTCCATCCTACAAGATCTAAATAATTCTTGTCATAAAATGGGCAAATGGTCTGAGGTGCCTGACATCCAGGCATTCTTTCACGCATCAGTCCCTTCCTAGTCTCTGTGCCCAATGCAACTCGTCCCAAATCTTCCTTCTTTCCCTCCCTCCTGTCCCCTCAGTCCCAACCCCAAGTGTCGCTGGGTCTTTCTAATCTTCCTTTTATACAGACCCATCTGACCTCTCCCCTCCTCGCCAGGCTGAGCCAGGTCCCAATTCTTCCTCAGCCTCCGCTCCTCCACCCTGTAATCTTTTTATCACCTCCCCTCCTCACACCTGGTCCAACTTACAGTTTTTATTCAGTGACTAGCCCTCTCCCACCTGCCCAGCAATTTACTCTTAAAAAGGTGGCTGGAGCTAAAGGCATAGTCAAGGTTAATGCTCCTTTTTCTTTATCCCAAATCAGAGAGCGTTTAGGCTCTTTTTCATCAAATATAAAAATTCAGCCCAGTTCATGACTCGTTTGACAGCAACCCTGAGACACTTTACAGCCCTAGGCCCTAAAAGGTCAAAAGGCTGTCTTATTCTCAAAATACATTTTATTACCCAATCTGCTCCCGACATTAAATAAAACTCCAAAAATTAAATTCCGACCCTCAAACCCCACAACAGGATTTAATTAACCTCGCCTTCAAGGTGTACAATAATAGAAAAAAGTTGCAATTCCTTGCCTCCACTGTGAGACAAACCCCAGCCACATCTCCAGCACACAAGAACTTCCAAATGCCTGAACCGCAGCAGCCAGGCGTTCCTCCAGAACCTCCTCCCCCAGGAGCTTGCTACAAGTGCCAGAAATCTGACCACCAAGCAAAGGAATGCCTGAAGCCCAGGATTCCTCCTAAGCCATGTCCCATCTGTGCGGGACCCCACTGGAAATCGGACTGTTCAACTCACCTGGCAGCCACTCCCAGAGCCCCTGGAACTCTGGCCCAAGGCGCTCTGACTGACTCCTTCTCGGCTTAGCAGCTGAAGACTGACGCTGCCTGATCGCCTCGGAAGCCCCCTAGACCATCACGGACGCCGAGCTTCAGGTAACTCTCACAGTGGAAGGTAAGCCCGTCCCCTTCTTAATCAATACGGAGGCTACCCACTCCACATTACCTTCTTTTCAAGGGCCTGTTTCCCTTGCCTCCAGAACTGTTGTGGGTATTGACGGCCAGGCTTCTAAACCTCTTAAAACTCCCCAACTCTGGTGCCAACTGAGACAGTACTCTTATAAGCACTCCTTTTTAGTTATCCCCACCTGCCCAGTTCCCTTATTAGGCTGAGACATGTTAACTAAATTATCTGCTTCCCTGACTATTCCTGGACTACAGCTATATATCATTGCCGCCCTTCTTCCCAATCAAGAGCCTCCTTTGCATCCTCCTCTTGTATCCCCCCACCTTAACCCACAAGTATAAGATACCTCTACTCCCTCCTTGGTGACTGATCATGCACCCCTTACCATCTCATTAAAACCTAATCACCCTTACCCCACTCAACGCCAATATCCCATCCCGAAGCACACTTTAAAAAGATTAAAGCCTGTTATCACTCGCCTGCTACAGCATGGCCTTTTAAAACCTATAAACTCTCCTTACAATTCCCCCATTTTACCAGTCCTAAAACCAGACAAGCCTTACAATTTAGTTCAGGATCTGCGCCTTATCAACCAAATTGTTTTGCCTATCCACCCCGTCGTGCCAAACCCATATACTCTCCTATCCTCAATACCTGCCTCTACAACCCATTATTCTGTTCTAGATCTCAAACATGCTTTCTTTACTATTCCTTTGCACCCTTAATCCCAGCCTCTCTTCGCTTTCACTTGGACTGACCCTGACACCGATCAAGCTCAGCAAATTACCTAGGCTGTACTGCCGCAAAGCTTCACAGACAGCCCCCATTACTTCAATCAAGCCCAAATTTCTTCCTCATCTGTTACCTATCTTGGCATAATTCTCATAAAAACACACGTGCTCTCCCTGCCAATCGTGTCCGACTGATCTCTCAAACCCAAGCACCTTCTATAAAACAACAACTCCTTTCCTTCGTAGGCATGGTTAGCGCGGTCAGAATTCTTACACAAGAGCCAGGACAACACCCTGTAGCCTTTCTGTCCAAACAACTTGACCTTACTGTTTTAGCCCAGCCCTCATGTCTGCATGCAGCGGCTGCCACTGCTTTAATACTTTTAAAGGCCCTCAAAATCACAAACTATGCTCAACTCACTCTCTACAGTTCTCATAACTTCCAAAATCTATTTTCTTCCTCATACCTGACACATACACTTTCTGCTTCCCGGCTCCTTCAGCTGTACTCACTCTTTGTTAAGTCCCACAATTACCATTGTTCCTGGCCCAGACTTCAATCCGGCCTCCCACATTATTCCTGATACCACACCTGACCCCCATGACTGTATCTCTGTGATCCACCTGACATTCACCCCATTTCCCCAAATTTCCTTCTTTCCTGTTCCTCACCCTGATCACACTTGATTTATTGATGGCGGTTCCACCAGGCCTAATTGCCACACACCAGCAAAGGCAGGTTATGCTATAGTACAAGCCACTAGCCCGCCTCTTAGAACCTCTCATTTCCTTTCCATGGTGGAAATCTATCCTCAAGGAAATAACTTCTCAGTGTTCCATCTGCTATTCTACTACTCCTCAGGGATTATTCAGGCCCCCTCCCTTCCCTACACATCAAGCTCGAGGATTTGCCCCACCCAGGACTGGCAAATTAGCTTTACTCAACATGCCCCCAGTCAGAAAACTAAAATACCTCTTAGTCTAGGTAGATACTTTCACTGGATAGGTACAGGCCTTTCCTACAGGGTCTGAGAAGGCCACCACAGTCATTTCTTCCCTTCTGTCAGACATAATTCCTCAGTTTAGCCTTCCCACCCTCAATACAGTCTGATAACAGATGAGCCTTTATTAGTCAAATCAGCCAAGCAGTTTTTCAGGCTCTTAGTATTCAGTGAAACCTTTATATCCCTTACGATCCTCCGTCTTCAAGAAAAGTAGAATGGACTAAAGGTCTTTTAAAAACACACCTCACCAAGCTCAGCCACCAACCTAAGAAGGACTGGACAATACTTTTACCACTTTCCCTTCTCAGAAGTCAGACCTGTCCTCAGAATGCTACAAGGTACAGCCCATTTAAGCTCCTGTATAGACACTCCTTTTATTAGGCCCCAGTCTCATTCCAGACACCAGACCAACTTAGACTGTGCGCCCCCCAAAAAAACTTGTCATCCCCACTATCTTCTGTCTAGTCATACTCCTATTCACCATTCTCAACTATTCATACATGCCCTGCTCTTGTTTACACTGCCGGTTTACACTGTTTCTCCAAGCCATGACAGCTGATATCTCCTGGTGCTATCCCCAAACTGCCACTCTTAACTCTTGAAGTAAATAAATAATCTTTGCTGGCAGGACTATGCTGAATCTCCTTAGGCACTCTCTAATCAGATGTCCCGGGTCCTCCCAATTCTTAGTCCTTTAATACCCATTTTTCTCCTTTTATTCGGACCTTGTATCTTCCGTTTAGTTTCTCGGTTCATTCAAAACCGTATCCAGGCCATCACCAATCATTCTATACGACAAATGTTTCTTCTAACATCCCCACAATATCATCCCTTACCACAAGATCTCCCTTCAGCTTAATCTCTCCCACTCTAGTTTCCCACGCCGACCCTAATCCCGCTTGAAGCAGCCCTGAGAAACATCGCCCATTCTCTCTCCATACCATCCCCCCAAAATTTTCACCACCCCAACACTTCAACACTATTTTGTTTTATTTTTCTTATTAATATAAGAAGACAGGAATGTCAGGCCTCTGAGCTCAAGCCAAGCCATCGCATCCCCTGTGACTTGCACATATACATCCAGATGGCCTGAAGTAACTGAAGATCCACAAAAGATGTAAAAATAGTCTTAACTGATGATTTTCCACCATTGTGATTTGTTCCTGCCCCACCCTAACTGATCAATGTACTTTGTAATCTCCCCCACTCTTAAGAAGGTTCTTTGTAATTCTCCCCACCCTTGAGAATGTACTTTGTGAGATCCACCCCTGCCCACAAAACATTGCTCTTAATTTCACCGCCTATCCCAAAACCTGTAAGAACTAATGATAATCCATCTCCCTTCGCTGACTCTCTTTTCAGACTCAGCCCAACCTGCACCCAGGTGAAATAAACAGCTTTACTGCTCACACAAAGCCTGTTTGGTGGTCTCTTCACACGGACGCGCATGAAAGAGAGAAGAACTTATAATTTTATAATTTTATCACCAGAAAATTTATGTGTGTAATCAAAGCAATATCATGCTTAAATTCTCAAGGAATTTTAAAATATAGCAATTATATATCTCTCTTAAAAAACTACTACAATACATAAATTAAAATAAAAATGTAAAAAATGTAAAAAAATAGGATATTGTATGAAAACTACAATAATGAATATTAAATCCACAGATAAGGAAAATAAGAACCAATTATTTTTAAAGTATTATTTTAAAAGAAATGCTAATGATGAGAACAATTTTTGAAAGTAAAATTTTCAGCATAATTTATTTGTAATTATAAATATATATTGATATTTATATTGCTATTAAAATAATAGATACAGTAAGAGGTTGAGAAGAAAAATATTTAAATTTTTATATTTGTATCAAAAGGGCTTAATAGGCTATTTTATTATCAATGGTAAGTTTTTGAAGTAAAAATATAAAAATATATAAGAGAGAGAAAAACAAAGAATTGAAATGGAGATGTTAAAGAAAATAATAGTTTGTATGAAAATATTATGAGGTAAAATTTTCAAACTTTGCCAGAGCACTTAAGAAAGAATAAATAAGGATAATTAGGATTGTAATAAAATATATAAAATTTATTACAAAAAAGAAAATAACTTTTTGTCAATTAAGGAAATGCCTAAATTCATAATCAAAATAGTACAACAGTAGAGAAAAAAATAAAACTTAAATGTATAGAGAAAAATGATTTTGCCAGAAAGCAAGGCATATATATATGTATATATTTTGCCTAGATAAATTTGGCATAAAAATTGAAGCAATAATTATTACCAGTGGAGGGTCTTGACTACCAGCCATCCAAGTTCTTGGTGTTTTGAACAGAGAATTGGACAAAACATATAAACAAAGCAATTAAAGAATGAAAGAACGAAAGTACAGATCTATTGAAACAAAAGTACACTCCACACACTTTGGGAGGTCAACGTAGGCAGATCATTTGGGGTCAGGAGTTCAGACCAGTCTGGCCAACATGGTGAAACTCCATCTCTACTAAAAATACAAAAATGTAGCTGGGTGTGGTAGCACATGCCTATAATCCCAGCTACTCATGAGGCTGAGGCAGAATTGCATGAACCAGAGAGGCGGTGGTTGCAGTGAGCAGAGATTGCACCATTGCACTCCATCCTGGGCAAGAGAGTGAGACTCTATCTCAAACAAAAAAAGTACACTCCATGGAGTGGGATTGGGCTTGAGCAAGCAACTGAAGAGCACTGGTAACAGATTTTTTGGGGCGATTAAATACCCTCTAGAAGTTTCCCATTGGTGACTTAGTTACACCCTATGTAAATCAAGACCTGGCTGGCAACCAGTCTGATCAGTTGCAGGAGGTGAAAAATCAGAGGTACTTTCCATTTTTCATCTGTGAAGCCATGGAAAAGGTGGGATTACAAAGGGAGTAGCCTTTGATCCTTTTGTTATTTGGGTGTGGAGAGGTGGAGTTTTCCTTTTGATTCAGTTCTGGGAAGTCAACACATGTTGGCCTTATGTTTCCTGCCTCCAGACCCTATTCTCCTGCCTCGCAATGACAAGAGATCTGCTTAAGAAATGATGCTTTCACAATGATGAAGCAAAAATAAATCGCCCCAAATGTAAAACTGTTTGTCTATTTCTGGCCACATTATTGTTAATGAGAAAATGGTAACAAAATACATTTCTAGAAATAAAATCATCGAAAAAAATTTACTGCCTATAGAAATTGCGTGTGTTAACCAAAATTTGAAGGCCTCCCCAAAACCATCTTAATGGACTTCCTCCTCAGCCAGGGCACCCCAAAATTTAACCTGAAAAACTGGTTCAGGCCATGACAGGAAGTGGGTATTGGACATTCCTCATTACACCCCTCCAGGATTACCATCAACACACATTTTAAGTCTTACTAGAAACATTTACAGTCTATTCTTTCTAAAGCCTGCTACTTGGAGGCTTCATCTGCATAATAAAAGCTAAATCTCCTCAACCCTTTATCATAACCCAGACATTCCTTTCCATAGATAATAACTGTGTACCGATCAGAATATGTTTAAATCTACCTATGACCTCAAAGCTCCCCGACTTCAAGTTGCCCTACACTTCCAGATAGAACCAGTGTAAATGTGACATGTATTGACTGATGTATTATGTCTCCCTAAACTGTATAAAAGCAAGCTGTACCCTGACCTCCTTGGGCACACTTCATGAGGACCTCCTGAGGCTGTGTCACAGATATGTTCTTAACCTTGGCATGATAAACTTTATAAATTGATTGAGACTTGCTTCAGATACTTTTTGGTTTATACTTCAGAACTTCATGAAGAGAATTGCCCAATAACTTAGTTGAGTTGAACCTGTGCCATTTTAGGTACAAGCAGTGAGAAGCAAAAAAGAAAGGAGGAAAACAGTTACTAACTACTTCTTGAATATTTAACACCCATTTTTAAAAAATTGTGTGATTTGCAATTTTTAGTATTCTTAATGATATTGAAGGAAATTACAATATTCTACCCCAAAATATATATATTTGACATATTTTGAGATGGCTGAAACAGGACCAGCCAACTTAAGTGACTCTGCAAAGCTGTCTTTTGTGGGGGAAATTTGCATCTGTAGATATTCTTGCATTGATGCAGCCAGTCCTTCGATTTTCTGAATCTAAAAATAATAAGTGAGAGTCTGATACATATAAAGGTCTGAAAGAAATATTTAGCATCTATTTTCTCTGAAAGCTGCTACCTGTGAGGTTTTATTTACATAACAAGAATGTTTTTGCTAGCAAGGCCACATCTTCTCTCCCTTCTGTAACCTAGTCTGACATGATCCAAATCCCTATTCTTTCTGTAACCTCAAGATGGTTTTGCAAGTTTCTGTGTCCCATTAGTGGGTTGAGTAATCATTTAGTGATGCTTCCCATGTACATATTAATACAATTTGTATGCCTTTTTGCTAATTAATCTGTCTTTTGTGAGTTAATTTTTCAGCAAACTTTCAGAGGATGAAAGGGAAGTTTTCCTTTGGTCGCTACAATGTATTTCTGAAAGTCTCTATACCAAAAATTAAACTTTTCATTTGATTTTGGGTGTGTGTTCTGTTTTTGAAGTTTAATATCATATTTTATTCACTAAAATATTTTAAGAAATAATTATAGAAGTTCAAATATTTTCAAATATAAAAAGACAGCTTAAAATAATTGTTCTAAATCATTCTATAAGGCGAACATTACCTTTTACCACAACTAGACAAAGATACAGCTAAGAAAACTATTGACCAATATCCCTGATGAACATAGATGCAAAATTTCTCTAAAAAAAAAAGAACTAGCAAACCAAATTCAAGAACACAGTAAAAGGATCATTCACTATGATCAAGTGGCATTCATCACAGGGATGCAATAATGGTTATGCATGCACAGATTAATACATTTTATACATCACAGCAACAGAATCAAGGTCAAAAACCATATTATCATTTCAATAAAGCATAAAAATGTCATTCAATAAATTTCAACCTGCCTTCATAATAAAAAATTTCAACAAATTGGGTATAGAAGGAACTTTAAACCAAAATTAAATTCTAAGCCCTCCAGCTGACTGAATAAAAACTCCTCTTTGCCTAGGGAACCCAAAGAAACCTGGAAATATAGTTCAGGCCATGACAGGGAAGTGGAGGATCAGACATGCCCTATCATTCTCTACTTTCTTTAGGTTCAAACACAAATTACCAGCATTAACATTAAAACAAAGATGTTAAGGCTGACCAAACAGACTCTTTGTAACAATCACTTACCAAATTATAACCTGATTCTAGTATAATATCACGATAGATAAAAAAAAGAAATCAAAATATTTTACACCAAAACATGTTTCTTTGCCATATTTTGAAATGGCCCTGAAAAGTTGTCTTTAGTGGAGAAAAATTTACATCTGCAAAGAATGTCTGTTAACATAGCTCTTTCTCCTTTGAAGCCCTCCCAATTCTAAAGATGTTAACTGAGAATCTAGCACCTTGGAGAAATCTAAATAGGAAACATTTGCCATCTATAGTCTCTAAGGGCAGCCAACTCTGAGACTTCATCTACATAATAAGAAAGTTGGTTTCTACAACCACTTGTCTTAACCTAGACCCACCTTTCTGTTGATTCCAGGTGTTGGGTAACAACTCTTCCTACAAATTGCCAATCAGAAAATCTTTGAATCCACTTATGACATGTAACCCTTGCTTTGAGTTGTCCTATCTTTCTGAACCAAATTAATGTATAATTTATATGAATTGATTGATGTCTTACGTCTCCCTAAAATATATGAAACAAAGTTGTAACCCAAACACCTTCGATACATGTTCTCAGGACCTCCTGAGAATGTGATTTGGGCCCTGGTCACTCATAGTTGACTCAGTATAAAACTCTCTAAATAATTGTCAGAGTTTGTTTTCTTCATCAAATGAAGACACATCACACAATAAAGGGCATATATGACAATCCCACAGTTAATATACTGAATGGAAAATAAAAATTGAAAACTAAGATCTGAAGCAAACCAAAGATATCCACTTTCATTACTTTTAGACCATATAGTACTAGAAATTCTAGTTAGAGCAATTAGGCAAGAAAAAGAAATAAAGGGCATCCAAATTGGAAAGGAAGAAGTCAAATTATCCTTATTTGTAGATGACATGATCTCAAATTTTGAAAAATCTAAAGATTCCAAGAAACTCTGAGAACAATAAGAAAATTGAACAAAGTTTCAGGATATGAAATTAACATACAATAATCAGTAGCATTTTTATATATCAACAATGGACAATCTAAAATAGAAATCAAGAAAGCAATTTCATATACAATAGCCACACACAAAAAAAAATAAGAATAAATTTAACAAAGAAGTGAAAGATCTCTACAAAGAAAACTAACTGTAAAACACTGGCAAAGAAATTAAAGGAGGCACAAGAAAATAAAAAAGTATCTCTTGCTCATGGATTAGAATAATTACTAATGAACGTCTATACTACCCACAGCAACTTACAGATTCAATGCAATCCCAATCAAAATGTTAATGACAGTGGAGGAACCAAGATAGCTGAATAGAAGCAGCTGGTGTGTGCCACACTTAGAGAAGAAAGAACAGTGAGTAAATACCAGTTTTTCCACTGGAACATTCAAGCACACACATTAGAATTCATCAAGGAAACAACTTGATTCACAGATAACAGAAAGGAGCATGACATGGAGCCCAGGGAGGCTCCCCCACCATGGGGAAATGGTGCGTGAAAGTCTGAGGAGAACCACATGTCTGCCACAGACCTTTGCAACTCTGGGCCCAGGAGATTCCTCCATTTGCTCCCCACTCCCTACTGGAGCCTCCAGACTAACATGAAGAGCTACATAGAGTCTGGGCAGAGCCATCACTCAGGCATACATGAAGTCCCAGGAGCCTTGTATATCATAATGCTGGGCATCCTGGCATCAGCAACTACAGCTCCAGCAATGGAGGAGGTCAGGCTCTCTTGCATGTCCCCAGGAAAGGGGATGAATCCAGAGGGCTGCACAGTAGCAAATGCAGGCCTAGCCTCCACTGCACCTTGCAAGTGGCCTAGGACCCTAGTGTAGCCACACCAGCCATACCTGGGCTCTTTGGCCAGCAGCAGCTCTGTACTTCTTTGGAACAGAGCTCCTAGTGGGAGAGGCAGGCCCCCATTTTTGCTACCCCAGTCCTCACAGCTGTTGTCCTCAGGCTCTGGAGGGATCACAGTGATTAGGGACTTTGGCAGACCCCTAGCGTAGAGAAGCTGTCTCAAGGAAAAGGAGCCAGACCGTTCTCCACATGGGCTCCTGTTCCTGTTTTTCCTTACTGAGTGGGACATCCCAACCTAGGACTCCACCACAACTACGCTGCCCCTGCCTGAACACTTCAGTCAGAGGTCGCTCTGCATTTTTTTGAAAATCCCAGGAACAGCCTGTAGACCCCTCTGCCATTGCAGCTTCAGTGGAATCACCCTGACCGCCCTTGGGCTGAGGAAGCAAAAAAGGGCCTGGTCGCTATGCTGACATCTCCAGCAAACTACAGCCACCACACAGAGAGGAACCCAATCTCTGTTTCCTGTAAGCCCTTGATCTCTACTGTTCACCAGGCAGGGGCCACTGCTTGGGACCACACAGCAGCTGCCCCACCTCTGGCTGAGGATATTCACTGGTCGTGGCTACAGAGCAGCCCTTTGGCCACTACCATGGTGGTCTGAGCAGGCTGGGGAAGAAACAAAGAGCCTGAAGGCTTCACTCACACTCATGACTGTAGCATGCCACAGTCACCATATGGAGAGTTGCCCAGTCTTTTCCCCTCTGAGCCCTCCAACCCCTGTTCTTCGTCAAGCTTGGGCCAGCAGCACAGACACCCCACCCCCTGGCTGAGCATTTCCAGTAGCAGAGGATCTGAGTTTCTCTGAGGTAGAGTTCTCAGAAGCAACCAAAAGCCCCTCTGCCACTGCCATAGCAGAGGTACTGTCCTTGTTGCCCAGGAACTGGGAAAGGAACAAAGACTCTGAGCACTTTAAACACAACTCCAGCATGCTGCAGTTGCCCTACAGAGAAGAGACCAATATGTCTCCCCTGTAAACTCCTCACCTCCCACTCATAACCAAGGATGCCCCACCCCTGACTTGGGTGCAGAGTGTACAGCTCCACCCCAGGCCAATCACACTGATTAGTAGCGGTTCTGCATATCTCTGGGGTGGAGCCCCAGGAGACCAGTGAAAGGCCCTGTGATGCAACCACTGATAATGTCCCTTCCCCTGCTGCCTCTAAGTTGGGTAGGAAATATGAAGCCTGAGTTTATCTCAGAGCTGCACACTGCAGCCCAGGACTGTCAAGCTGAGACCTGCAGACAGCACATTAGCAAAAAAGGAACCCACACTTTCATAGTACTGAGAAGGTGCACGACTGAAATCATGAAGAAATACAGAGGAGCCATGAGGTTGAACGAGAGCCTACTTACAGGCCATTATACTTAAGTGCCATCTACTGGATCACTGCCCAAACTTCAACACCAAAAATACTTTCCTAATACACCCACCTATGAAATTAAAGACAATAATTCAGTTAAAAATAAAAGCCCTGCACAAAGCCTAGGCCCTCTGAAAACATCCAGAAGACAGACTACTGACTACTCAAATTACACAGCAGGTAAAGAAGCATCAGCTCACAGAGATGAGAAAGAACCAGCACAAGAATACTGGCAACCCAAACAGCCAGAATGTCTTCTTTTCTGTCTAAACGATGGCAGTAGTGCCCCAGCAAGGGTTTTTTTGTTTGTGTTTTTTGTTTTTTTTTTCAAGACAGGGTTTCACTCTGTCGCTCAAGCAGGAATGCAATGTCACAGTCACAGCTCACTGCTGCCTCAGCCTCCCTGGGCTCAGGTGATCTTCCCACCTCAGCCTCCCAAGTAGCTGAGACTAAAGGTGTGTGCCACCATACCTGGCTAATTTTTGTATATTTTGTATAGACAGGGTTTTGACATGTTGCCCAGACCAGTCTTGAACTCCTTGGCTCAAGAAAACCACATGACTTGGCCTCAGCCTCCCACAGTGCTAGGATTACAGGTGTGAGCCACTGCGTACAGCCAGAAAGGGTTCTTAAGCAGGCTGAAATGGCTGAAATGAAAGAAATACAATTCAGAATATGGAAAGGAATGAAGATCATTGAGATTCAGGAGAAAGCTGAAAACCAATGCAAGGCATTTAAGGATTACAATAAAGTGATACAGGAACTGATAGACAAAATTGCCATTATAAGAAAGAAGCGGCTGGGTGCAGTGGCTCATGCCTATAATCCCAGCACTTTGGGAGGCTGAGGCAGGTGGATCACTTAAGTCAGGAGTTCAAGACCAGCCTGTCCAACATGATAAAACCCCGTCTCTACTAAAAATACAAAAAAATAAGCCAGGTGTGGTGGCATGCACCTGTAATCCCAGCTATTCAGAAGGCTAAGGTGGGAGATCCCAGGAGCCAGAGGTTGCAGTGAGCCAAGATCATGCCATTGCACTCCAGTTTGGGTGACAGAGTGAGACTCTGTCTCAAAAAAAAAAAAAAAAAAAAAAAGGAAACTAATAGGCTAAGCTGTAAAACACACTACAAGAGTTTTATAATTCAGTCACAAGTATTAATAGCAGAATAGACCAAGCTGAGAAAAGAACCTCTGATCTGGTTCTCTGAATTAACACACTCAGATTTAAAAAAAAAAGAGAAGAAAGAATGGAAAAAATCCTCTGAGAAATATGCAATTATGTAAAGAGACTGAGTTTACAACTCACTGTCATCACTGAAAAAGATGAGGAGAAAGTAAGGAACTTGGAAAACATGTTTGAGAATACTGTGTATGAAAATTTCCCCAAACTGACTAGAGAGGCCACCATTCAATTTCAGGAAATGCAGAGAACCTCTGTAAAAATTACACAAGAAGACCATCTCCAAGCCACATAGGCAAAAACTCTCCAAGGCTGAAATGAAAGAAGCAATGTTAAAGGCATCTAGTGAAAAGGGGCAGGTCACCCACAAAGAGGACCTCATCAAGTAAACAGTGGATATTTCAGGAGAGACCCTAAATGCCAGAAAAAAATTGGGGCCTATATTCAGCATTCTTAAAACAAAAAAAAAAAATTCTAACCAAGAGTTTCATATTCACCCAAACTAAGCTTCATAAGTGAAGGAAAAATAATATCATTTTCAGACAAGCAAATGCTAAGGGATTTTGTTACCACCGGATTTGGCATACAAGAGGTTCTGAAGGAAGTGCTAACCATGGAAAGGAAAGATAGTGACCAGCAACTACAAAAACACACTTAAGTACAAAGACCAGCGACACTATAAAGTAATTGTACAAACGAGTCTGCATAATAACCAGCTAACAACATGAAAACAGGAACAAACCTGTACATATCAATATTAACTTCTATTGTAAATGAGCTAAATGCCCCAATTAAAAGGCACAAAGTTTCAAGTTGGATAAAGAAGAAAGAAGCAATGGTATGCTGTTTACAAGAGACCTATCTCACACATAGGCTAAAGTAAAGGGATGGAGAACAATCTACCAAGCAAATGGTAAAACACAAAAAAAAGCAGGAGTTGCTATCCTAATTTTAGACAAAATGGACTTCAAACCAACAAAGATCATAAAAGACAAAGAAGGGTATTACATGATGGTAAACAGCTTGATTAAACAAGCAGATTTAACTATCCTAAACATATACTCACCCAACACAAGAGCACTCAGATTCATACAGCGAGTTCTTAAAGACCCATGAAGACACTTAGATAATTACACAATAACAGTGGAAAATTTATACACCCCACTAACAGTATTAGACAGATCACTGAGACAGAAAACTAAGAAAAAGATTCAGGACCTGAAATCCACACTTGACTAAATTGATCTAATAGATATCTACAGAATACTCCACCCCAAAACAATAGAATATACATTCTTCTCATCTGCAAATGGCATGTACTCTAAAATTGATCATACAATTGGAAATAAAACAATCCTCAGTGAATTAAAAAAAGCAAAATCATACCAATCACACTCTCAGATCACAGAGAAATACAAATAGAAATTGATACTAAGAAAATCACTCAGAACTACACAATTACGTGGAAATTAACCTGTTTCTGAATTACTATTAGGTAACTAATAAAATTAAAGCTGAAATCAAGAAATTCTTTGAAATTAGTGAGAACAAAGATACAAAATACTAGAATTTTTAGAACACAGCTAAGGCAGTGTTTAGAGGGAATTTTATATCACTGAATGTCCAGATTAAAAAGGTAGAAACATCTCAATTAACAATCTAAAACTGCAGTCACAGAAACTAGAGAAACAAGAACAAAAAAAGCCCAAAGCTAGCAGAAAATAAGAAATAACCAAAATCAAGCTGAACTGAAGAAAATTGAGATTAAAAAACATAAAAAGAATGAATGTAGGAGATGGTATTTTGAAAAAAATAAAAAGACCAAAAGACCACTACCAAGACTTATAAAGAAAAACTGAGAGATGGTTTAAATAAACACAATCAGAAATGACAAAGAGGATGTTATCGCTGACCCCACAGGGGTGGGGTAAAAAAACCACCTCAGAGCTAACTACAAATACCTCTGTGCACACAAACTAGAAACCCAGGAGAAACAGGTGACTTCCTGGACACATTTAAACTCCCAGGATTGAACCAGGAATAAATTGAATCCCTGAACAGACCAATTACAAGTTCTGAAGTTAAATTGGTTAAAAAAAAAAAATAAAGGCCTAACAACCAGAAAAAAAAGTCTAGGACCTGATGGATTCACAGCCAATTTCTATGAGATATATAAAGAAGAGTGGGTACCATTCTCACAGAAACTATTCCAAAAGTTTGAGGAAGAGGGACTCCTTCCTAACTCATTCTATGAGACCAGCATCATCTTGTTACTAAAAACCGGAAGAGACTCAACAAAAGAAAACTTCAGGCCAACATCCTTGATGAACGCAGATGCACAAATCCTCAAGAAAATACTAGCAAACCAAATCGAGCAGCACATCAGAAAGCTAACTCAATACAATCAAGTAGGCTTCATCCATTGAATGCAAGGCTGGTTGAACATATGCAAATTAGTAAAAAATGATTCATCCTCAAACAGAACTAAAAACAGAAACCACATGATTATCTCAATAGACGCAGAAAAGGTTTCTGATAAAATTCAACATTCCTTCATGTTAAAAACCCTCAACAAACTAGGCATTGAAGGAACATTCTTCAAAATAATAAGAGCTATCTATGACAAAATCACAGCCAACATTATACTAAATGGGCAAAAGGTGGAAGCATTCCCTTTGAAAACCAGAGCAAGACAAGGGTGTCTTCTCTCACCACTACTATTCAACACAGTAATTGAAATCCTGGCCAGAGAAATCAGGCAAAATAAATAAATAAAAAGCATTTAAATAAGAAGAGAGAAAGTCAAACTATCCCTGTTCACAGATGATATGATTTTATACCTAGAAAACCCCATGATCTCTGCCCCAGAGCTCCTTGACCCAATAAAAAAAAACAAAAACCAAACAAACAAACAAGCAAAACAACAACAACAACAACTAAAAAACTTCAGCAAAGTTTCAAGGTACAAAATAAATGGACAAAAATCAGTAGCATTCCTCTACACCAAGAATATCCAAGCTATGAGCCAAATCAAGAATGTAATTTCATTCACAATTAACACCAGAAGAATGAAATACATAGAAATACAGCTAATCAGAGTTGAAAGATCTCTACAACAAGAATTACAAAACACTGCTCAAATAAATTGGAGATGACACACAACATATGGAAAAATATTCCATGTCATGGATTAAAAAAAAACTATTTTATGTGTGTGAGTTTCCTTTCTTTAAATTGTGAAACAGGGTCTCACTCTGTTGTTTATGCTGGAGCGCAGTGTTGCAATTTCAACTCACTGCAGTCTCAAACTCCTGGGCTCAAGTCATCCTGCCACTGTAGCCTCCACAGTAGCTGGGACCACAAATATGCATCACCATGCCCAGCTAATATTTTGTATTATTTATAGAGACAGGGTTTCGCCATGTTGCCCAGGCTGGTCTCAAACTCCTGAGCTCAAGTGATCCACCTGCCTTGGCCTCCAAAAGTGCTGGGATTACAGGTGTGAGCAACCATGACCAGCTGAATCTATATTGTTAAAATGGTCATACATCCAAAAGCAATTTACAGATTCAATGGTATTCCTGTCAAACTACCTATAATATTCTTCACAGACTTAGAAACAACTGTTTTAAAATTCATATGAAAACAAAGAAGAGCCTAAATAGCCAAGGCAAACCTAAACAAAGAGAACAAAGCTAGAGGCATCACATTACCTGACTTCAAACTAACTGCAAGGCTACAGTAACCAAAACAGCATGGTTTTGGCACAAAAACAGACACATAGACCAACGAAGCAGAATACAGAGCTCAGAAATAATGCCACATACTACAACCAACTGGCTTTGACAAAGTTTTAAAAAAGAAGCAATGAGGAAAGGAATCCCTATTCAGTAAATGGTCCTTTGCTATCTGTCTAGCCATATGCTGAAGATTGAAACTGGTCCCTTTCCTTATAACATATACAAAAATCAACTGAAGAAGGATTTAAAGAATTAAATGTAAAACCTAAAGCTATAAAAACTCTGGAAGACAAATTAGGCAATATTATTCTGGACAAAAGACCTGGCAAAAATTTCATGACAAAAATGCCAACAGCAATTGCAACAAAAATAAAAATTGATGAATGGGACCTAATTAAACTAAAGAGCTTCTGCACGACAAAAGAAACTACCAACAGAGTAAACAGACAAACTACCAAATGGGAGAAAATATTTGTAAACTATGCATCCAATAAAGGTCTAATGTCTAGAAGCTAGAAGGAATTTAAACAAATTAACAAGCAAAAACCAAACAATTACATTAAAATGTGGACAAAGAACATGAACAGATACTTTTCAAAAGAAGACAGACACATGCCCAACAAGCATATGAAAAAAATGCTCAAAATCACTAATCATTAGAGAAATGCAAATCAAAACCACAATGAGATATTATCACAATCAGAATGGCTACTATTCATACCAGTCAGAATGGCTACTACTAAGAAGTCAAAAAATAACATGTGCTAGCAAGGTTACTGGTAAAAAAGAACTCTTATACACTGCTAATGGAAATGTGAGATAGCTCAGCCATTGTGGAAAGCAATGTGATTATTCCTTAAAGAAGTTAAAACAGAATTACCATTTAACTCAGCAATCCTATTATTGGGTATATACCTAAAGGAATATAAATCATTCTACTATAAAAACACATGCATATGTGTGTTTATTACAGCACTATTCACAATAGCAAATGCATGAAATCAACCTAAATGCCCATCAGTGACAGACTGGATAAAGAAAATATGGTACATATACATCATGGAATGCAATGCAGCAATATAAAAGAAAGAGAATGTCCTTTGCAGCAACATGAATGAAGCTAAATGATAATATAAAAAGCAAACTCATGTAGAAACAGGAAAACAAATACTGAAATTTCTCACTTATAAGTGGGAGCTGAACAACGAGAACACATGGACTCAAAGAGGGGGTCAATAGATACCGGGGATTTACTTGAGTGTGGAGGGTGGGAAAAGAGAGAGGATCAAAAATCTATCTGTTGAGTGCTATGCTTATTACCTAGGTGATGAGATAATCTGAACACCAAACCCCCGAGACATGCAGTTTACCTGTATAACAAACCTACACATGTTCCCTGAACCTAAAATAAAAGTTAAAAAATATTTTAAAAAGAATAAAGCTGGAAGCATTATACTACCTGAATTCAAAATATACTACAAAGCTATGATTACCAAAACAACATGGTACTGGCATCCAAACAGACACATAGACCAACAGAATTGAAAGGAGAACTCAAAAATAAATTGAAATATTTACAGCCAACTCATTTTTGACAAAGTTACCAAGAATGTAACACTGGGTATATGATAGTGTGTTCAATAAATGGTGCTGGATAGACTAAATATCCATATGCAGAAGAATAAAACTAGACTACTATCTCTCATCATATAAAAAAATCAAATAAAATCTATTAAAAACTTGCATGTAAGATCTGAAACCTTGAAACTACAGGAAGAAAACATTGGAGAAATGCTTCAGAACGTGGGTCTAGACAAAGACCTATTGTGTAACACCTCAAAAGCACAGACAGCAAAAGTATAATTGGTAAGTGAGATTATATACATCTAAAAACTTGTGCACAACAAAGGAAACAATCGACAGAGTGAAGAGAGAACCTATGGAATTAAAGAAAATACTTGCAAACTCTCCATCTGAGAAGGCAATAATACCCAACAGAATGAATCAGTAACTCAATAGCAAAACCACAAATAATCTGATTAAAAAATGTGCAAATCATCTGAAGAGTCATTTCTCCAAAGAAGATATGTAAGTGGCTAATGGGTATATAAAAAATACGCAAAATAATTAATCATCAGGGAAATGCAAATCAAAACTACAATGAGATATCATCTCATCCCAGTTAGAAGACAAAAAAATAGACAACTGTGTCAAGAATGTGGAGAACACTGTTGTGTTGTACACTGTTGATGGAAATGTAAAGCAGTACAGCCATTATGGAAAAAAGTATGTAGATTCCTAAAAAAACTAAAAATAGAACTACCGTTTGATGTAGCAATCCCACTGCTGGATATACAAACAAAAGAAAGGAAATCGGTATATCAAAGAGATATTTGCACTGTTGCAGCAGCACTATTCACGCTAGCCATGGTATGAAATCACCTTAAGCATCCATCAATGAATGAATGGGTAAATAAAATGTGGTATATATACACAATGAAATATTATTCAGCTATAAAGAAGAATGAAATCCTGTCAGTGGCAGCAACATGAATGGAACTTGAAGTCCATTCTATGAATATACCAAGATACCACAGGTACACCCGAAATATGTACAACTGTGATATTTCAATAAAAAGTACAATAAAAGAGACAGTTCTAATAAAAAAGTCAGGTATAAATCATTAAAAATAATGCAATGGCCTCAAGGTAGTTAGGTAATAACATTACTTATAGCTTTCTCAAATATAAGGAAAGTTACTTTGTTATTAATAATTTTATTAAAAATATTTACATCTATAGGGAATTATCAATATAGGGAATATGGGGAATTCTCAACATGTCTAAAGTTCACAGAACACATTTATGAAGCACAATTTGATTCTAAAACAAAAGCGTGTGCATACACATATATATGCAAACCTGGGAACTATATATGTAAATATGTTTAGTTTTTTGGTTGTTGTTTTTTTTTTGAGATGGAGTTTCACTCTTGTTGCCCAGGCTGGAGTGCAATAGTACAATCTTGGCTCACCACAACCTCCACCTCCCAGGTTCAAGTGATTCTCCTGTCTCAGCCTCCCGAGTAGCTGGGATTACAGGCATGAGCGACCACGCCTGGCTAATTTTGTAGTTTTAGTAGAGACAGGGTTTCTCCATGTTGGTCAGACTGGTCTCGAACTCCTGACCTCAGGTGATCCACCTGCCTTGGTCTCCCAAAGGGCTGGGATTACAGGCTTGAGCCACTGCACCTGGCCTAAATATGTTTAGTTTTTAAATGTGTTAGATTACTTTTGGATTTGATTATCATGTTTTACATTTCTAAATTATGAAGCATTTGATATTTACAAGTTGTTTATTAGTATGATAGAAAACATATATCAATCTACCACTTAAACCAAGAAATATAACATCGCACTTCTAAAATATTTATTCTTACTTGTTTATGTTGCTTAAAATTATAACTGACACTACTACTTTTTGTAGTAATAACTATTTCTTTCTGGTATTTTCCATGTTTTCATTTTCAATAATTTTGGTAATATTTTTAAGTGTTCTTATTGCAAATGCCCTAGAGCTGTTTTTCCCCAAAATCTAATCTGAGAATTTATGTCTTTTGTAGGGAAATTAAACACATTGCATTTAATATAAAAATAGACTCAATTTAAACTTACCTATATATATTATTGAATTCTTTTTTATGACTCCTTTCTTGTATCCTACATATTACTTTGTGGATTTAGTTTTATTTTGCTGACTGATTTTATTTTGTTTTCTTTCAGATGTGTTCTACAAGTGTTAAAATTCTTCAGTATTTAAATCATTGAGCATAATTTTATTTTTTCCTGTTTGGATGATATTTTGACCGTTTGTAGATTTGAAATTCAAAATGATTTTTTTTCTGCAAAAAAAAAAAAGATTTTGCTCTGTAGTCCTCTTAAACCCCGTTTTGCCAATATGTTAGCTAATAAAAATCTGTTTATTTGTTGTTAGGAGCTATTTTTCTGTTTTTATTAATTATTGGTATATCTTTGACATTGTAAATTTATTGCAACATATCAACAAGATGTTCTTTTTGTTTTTCTGCTTTTTGTTACAGGTATGTTTATTTGCTTCATTTCCAGAAAATATTTTCCTATTATTTAATAGATTATCCAGTCTCTCTTCGTTTATTACTCTGAAATATTAGACAAATCTTGAAACTTGTGTTTAATTTGATGATGAAAAAAGTTACTTTAAACTAAGATTATGTAATAACCATGAACCTGTTATATCCTAAAAATCAGGTTTCAAAATATATAATGGTTAACAAATGCTACTTCACAAAAATTAACTCAAAATGGATCATACACTTAAATGTAAAACACGGAACTACAAAATCATAGAATATAACATAGGAGAAAATCTAGATTTGGTGAGATTTTTAATACAACACCAAGATATGATCCAGGAAAGAAATAATCGATAAGCTGTACTTTATTAAAATTAAATTTTTCTGCTTTATGAAAGACACTGTCAAAGGAATAAGAAGACCAGACACTGAGAGAATATATTTGCAAAATATATGTCTGATAAAAACTGTTATCCAAAATAAACAAAAATTTGTTCAAAAGCAACAATAAAAAAATAAGTTGATTAAAAAAATGTGCAAAACACCCAAACATATATCTCACCAAAGAAGATATACATTTGGCAAATAAGCATAAGAAAATCTCACATCATGTGTCATTAGGGAAATGCAAATTAAAACAATGAGGTACCTCTACAATGTACCTGTTAGGATCACCAAAATGCAAAACACTGGAAACACCAAATGCTGGCAAGGATGTGGAACAAGAACTATTACACAATGTTGGTGGAAATGCAAATTGTGTAGCCACTTCGGAAGACAGTTCGGCAGTTTCTTCGAAAGCTGAAGATACTCTTAGCATATGGCCCATGAATTGTACCTCTTGGAATTTACCTAAATGAGTTCAAAACTTATGTTCACACAAAAACCTGTACATTGATGTTTATAGCAGCTTTATTCATGGTTGTCAAAACTTGGAAGCAGCCAAGACGTCCTTCAGTAAGTGAATAGTAAAATAAATTGTCGTACCTTTAAACTACAGAATATTTTTTCAGCATTAAATAGAAATGCCCTATCAATCCATGAAAAGACAAACAATCCTTAAATATATATTATTAAGTGAAAAAAGCCAACCTGAAAAAGCTACATAATATATGATTTCAACTATAGGGTCATTCTGAAAAAGGCAAAACTATGGAGACCATATACAGATCAATGGTTGCCTAGTGTTAATGGAAAGGGAAGGCTGACTTGGTGGATTACAGAGATTTTTAGGACAGTGGAACTATTCTGTATGATACTATGATGGTGGATACATGTCATTCCAAACACATAGAATGTACAACGTCAAGAGTGAAGCCTAATGTAAACTATGGTATTTGGTGATGATGATGTATTGTCAATGTAATAAATGTACCACTGTGGCACTGGATGTAGGTGGTGGGAGAGGCCGTGCATGCACGTGTGGGACAGGCGGGGGCTATACTGCAAATCCCTGAACCTTCTGCTCACTTTTGCTGTAAACCTAAAACTGCTCTAAAAATAAATCCTGGAGGACATTTTGAAATACATCCTGGGCCAGAATGGAACTCACTGCCTTCAAGGAAAGGACCCAATTTTTGCAGAATTCATCATGAGCTAACTAAAGTGCCCTTGGACCCTCAACAAGCAGCAATGGTAGCTGGGCAGTATTCACTGTGGGCCTTGGGTGACACTCAAAACCATGCTGACTTCAAGTGTGAACCAGCACATAGCCAGCTGCGGTGCCTATGGGAAGAGACCCCTTCCACTTGGGCAAAGGAGAGAGAAGAGTAAAGGAAACTTTCTCTTGAGCTTGGGTTAACAGCTCAGCCACACTGGCGTCTTCGCTCCTTGATGACATTTCTGGACCTGTCCTGGGACAGAGGAGAACCCTGAAAAGAGAGACTTAGTGAGGTAGGAGAATAGGACCTGGAGGCAGAAAACCTAAGGACTTCCTAGAACTCAATCAAATGTTAACACGTCAGCTATGACAGGAAATATCCTCTTCATTTACATAGGGCATACACCAAGTAACCAATGGAAACCTCTAGAGGGTATTTAAACCCCAGAAAATTCTTTAACCACGCTCTTGAGCTGCTTGCTCAGGCTTGCTCACACCCAGTGGAGTGTGCTTTCATTTTCAATAAATATCTGCTTTTGTTGCTTCAAAAAATAAATAAAAATAAATAAATAATAAATAAATCCTATTCAAATTATGAAGACATATATGAAAGACATACAAATGTCTGGAAATTTAAAACCTTGTAATGCAGATGAGAGAATTCAATAAGAACAACAACAACAAATCTCTCAAAACTTCAGATGACTTAGAAAAAACTAACAAAGCATACAGGGGATTTTTAGACTGAATTCGCAACCTTCTCTAACAATTTGTACTCCTTGCAAGACACGTGTTTTAAACACACAAAGAGCAATGACAAAAAATAACCATGTAATAAGTCACAAAATAAATTTCCACAAACCTCAAAATGTTGAAATTGTAATATCATTATAAAACTAAATAAATAAGATAAAACTTTAAAAAAATGGACAATTCCCTGCCTAATTGAAATTTAGGAACATTCTTTTTTATTTTTTTTATTATTATTATACTTTAAGTTCTAGGGTACATGTGCATAACGTGCAGGTTTGTTACATATGTATACCTGTGCCATGTTGGTGTGCTGCACCCATTAACTCGTCATTTACATTAGGTATATCTCCTAAAGCTATCCCTCCGCCCTCCCCTCACCCCACGACAGGCCCCGGTGTGTGGTGTTCCCCATCCTGTGTCCAAGTGTTCTCATTAGGAACAATCTTTTTAAAAAGTAAATATAACTTGTTCATTGTTATTTGATTCCCTAAAGTGCTTGTCTTTCTGATCCTATTCACTTCTTCCTCTTCACTAAACAGGTATACTGACATTTTCAAAATTATTACTCTGTTTGTTTTTTAATAATGTCTTGAACATTATTAAACATGTAATAGATACATGCATGTATCTATAAAACTATATTATATATGTTTTGTTACTTTTTTACATTTGTGCATGTTTTCTGTCTGTGTATTTTCCTCTGAATCTTTCTTTTTAATGTAAACTTTTGTTTTTAGGTTTGATTCATTTTCTTGTATAAAACTATTCACACACACTATATATAGGTATTGGTTTATATATATACTATGTATATAGGTTTATATAGTATATATATATATATATACACTAGATTTTAGTTGCATTTTTATTATTTTTTATTTTAATTTTAATTTTTTGTGGGTACATCGTAGGTGTATATATTAATCCGGTATAGAAGATGTTTTGATAAAGACATGCAATGTGAAATAAGCACATCATGGAAAATCAGGTATCCATCCCCTCAAGTATTTATCCTTTGAGTTACAAAGAATCCAATTATACTTTTTAAGTTATTTTAAAATGTGTAATTAAGTTATTATTGACTATAGTCACCCTGTTGTGCTATCAAATAGTAGATCTTATTAATTCTACTTTTTATGTGCCCATTAAGATACTTAGACACTACTCCATTTATCTGTTATCCAAAGAGTGGACACTGTTATCCAATACAAGTGGATACTCCATTTATCTGTTCTCCAAATAGTGGACACTTGTATCCAACAGTGGATACTCGTGTCTTCCTTCTGGTGCATACTGAATGCAGGCAAGGGAAGGTTAAAGGTAATTTAGGAGACAGATTGTTGGGATTTAGGGTCTGTACACATTTACAAGAATATGACAATTTTTCCTCAAATCAGTTTTTTTCAACTTTTACTCCCAACAATATGAGCTTCTTTTGTTTTTTAAATAATTCAAAAATTAAGTTTTCAGAGTTAAATTTGCCATCTTAATGGGTGTGAATTGTATTTTTGTGTTTTTTTATTTACTTAATTATTTAATGTCAGTTAAATTTTCACTAACATTACTAATCATTTCACATTTATTCATTATGGGTGGTTCATATCTTCTGAAATGCCTGTTTATTTCTTTTGCCTACAAATTTGTACATTGTATTATTTTTTATTTGTAGGAGATTATATGCATGTAAGTATGTAGTTATATGTCTGCATGTTTTAAATAATAACACTTTGGTAATTATACGTGTGGCAGGTGTAAACTGCCAATGGCATTATTTGGTGTTTTCTTATGGAATATTTGAAACATTAGAACATTTTATTTTTATTTTATTTTATTTGCATTATAGAAAATTTTATTTATTTATTCATTTAACCTTTATTTTAGGATCAGGGGTACATGTGCAGGTTTGTTCTTTATCCTGTCACAGGGATTTATTGTACAGATTATTTTGTCACCCAGGAACTAAGCCTAGTACCCAATAGTTCTTTTTTCTGATTCTCTCCCTCCTCCCACCCTCCATTCTTAAGGGGGCCCCCTTAAGTAGGCCACAGTGTCTGTTGCATTTGAACATTTTATAATTATAATGCATCATTTTATTTATGGTTATCCTATTTTTTTAGTTAAGAAATTATTTTCTATCCTGAATTACACAATAGCTTTCTACATTTTCTTGTAAATAATTATTTTGACTTCAAATATTTCATTGTCTTAGAATTATTTTTGTGGCATTGGGTATGAGTCAATTTTTAAAACATTTTTTAGATATGAAAAATATATTTATATTGAACCATCATTTCTTTTCATCTTCTCAGATGGTACCTTTATGATCATTAAAGTTCCACATGTATGAGTGTGCGTCTAGGCTCCCTACTGAGTGCCACTGGTCAATTTGTCTAGGTCTGAAATTTACATTTACTCAATCTTCTTTCACAACGGTCTTCAGGATTATTGGCCTTTTTTCCTGCCACACAAATTTTATGTTGAATTCCATTCAAAACTCCACCAGAATTCAATGATATAGCATAAACCTGTGTGTCATTTTGATGTTTTTTACTTTGTTAAAATATTAGGTTTTTATATTTATGAAGAAATTATATTTCTGTTTACCTATGGGCTATGTAATGTATTCCTACAGTTAAATATTTTCCTCTGATAGGTTGCAAGTGTTTTATTTGATGAATTCCTTGAGTTCTTATTTATGTGGTTAAAAATTTTATTCTTTTATTCCATTTTTTAATGCTTTGTCTCTAAGCATAGAGACATAATTGATATTTGAATGTTTGTATACTGACCTTTTTGTCTCTATTTGTTATTTTATTTAACTTTAATACCTTGGTTTATTCCTTTCTGATTCTTACAAGTGTTACATTTGATTTTAATTCTTCCTAAGCACTTTAGGACCTCCCATATAATGATGAATGGAAGTAGTCATAGCGCCTATTTTAATGTTGCTTCTGATTTTAAAAATAAATTTTTTACATTTCAGTATTAATGATACTGATATTTACTTTTTGATTTTTCCAGATGCTCTTTATTAGGATAAGGAAGTTCCTTTCTATGCACCGTTTGTCAAGAGTGTTTTAAAATCAGAAATAGTATTGAATTTTTTCACATGTATTCTCTGGAAATTCTATATTGATCAATATTTTTCCCTATATTCCTGTAATCTATTAATGTAAGGAACTATGTTGATTTAGTTTATACAAGTAAACCACCTTGTATTCTTGAAAAATCCAACTTTATGCATATATATATATATATATATAATGCTTGATTCAATGTGCTAATATTTTATTTAGTATTTTAGAATTTATTTTTACAGGACAATTTTGATTACAGTTTTACATTCTTTTACTGTGTCTATTTAGTTTTGTTTTGTGTTTATTTATATGATGATAAATATGAGAAAATTAATGCTTCAATAATTAAATCTGTGGTGGCAAGTCTCATTTTTTCATAAGAATGTTCAAAAGTCCAAATGTAAATTATTTAAGTTGCATGTTATAAATAATTCACAATTAAAATCTAAGTTGGAAGAGTCATCATTAAAGGATGCCTACCATGAGACTTTCTTAATACAAACAATTGATCCTTGATTTACCTGGTTTAAGATTGGATACTTAAAGTTTTCTTCTCACAGGAGAGTGAATCCTTTGAATTTTACATTTATATGCAACCTCCTGGAGGAAATATACTCCTGTCATAGATTTTAAGATTAATAATAAATTATACCTTAATTTTAATGAAGTTCATTTAAAAGTGAACCAAATGACTACTTTTGAAGATTTGATATGTAAATAAAATTGTTGAAAATGTATATTTGCTTTATGCGAAAGGTTTTATCATATAAACATATGGTTGATGGTAAATGGCTGCATTTCATAGTGAATTATTCTCAAGCCCTGGATACTTTATGTATTGTGTCCATTATATTAAGACACATAGCTTTGTGATTTTATCCAAACAAACTGGAATAAGACATATTCTATTTGTATTACTCATTTCTGACATTATCTTAAGCTACTTTTTGATCTCAGGAAGGATAATTAAAGACTGCTTTATGTTACCAAATTCTGTCTCCATCCTATCCTAGTCACAAAGCTCCACTATATTTTCCAGGATTCTTTCTATTTAGGGAAACAATACGCCAATATTGTGTGGAAAAAAGTGATGAATCCTGGCCTGTAATAATTTTTACATACTCCACTCACTATCTTCTTCCAAAGTCTGGCCCATGAAAATTTCCCAGGCTAGCTTTCATACTTTTTATTTTCCTTTTCTTTTATTACCACATTCTTTATTTGTGAGGACATTTTTATTCAAAGTCCCGTGACACCCATGATTTATTTCAGGAACAATATCATTCAAGATTGTGTAAGGCTGTGGCATTCCCTTCCGGGAATCACTACAATCTAACCATGCACTAGTAGGTATTTCCACCTTTGAAGTAACATTTTCATCTTTATTCTTATATTCTGTTGTGTCCATAAACTGGCTGCTTACCAGGAATAGATCAAAAATGAGCAAGCTGTTTTTATTTTGAGTTATATTCTATATCCTCCCATGAAACTTACCAAACTAGACAACCAAACAAATTGCTCTGTAACCATAAGTGAGAAAAATATACTTATAAAACTACCTGGATGATAAAATGTAGGCAATTATCCTTATCATCTGTACAATGTTGGATGCTAATTTTTAAAATCAATAATAAATAGATTTTTACAAAATTATGACACGTACCAAAGGTATATCATTTTTAATCCTACTGTCATTAAATACTATGATTGCATCATTTCACTTTCCCATTTGAAGCCTAAATTTAAAAATGGGTATAGAATTATTTTCACTTAGGAAGCATGATTTAATTTACATAAGTCAACTTTTACACTCAAGCAGAATATCCCTTTTTCCCTCACTTAATGATGAATAACAACCCCCTGCAAATGGTGATATAAGAAGGGTGTGCAGGAGATGAGGCTGATTTTGCTCACTCGCGTTATCTTTCGGTTTGACTCATTAAGATTGGGTAGCCCATTAGTCCACCAAATCTTCTTAAACACCCATGAACATATCATTCTTTGTGTTTTTTGTTTTTTTCTTTGTTTTTTGAGATGGAGTTTCACTCTTGTGGCTCAGGCTGGAGTACAATGGCACAGTCTCGGCTCACTGCAACCTCCACCTCCTGGGTTCAAGCAATTCTCCTGCCTCAGCCTCCCGAGTAGCTGGGATTACAGGTATGTGTCACCAAACTCGGCTAATTTTTGTATTTTTAGTAGAGACGGGGAACATTTTGGTCAGGTTGGTCTCAAACTCCTGACCTCAGGTGCTCCATCCGCCTTGGCCTCCCGATCATATCATTCTTAATACTGTCTTCATGTGTATTTATTTTGTTGGAATGATCTCTGTTTCCTGTTTGTTTATACAAATGTTACCCAATATTCCACTCATACACCCTTAGGAATTCTTCTATTTCTAATAAAATACACAGTAAACTTCCTTTTCCTTGATAATACTATTGAACTAACTAGAATTATTCTTCAAATTACTGACATATATTTTATGATAAATGTATTGCAAATATTGTGATTTAGATGATGTAAATATTTATAGTGTACTGATCTTAAATTTTCAATTTCATATTCCCTCCTTGCTGGTGAAGGTCATATTTTTCATTTATTCTAGATTGCTCTTAACTCCTGCTGCAGAGCTAACAGTATAAAAAATGTAATAGAGCCTTCATTGATTAAATAATTGATTGATTTTTGACTATCCAATACAGATGGGAGAATTCCACTTACCATAGTGATCATCAATCACCTTGTAAAAAAATGAAACATTAAACTAGGCATTGTTAACTTGCTTACCTATTTTGTTTTGTGTTTTTATTATTACAGTGGGGATTGCTTCCATTCAATAATGCCATTAGACAGATAACTGATTCTATATGAATTCATAAATCTTTATTTCATCATTTACAGAAACTGTACTTTGCAACCTGGGAATTCATTATGACTTTAAGACCTACAAAATTTCCAAGAAACATAGATTCAGTATAAAAATATTGTATCTAAGCAAATTCATTAAAACTCCTATTCATCTCAACCTTACTGTATATTAATTAGTTTTATTCTAAGCTTTCCCAAGGGTAGAATTAAATATGCTCATTGCTACTCTAACTCTGGCTGATACTCCATTCCATTCCAAATGAGGAAATTACTTTTCTCATAACAGTATCATCAACTGATCTATTATTTTGTTACTGATGAAACCAGAGTTGGCTTTTTATCATTTTAATGTAGAAGTTTTATATTTTATGCACATGTGTAAGTGTTTTCAATATAGCTTATAAATACATTGAAGCTTATTAAGAAAAAAATTAAAAATACAAATAGTACTATCCACAGTATATACAAAGGATAAAATATGTCTATTTTTATGTTTTATGTCTATTTTATGTGTGTATGTTTATGCTTGTGAATGTGTCTATATATAAATATGTTTAAATATAGATACAGATCTATAACTACATAAAAGGTGACAAAATTTGCAAAGAAAGTTTTGACAATGATAACTTCTAGGGTGAATACAAATGGAGATATTTATATTTTACTAAACATATTTCCATAGTTTAAAATATTTCACAAGAATATCTGAATACATTATCATATAGTATATGGAAAAATAACTACGTGGAGCTTTTACCTTGTTTAGAAAAATATTTGTGTTTCTACTTCTATGATTTTATTTTTTAAAATCATATAAACCTGCTGAATCATATTTTATAATTATTTTGATAGAGATTTAGTTCTTTAAAATTAATCATTAATCTGTTGTCATAAAATTATTGTATTGTTAAATGATTTCTGTTCCCAATTTTAACTACTATATGAATCAAACACTAAGCACATGGATATGCAACTGGACTCTTAATACCATTTGGTACATTAATGAATGAATCTGGAGCCCTTGTATTATTTTAGATATAGTAACATTATTGAATATTTGAATGCTTTGCAGTGATGAAATTCTCTCCTATTACTTGAGGCATAGCTAAATACCTGCCATTATGTATACAAATGCATTGACGTCACCCTGTCCTTTCTATCTGTTCTACCTTCAACTTGTCCATTGGATTCACTGCCTAGAGAACAACTCAGAGAAACCATACTTCTGCTACTAGCTGCTATGAAAATACCTCTGACATGGAAAGGGTGCAGTTTCTGAATGCCCATATTGCTTCCAACATTCATGATGCCAGAGCATTGCTGCGTTATAGACATACATGGTAATAACTGCTCCTCCCAAAATCTATATGAAACTTTTTCACCTGGATTCCTAAGAAGCCTTTCTTTTTCCTCAATTGTCACAAAGTCTTATTTTAACATATATTTTAACCACTAATGAGCACAATTTGATCAAATTTTTATCAAGCTACTTGTGAAACAGATTTATAAATGTATTGGTTTCTGGTCCTTTCTCCACTACTCATTCAACTCAATTAAAGTCAGGTTCCTAATAGGAAATAGATCCATGTCAGTGTTCTATTTCCCTCCATGTTCTCACGATCTTGGCATCAATCAAAATTAAAATTTCCTATATTAGTCTCAAAATAAAATCTACAAACATTGACCAAGAGAAATACATATTGGAAAAGTAGAAATCTGAGAAGAGGTTTAGAAAGAAGGTAATATAACGTGCATCTGGGTCTCATCTCAGCCTTTCAAAATTCCTCAGTGTGATTGTTATATTTCTTTAATGCTGGGAAAACCACATACATATAACAAATATCTAATACATTTACATACACTTAAAAATATATAACATGTAAACGTGTGTGTATGTATGTGTGTGCATATATATATATATATATATATATATATATATATGGAAAAAATGTTAGAACTATTCTCTCTCAGGATATAAATAACATGGGTCTTTCAAAAGAATCGACAATATAAACCAAGATAAAAAACTGTGAATTTAAGAAATACATTCTTTTAAAATTATATTTCCAATAATAACAACAATAAACAAGCCTTAGGTAGCAGTATTTGTTCTAAGGCTATTACAGAAAAATAGTGAAATGTCAAAATATTCATATATGTAGAAAATCCAGAATAATTTATAGGCAAACTACTAAAATCAATAGGAAATTATCATTGCTGGGTTCAAGTTTAATATTTAGAAAAAATAATTGTAGGCTAGGTGCAGTGGATCACACCTATAATTTCAGCACTTTGGCAGGCCAAAGGTCGGTGGATTGCTTGAGCCCAGGAGTTCGAGACCAGCCTAGGCAACATATTAGGTTAGTGCAAAAGTAATTGTGGTCTTTGCTATTACTTTAATGGCAAAAAACGCAACTACTTTTGCACCAACCTAACGAGTCCCCACTTGTTAAAAAATAAAATGTATATTTACAAGTCAGCAACAACAGAAAATAAAAACTAAGGTAAAACAACAGTAGCATTATTAATGGAAATCATTACATTAACTCTCAATACATTAACTATGTAACAAAAATATATAAAAACCTATAAATTAAAACAAGCAAATATTGCTGGGACAAAGTGATTTCTTAATGAATGATTTAAAGAAATACTCAATATTGTAAGGTATAGAATTTTCTCAATTGAATATACAGATTCAACATAATTGTAATTAAAATCCCAAGGAAAACAGAAATTGATAAGGAAAAAGCATATTTATAGAATGAATGATATGGTTTCATTACTTGATATCTATATTACATAGGCATAAATTAGACATGCAAGAAAAATACAAAGTAGATAGGGTTCTAAGGAAATGTCGATAACTTACTCATAGATATCAATATCCAGTTTATGGCAGCCATGTTGAACTAGGCAAAAATAGAGATGATGAACAAGTTATGTTAAATGAATTTTTAAATTATATGGTATAACTTTTAATATAATAATTATATTAGTAATGATACTATAATTGATGTAGACATGATTTGATTAGATACATTCATCAAATGGTTTTTAATAAGACATGTTTAAAGAAACAAAATTCAAAGTTGAGAGGCCAATTTAAATACAAAATGAGGCCATATTATAGCAATTAATAAAATAAAATAAACATTTACTCTGAAGAAGTCATGCAATCAGAGAGTGCAAAATTTCCTTAATTCCTGGTTAGGGAATAATAATTACATACACAGCACAAAAATTGAATAAATTTTCAAATGAATCAACCAACCAATTAGTCAACTTAGAAGTCCTATCCTATGCATTATTTTCCTTTTGAGAATTCCTGTGAAAGATCCTAAGTGAAGAAATCAGAGAGAAGAGAGATCTGAGTTAATATCTTTTGTCAAATCTAGCTTTGTGATTGTTGGCAAGTAATTTAAACACATTGAATATTGTTTCTTTATCCATAGGTGTGTACATTTAATTCTGAATATATTAAATTTTCTCTGTACATATACATACACACACAAAAATAGTTCATGTGATAAAAGACAAAATGATATATTAAAATCAAATATACACTAAATTTTGGCCAATAAAATATAATTATAGTTATTATTAAAGTGGTTGTAATTGAAAAAAAATACCAAAAATAGGCCATGAAAACATGATAATAGCTAAAATATATTGAGTTCACCATATGTCACTACTGGTTTCTTCCCGATAGAGGTACTATAATCCTGACACTTCCTTTACAGAAGCACAGGCAAGTTAAGTAAACTTACCACAGAGATACAGCTATCAAGATGAGGAGCATGCATTCTAATCCTTTCAGGTGGTAGATTTCTAGCTTAAAGAAGAATTTTCAAATTGGAACATAACTGCAAACATTAAAATGTACAGATCCGAACTGTTCAATGAGCTTTGACAGTTATATACACTAGGGTAAACACTGCTCCATCCACATTATAGAACAGCTCTTAACAGCTCAGAGGCTTTCCACAGTCAATCCCTATTCCTGAGAAAATAACCAATGTTCTTACCTAGCTTTGCCTATTCTTGAATTTCACATAAATGAAAAGATGGTACATAATATTTTGTCTTGGCATCTTTCACGCAACATAAAGTTTTAAAGTTTTATCTATATTGTTGCCTATTTAATTGCCTATTTTTTTTATTGTGAACTAGTATTCCCTTGTATAATATGCCACAGACTCCTCATCCAGTCTTGTACTGATAAACATGTGAGTAGTTTCTACTTTGGGGGAAGGAGGATAATTCATAAAACTCTAACTATTCTTTTACAGGTCTCTTTTTGTGGACCTATGTTTCTCTTTAGAAAGTAAATAACTTGGAGTAGAATTGCTGAGTCAGAAGGTAGATGCCAACTTTTCAAGAAACTGGCAAACAGTTCTGCAAATGGTTATACCATTGCACACTCCCATTAGCAATAAGTGAGTTATGATTGTCCCACATTTTCCTCCAATTTTCGTGTTTTCAGTCTTTTTAATTTTAGTCATTCTTGGGGGTGTCTCATGGTTTTAGAAATCCAGCTGTTAACCACCAGGCTCTATGTCCTTAAATATAATGCTCAAAACCATTCTAATTTCAGTGAATATATTCCAAACCACAATAAATTCCTGAAGATAGCAGTCAGGTTAAAAGGCATGGTATAATTTCAGTAGAATATTAAGAGAAAGTATTAAACTGTTCTCTAAACAAAACATGGTACTGCAGTTACAGAAGATGACTGCCTAAGTTCAAATTTGACTTTTCCCCTTCAGACCAAAATAGTAATTTCTTTCATATTATGTATGATTCACTTCCTGAGAGGATAGCTTAACTGAATGAAGCCCAGATCCTTTTAATTTGACCCCAAAAGCTAGCTTTATTTTCTTTTTTTAGGTGTTTGTCCTCAGGGTTCCTGTCAAAAAACCTGACTATGAGACTGCTAAGAGAAAAAGATGGAAGAGACAGGTACCACAGGTAAAGAGAGTAACGCTGTGTGATAAATCCTCCAGGGCCCAATTACCAGCTGCAAAATTGAGTAAGTCATATTCATTTTTGACTTCAGACATTCTATTTTCAATTTATTTTTCTGTCATATCACAAATATTAGAAAAACATTTTATCTACAACTCGAATTAATGTTTTCATTGAAGATAGCATATTATATAGTAAGTTATTCATTCCTTTTATTAACTGCAGATAATTATAATTTTAATTCATTGTTTGCCCTAACTTTTGGTACTAAAAATCAGAGGAAATGTCTACAAAATGTATGCCTTAAAAATAGTATAAGAACATCTGAACCAGGGAATACTTTCTAAAAAAGAAAGCAAAAATGAAAAAAAAAAAACTCTATCTATATAAACTTTTACAAAGTTTTTTACTCCTGTTTAAAACTGGTTCTCATCACAATTTGGTAAGAAAAACTAATGTAATCATTTTTCTAAAAAATAATCACTTGAAAACTTTTTTTGGTAGTTTATGAATAGACAATTTTATCACGATTTGAAGAGATGAGGTGAATCTGCTGTTCTATTTGTCTTCTTAGACCAAGGTATTATTGATTCTGACTTTATTAAAACAATAAAAAAAAGAAACCAAACAGAGTGAGTTATTTTCTCAAATGGGTATATGGAAGAATTTCAAAGAAAACAGACTAATTTACACGTATCAAAAAAAAGAAAGATAGTGTTTAATATGATGTCCATTTTTTAGTAAATGTAAAAACTGTGGAAAGAACACAGAAGGCATTGAATTCCAAACACAAATCAAAATAATAGAGAATTATGATTATGATTGAGAATAATGATTATATTAAATATGTGATAGTATATATATCTGAAATAAATGAAGAGAGCTCATCAGTTTTAATGTGAGAAACTAAACTGTACTACAAATTATTTCAAAATAATTTGATACATTAATATCTCAGTATATAGTAGATACTTCATACTTCTATGTAAACCACATTCTATCAACAATTTACAGAATTTACTATTTATTTGAAGATAACAGTCAATTAAACATATCAATTTACACCAACAGGTTGTGAGGGTCATTTGGTTGCAGATGTCTTGCCATCATTATTTGTCTTGATTAGTCAGCATTCACTAGGTAGGCTGATGCCTTTTTCTTTCCCTCCCAACCACACATACCTACATACACTTTCTCAGTATAGTAAAGAGAGAAGTTTTCCCATAAAGAAAAAAATTAAATAACTCTCTGTGTTAAAGATCAATTAAAATAATTTTAAATATTATTGAATATAGATTATTTAAAAAGTATCTTCATAACTTTTGACAACTCTAACAACTATCATAAAATAGTTAAAGAGTGGACACATCAACATTTTTTATTGTGACTATTTACCTGAAAGTAATTAAATCGTTGACTCTTGGAACTATTAGTGGCACTTAATTATCAGGTCATTAATATTTAAGAAGATGAAATAATTAAAAGATATGTTTGTGTGTGCTATTGTTGCTTAATCATATGATAGGACCTCCACAAACTCACTCAATAACACACAGATTCTGTAAGCTAAAATATCTGTTTATTCTCAGAAGAGGAGATCCTGTGCTAAAAGAAAAATGAATACCTATACTGAATGATTTCATTCCATATTTGGGTCTAGTCTTTTTATACAAAGGCAAATTTCACTGGGCACAGTAGCTCACGTTTGTAATCCCAACATTATGAGAGGCCAAGTTAGGCTGATCGCTTGAGGCCAAGAGTTCAAGACCAGTCTGGCCAATATGATAAAACCCCATCTCTACTTAAAATACAAAAATTAGCTGGGCATGGTGGCACATACCTGTAATCCCAGCTACTTGAGAGGCTAAGGCAAGAGAATTGCTTGAACCTGGGGTTAGGCGCAGAGTTTACAGTAAGCAGAGCTCACACCACTACACTCCAGCCTGGGCAACACAGCCAAACTCCGTCTCTAAAAATCAAAAAGACAAATTATGTATGCTGTGTCTTTGAGTAATATTTTAGCCTAAAATATTGTTACTTGATACTTTTTTGTAACCCAAATTTGTAAAGATTTAGAAATTTCGAGATAACACTTATTTTTTATGCCTTCCATGAAATTTTTACTTAAGTTTACACAGTATTATACTCTGAGTTTTCAGTGAGTTTTTCACTATTGAAAGAAGATTGGAGGCAGGTAAAGGGATGTTGATTACAGCGAGTTTGTGTTGTCAACTAGCTATTTTACGCTGTGTCAGTGTAATCTGAACCATCTAAGAGTAAAATGACTCAATCAAATACAATCATTTGAGATGTAAAAACAAAATCAGAATTTATGACTTCTCAAAAATGTAATTCAGAGAATTATGACTACTGTGGTTTCTCAAAGTTAAATGAAAACAAGACAGTGTAATTTAGGTCAAATTCCATTTTATATAGAAATGAATCATTTTATAAAACATTGGTTTAAAACATAAATAAAGCAAAACAAAACTCTGTATTGTCTCATAAAATTGCTAAGTTGCTATAATTTTTAGTGAATACTAAACATGCATCTTTTCTTTTATAAATAAACAGAACTTTGCCAATGTGGTTATGGGAAAGCCAGAATGTAAGATAAAAATTTGCTCAGATTTTTTTCCTATCATTATTTACAGCTAGAAAATAAAGATTGTCATTTCCCTGTTGGTTTTTGAGGTTGCTGATAATATTATCGTAAAAATGATCACAGGCCTCAAAAGGATTTACTGTGAATTTTTGGTTTGAGGGGTGTCTTGGAGAAGAAATAAAACAGAAATGAATTTCAAAGCTCTAAGCTAGTGCCGGATATATTAATACACATAAAATTTAAAAAATATATCTGCGGCCAGGCGTGGTGGCTCACACATGTAATCCCAGCACTTTTGGAGGCCAAGGCAGGTGGATCACCTGAGGTCAGGAGTTCGAGACCAGCACGGCCAACATGGGAAAACCCTGTCTCTACTAAAAAAAATACAAAAATTAGCAGGGTGGAGTGATGCGTGCCTGTAATCCTAGCTAATTGGGAGGCTGAGGCAGGAGAATCACTTGAACTCTAGAGGCAGAGCTTGCAGTGAGCAAGATCACACCACTGCACTCCAGCCTGGCGACAGATTGAGACTCTGCCTCAAAAAACAAAAACAAAAACAAAAACAAAAAAAACTCCAACAAAAAACAGTATCAGTAGCCTTCAAAGCAGCCTTTCAGAAGTTCGCAGGAAAATAATTAATGAATACACAAAAATAGAGAAGTAAACATAAAAAAAAACTAACCATGAAAAAGGCAACATCTGGGAAGTATTAACAATAATTTTAATGTAGAAGGAGTCAGATTAATAAGCAAACTTGCTGGTTTTTAGGTCTTTCTTTTTTTTAATTGAGACGGGGTCTCGCTTTGCCATCCAGGATGGAGTACAGTGGTGTGAGCATGGCTCACTGCAGCCTCAACCTCATGGGCCCAAGCGATCCTCCCAACTTAGACCTCCAAGTTGCTGAGACTACAGGCACATGCCACCATGCTCAGCTAATTTTTGTATTTTTTTGTAGAGACAGGGTTTCTCCATGTTGCCTAGGCTTCTCTAGAACTCCTGAGTTCAGGCAATCTGTCAGTTTAACTTTTCAAAGCTGGGATTACAGTCATGGGCCATTATGACTGGCCCAGTGGGTTTTTTTTTTAATATTGCAAGTGAGCTTTATTAAAGAGATGATGCCTGAGACCCACCTATCTACCTTTTTTTTTTTTTTTTTTCGCTAGGACATTAGTAAACATGACACAGGGCATCTGCCCCTTTCTGTGTTATAGATTTTTTTAAGTTGGTGAAATACTATTATATAAGGACTTTAAAAAATGGAAAACGCTGGCTCTAGACAAATATCATTTTGTTCAAAAAATGAATACATTAGCGGAAATGCAAAGAGAATGATAACATGAAGCCAATAGAGAGGAAATGTAGAATGGGGAAAGAGGAAGAGCATTTGGGAATCTCAGGAGTTATAACACTGTTGTAAATAGCAGAAAATTGATTAGCACCTTCAAATATATTAGAAGCAAATATAGCCTTTTAGAAAGAGAAAAGAAATATTATAAGGTGAAAAACAATTTGAGACCAAGAACACTAGGTGAATTCCAGGTGAAGATGGTTTCTGATCCAATTTTGCTCTTCATAAACTCCCACTAATGCTATAGTAAAGCAATTATCTCCTAAATAGGCATAAATTTCATGAGTGTAATGAAAATAAAAAAAGAAGCAACAGCAACATAATGAGGGAATTCAGATGGAATAGTAATAATTTACATAACAGCACTAAGAAAGCCAAATACTATTTGAACAGAAGGAAAATCCAAGAAACAACTCAACTTACTCCATAGAATTATCAAATGACTTAGATTTTGGCGGTGCCATGTACCTCAAAATTAGGGTGACAGTGGGAAGAAGACCTAAAATACTATGAACTATTATAAGCTCATATAATAGACTAATATAAGCTGTTTAGAAACAGTTAGATCCATAAATTCCCCTCTGCACCTTATGTTCTCAACAACTAATTCACTCTCCTTTTCCAGACACATTGGAAAGAACTCCTTCCAGTCCTCCTGACTAGAGGAAACCAGGCACAGGTGAGGGCTGGAGCCAGGTCTTCAATCTCTTGGTAAGAAATTTAAAATGGTTTCTTTAGGAAATGTGAAAAACAGTTTGAGGGGAAAGATCAAAAGGCGATGACATAAGGCCTCCTCCAACAAATGGCCAGGAAAGCTCACAATTGATACACCCATTTATTTACTTGGAGAGTATGATTAACTCTTTAGTCATCTACTACCAAATGTTAAAGGAAATTATAAAGATGATGCAAATAATTCACACTTCACCATATCAAGTCTCTTTGTAATTTATTGCTTAATATTTGACAATGCACTGTGAATGTGTCTTAATGTTATTAATTAGTGGCCTTTGGTTTTAGCTTCAATAACTCCCTTTAGTAATTTCTCTAACGCAAGCCTAGTGGTGATGAACTTCCTTAGCTCTTGTTTGTCTAAGAATGATTTTATTGCTCCCTTATTTCTGAAACACAGCTTTGCTGGGTAAAGTAATATTGATTGACATTTTTTTCCCTTCAGAACTTTAAATATATGATCCTACATTTTCCCGGCCTGCAGAGCTCTTGCTAATAAATCTTTAATAATTGTTTTAGAACTCCCACACACATGATATGTTTTAAACTTTTGTGGCTTTCACAGTTCTTTGTCTTTTATTTTTAATAGTTTCACTGTTATGTGTCTTGGTGAATTAACTTCAGGTTGAATATAATAGTAGATCTGTGCACATCTTTTATCTGGATGTTGGCATCTTTCCTCAGATTTGGGAAGTTTCCAGCCATTATTTCTTTACATATACTTCCTGGCTCTTTCCCCAGCCCCCATCTTTTTTTTTTTTTTTTTCCAGAAACTCCTATTCTGTGAATATTAGTTATCTTGATGATGTCTGATAATACCTGAAGGCTTTCTTCCTTTTTAATTGTTTTACTTTTTTCATTTCTGACTAAATAATTTCATGTTTTGTTTTCAAGCTCATTCTTTCTTTTGCTTGATCCACTCTGCTTCTGAAGCTCTCTACTGAATTTTTTAGTTAAATCATTGTGTTCTTGATCTCTAGGATTTCTATTTTTTATTATTTCTATTTCTTGGTCAAATTTCTCAATGACTTCATGTATTATTTTTCAATTTCATTTAATTTTCTTTCATACATTCTTGTAGTTCACTGAACTTCTTTAAGAGGGCTATTCTGAATTCTTTGTCAGATCTCTATTTCTTTAAGTCCATTGTTAGAGCTTTATTAGTTTCTTTTGGAGGTGTCATAATTCTTCATAATCCTTGTGTCTGTACATTGGTGTCTGTGCATTTAAGAACACAGCCACTTTTTTCATCTTTACAGGTATTCTTTGACAGTGATAGACCTTCACAGAAGGTACCATTACTTGAATTCTGGAATTGAACGGTATTGCATATTGGGTCCTGGGGTTAGATAAAGTCCTTGCTCAGGATGCTTGGAACCAGGTACTATGCTTAGTAGAAATACATGGTTGATGCTTAGCCTCCTGCCTTGGTGAAGCATAGGGGTAGGGTTTGAGGCTGAATTGAGGCACTGTCAGAAAGCCAATTGGCTCAAGCCCAGTCCCTGCGCTTTGCCAAAAGGTGCTGTGGTGGGTATTTCCTTCCTTGGGAAAGGTGTTGAGTGGGCTTTGAGATTGAGTCAATATGCTGTTTGAATGATCAGGTGGCTGAAGTCTAGCCTCTGTACTTTGCCAAATGCACTGTGGTGGGTGACTTTCTCTTTGAGTGAGCTCTTGAGGTGAGCTTTGACGTTGAGCTTAGCCACTCTTTGAACTCCCAGGTGGTGTACATCTAGACTCTGTGTCTTGCTGAAAGATACTTTGATGGACATCTCTCTCTCTAAGTCAGGTCTTCAGATTGGCTTTAAGGTTGATCTGCTATTTGAATGTCTGGTGGCACAAGTATAGCACCTGTGCTTTTCTGAAATAAAAGTATCTCCCTCACAGGTATCTCCCTTACAGGCCTTGGGATGGTGTCTAAGGTTGGGTTTGGAGGTTAGCTGTCTCAGGACTTAAGCCACATTAAATTTCCAGGAGGCTTCTAGAAGTGACCAATTTGGCTTTACTGGTGAGTAATGTCACCGGTGCCTCTTATTGGGTACTTCATGGGCAGTAGTAACAGAGAACTACAATCAAGATCCTGGTTTCTATGAGAAATGCTTCCTTCCTTTGTTTCTGTCTCACCCAGGTGGTCTAGCAACGCTGTTACCCTCTGTACTCCCTATGAGGTGAATCCAAATTAGACTTCCTGAGAAGTGTCTTGGAATGCTCGGGAAATAGATGTCCATCTCTGGTTTTATTTTTCATCTATAGGAACTAAGGGCCTCAAAATGAATCCTCTCTGTGTGACACTGTGCAAACTTGGGGGATGGGAAGGGACTGTGTGTTCAAAGTGAGAGGAATGGTCTCCTATCCATATAAAGCAGGTTTTATTCAGTTCTATGTTTCACAGAGGTATCTCAGGCTTATTTCCAAGTTTTTGGAAACTTGAAACTCCTATTCTGCCATCTTGCTGATGTGCTCCCTGAATAACCTTTTTTAAAATGAGCTTTTTTAGAAAATGAAAAGCGCTCTTGGAATCTATAAGTATAAAAAATAAAAAAGATATTAAAAATTTAATATAAATTTTATAAGACAGAGTTGAAGAATTTTCTGAGAAAATATGAAAAACACAAAGTTTACTGAAAACAGGCTTTTAAAAATTAGATGACCAGTCCAAGAGGTTTTTACAAATAAAAAAGGAGGTTCAGAACTATTACAGAAGGAAAAAAAGTAGAAAAAAATTTAAAAAATAATAAAAGTTTAAAAATATTAAAATATTTAAATTATTTTTTAAAATTTCAATAATAATAAAAAATTTAAAAAATAGTAAAGTTTCCTCCTTCAAAAAAACAACACAAATGAAAAGCCTGCAAAGAATATTGAGCAAAGTAGTTGATAATACACTCATTCAAGTCACTTGTGAAATTTCATAAAAGAGATAAAATCATTCACATACAAACAATGAGAAATTATTATTCATTTAAATTTCTAATTAAATGCTGAATGGTCTAAACAATTAAATATACCTTTTCAATTATGAAGCAAAACTGTACCAGACTATAATTCTCTGTCCAACAAAATCATCACTTAAGGGTGAGCACAGAATGAAGATATTTTCAGACGTGGAATGGTTCAATAAATTTATTTTCCCTATGCCTTTTTTCAAGAGCCCATTAGACATGTTTCTCAGTCGAATGAGGGAGAAACTAAAAAGGAAACAGGAGGTGCCAAACAAAAGAGATTCCTGAAACCACAGATAGTATCAAGCCCTATATAAAGAGAATTCCCAAAGAGACAGTTGAACGGTATTCATAAAATGCAAACACTTCAGATTGTGGCAAATTATAAAATTACAGACAAGTGCCCAAAATCTATGCCAAAAAAGGCTAAAAACTAAAAATCTTAATTTTGAGTCTATGGAAAACTGATATTTGTGCAAATAGGATAGAAGTAGTTATAATTTGTTATGTAGCTTATCTCTGATTATCATACATAGTTCTTTTTAAACCTTTAATATTGAGTGAAACATTATTATTTAAACCTTTAATATTGAGTGAAACATTGCTATATAACTATATTATATAATAACTGTATAACTATATTAATATAATATAAAAAAAGACTGAGTGGCCAAAAGGAAAGAGAAAGAAATAAAGTGAAAATCTTACCTTTTAAAATGCCTGAAACTTAATATTAATATAATATAGTTATATAATTATTATATAATATAGTTATAATAACTATATATACTATATTATATAGTTATACTATATATACTATATTATATAGTTATATAACTATTATATAACTGTATTATATAGTTATATAACTATTATATAACTGTATTATATAGTTATATAACTATTATATAACTGTATTATATAGTTATATAACTATATTATATAACTGTGTTATATAGTTATATATTATATAACTATATTATATAACTGTATTATATAGTTATATATTATATAACTATATTATATAACTGTATTATATAGTTATATATTATATAACTATATTATATAACTGTATTATATAGTTATATATTATATAACTGTATTATATAGTTATAAAACTATATTATATAACTGTATTATATAGTTATAAAACTACTATATAACTGTATTATATAATTATAAAATTATACTATATAACTGTATTATATAGTTATAAAACTATACTATATAACTGTATTATATAGTTATAAAACTATACTATATAACTGTATTATATAGTTATAAAGCTATACTATATAACTGTATTATATAGTTATATAACTATACTATATAACTGTATTATATAGTTATAAAACTATACTATATAACTGTATTATATAGTTATAAAATTATATTATATAACTGTATTATATAGTTATATAACTATATTATATAACTGTATTATATAGTTATATAACTATATTATATAAGTGTATTATATAGTTATATAACTATATTATATAACTGTATTATACAGTTATATAACTATATTATATAACTGTATTATATACTTATATAACTATATTATATAACTGTATTATATACTTATATAACTACATTATATAACTGTATTATATAGTTATATAATAATGCTTCACTCAATATTAAAGGTTTAAATTTATTAATATTTAATACATAGTAATATATAATTAATATTTATTATATAATTAATATATTAATTATCCCACCTGGAATATTACATCACCCCACCAACCATGAGAAACATGAGTGGGAAAGTGGTGATAGGATAAGAGTTTTATATTAATGAGCATATCTCTGGATACAAACATAAATCAATAGGAAAAGAAATCCTCAATCTCTTCTTGCCAATACCTACCTTTTAGTTACTTAGTAGCCAACTCCATTATCAGATCAACTGTCACAGTATTGCAGTAGTTGTGTTCAAGTAACCCTATGTTACCTAACAATGGTCCCAAAGAACAAGAGTAGTGATGCTGGCATATTGTTATAATTATTCTATTATTAGTTATTGTTTGTAATCTCTTACTATGCCTAATTTATAAATTAAACTTTATCTTAGGTATGTACATATAGAATAAAACAGTATATATAGGGCTTGATACTATCCATGGTCTCAGGCATCTACTGGCCATCTTGGAACATATCCTCTGTGACTAAGAAGGGACTATTATATAAAATTGCAGACAGGAAAAAAAAGGTCGAGTGGCCGAAAGGAAAGAGAAAGAAAGAAAGTGAAAATCTTACCTTTTAAAATGCCTGAAACTTAATCATTGTAATTATAATAATAGCAATGATAGGAACAGGCATAAGTAAAAGTGAAAGTAGTTATAAATATAAAAATATGCCATGTTTTCCTAGAAATAGAATTAAATGCCTAAATAATTATCTACATTACCTGGAGACTATGAAGTTGTAGGTGAATTGGGCTGCACAAGATATATTATAGTGACAAACCTTGTAGAAATAAATTTTTCTAAAGTATGCACATACATGTTTGACAAAATTAAAATAAGAACAAGAGAAAAAAACAATAAAATGGGAACAAAAGGAACATGATGATCTCAAAAAAGCAGAAAAATGAAAAAATGTAATATAAGTACTTAAAAGAAACTAAAAGCACTTCAGAAAAAATACAATTTGCGTTGGAGTCAGTAAACATTTAGGATGAAATAGAAATAATCTTTTCTAGAATTCACAGAAAATTATGAAGTGATAACAAAATGAGTCTGTGAGAGATAATATGACAAGAGGATAGAAAAATACAATATAATACTTTCAACTAATGTATAAATGGTATTTTTGAAGTATTAATTATAAATAGAAGTAATAATAAAGTTGTAATAAATATCTTTCCTGAGCTAGAGACTTTCATGAGCATTTCAATAGTAGTATCTGCTGTAGGGTCAAATCAATGAAACTTAGAATACTAATATAACTAATAGCAAATTTTCTGAAACCTTAAAAAATTATTAAATGTTAACCCATAAAATAGGCTACCTACAAAGAAAACAGACATAGAGTCACTGACTGTAACAATGAAAATAAGACAAAAGGGAATGGATATAAATTCTATTTTAGATATTTTTAAGGTAAAAGGACTGCAACATCTTTTGAGAGCTTTAATTAAAGAGCCATAAGTTAAACACAGATTTGAATTTAGAAAAAAATGGAGAAATAGACAATTTATTCAGGTATACAGATACAAAATGTTACCTTTATACCGATAAAAGCTTGAGTTTGGGCACAGTCCTTAGATATGCAGGAAAAATGGGTTTCTTGAAAGTGAATCTAAAAATTGGATTTACTAATCCAAACCCAAGAAGGGCTGAACCAATTGCAAGCCTTCCTCAGTGGGTGTCTGACCCTGCACATTTAATTACCAAAAAGTAGGCAAGAATTGCACACTTTTCAGAACTGTCTGACTCTAAAGAGAAAAGAGAAGGAAGAGGCTCAGCTACCCTGATTGTATTTCAACCCCAAGATGTTACTCTATTACATCACTCCACTACATCACATATGAGAAATATAAGTGAGAAAGTGGAGACAGTATAAGAATGTTACATTAATGAGCATATCTCCACATATAAACGTAAACCAATAAAAAAAGAAATCCTCAGTCTCTTTCCCTCATCACTAACACTCACCATTTTTATCTAACTAAGTAGCCTCTGTGAGGGAAAAACAAAGACATTCACAGTTATTAATTTGCATACAGTTGTATAGCGCTGTGTTTAATAGCTTGGGTTTTCTAGGCTTCAGACTTAGGTTTGAAACTGAGCTCTCTCATCTTCTATCTTTGTATCTTTGGCAATCTATTTATCTGAGCTTCTTCATTATAATATCTACCTTGGAGGTTTAATGAGCAGATTAATTAAGATGTGGATCTAAGAATGTTAGGAAGTATGAGGAACACAGAAATAGCTCAATTCAATGTTCATCATTATCAGTAACAAGGGTTGAAAAATAAAACTTGAAAAAACTTCTTAAAAATAAGTACTTAAAAGCATACATTTTTTCAGTCTAAGAAATAAACAAAGAAGCTGATGAGAAGAACTCGCCAAAGGGGAACATAGCTTGCAATAGGGACTGAGGCATAAAACTGTTGAAAAGAGATTTGAACGTAGTTTTTTAAAATAAAATGTTACAGTTTTGTAAATATAACCAAAATACTGACAGTGAATGTGAAAAATATAAAGAAAAAATACAAAATAAAAGTCGAATATGTCAAAACTTAGGAAAGTCTGCTCTCTAGGCAAATCTAGGCTTTGATATTCTGAACAGCATAAAACAGAAATTGGAGAATACTAAAATACATAAAACAATCTACATATTTATTCTCTCCATATCCCTAATTAATCACAAGACTTGTTTTTATTCAGATGTTTCTGATATAGCTTTTTGCCCTTTAAGTTGGGCTTCTACAATCAAAGGAACCCCTTATAATCATTCTGGAAGAGAAGTCCTTCCATTCCAATAAAAGTTTTCCCTGTGACTTATAGCTCTATTTTTATAAGCAAGCGAGGCCAGAAGATTGTTTGAAAAAGGAAAATGAGGAGAAGCGGTGATTCCCACTTACTTTTTTCACAAAGGGCAAAACACGGGGCTTGTGGAAATATCCAAAGAAAAAATTATTTTCTTTGATATGCTGTATTTTAAGCTTTGCTAACTTTTTGTAACATTGTCATCTAACAAGCCAGATAGCAAGTAAGCATTAGGCTCAAACAGAAGCTGGCCTTTTGGGAGGAATAAAACCTTAACAAAGTACTTTACTTATTGCCTTAATTTGTTTTTCTTACTAAATATGGACAAAAGTGTTTTGGACTAAGCTTGGAGACTTTGATGTTTCTTAGTGATGAACATTAGGAGTCTCCTCTTCTTGTTTGCCTCTCATCCGATGGAAAAATACACATAGCTTGGCAATGGCATTGGTACATCAGATTTTATCATTTTATCTTAATAACTACTTTAGTGCTTACTATGTATTTGCATTGCTGTAATACATGGAATCAATTCATATGATGTTGAACTAACCTGTGGGATGATCAAGTAATTTGCTAGTGGTCCGCAATTACAAGATGGTAAGGCTTGGGTTTTAATTTAGGGAGTCTAGTGCTAGAGTTCACAGTCTTAACAACTAGAGGATACCATTTGTATTTTTAGATGATTCTCCCAAGTAGAAAAAAATATAGTGGAAGATAAATGTCTATATCTAAGCCAAAATCATCTTACCAAAGTCTAAGCAATAAAGTATGTTTGTATTGAGTGTGAGGACACAAAGAAATAATGGTTTTTCAGAGACAATTGAAAAATTGCTAAGTAAATGATGCAGAAGTGAAAATAATAAGATAGCTTTACTTATGACATTCAGGAAAAAAGTATTTTTAAATTGTATAAAGGAAACTGGTGGATTAAACATACTTATTTCTTATTTATTTATTACTTACTTATTTCTCACCACTTTATTCTGAAAAGTTACTACAATGCGATAACAAATTAACATGACACAAAACTACAAGCATACAAGAAGAGAGGAGGCCATGACAAAAAGAAGTTAGGAGGTTAAAACAGGGTTAGGAGCTGGAAAACACATGAATGTACGGTAACTAAATTAGTAGGGCTAAAAGAGCCGAAAGCCAAACCAAGAAGTAAACTCAGTAACACCATAGCACCTCAGAAGGGCTCAGATCTGTGAAACTAGGTGCCCATGAAGGTGGTGATGTAATTGAACTGGAACTCAGAAGTACTTTTTAAAGCCTGTCCTCTATTTCATGCCCTAGGTTGTACACCTTAATTATTGACCCAATCTCTTAGGCACAGTAATAGAGGTCTACTTCCTTGCAATGGTGGACCAGAGAAAATCTGGTCTTGTGACACTAGATGTAGCTGATGGAAAATGTATCATAAAGGTCTCATGGTGATATTAAGAAAATTAAGTAAAGTCTACATTGTGAAGAGTGGCATCTCAGCTCCCTTCTTCTACTTGGCTCTAAACAGGCTAGTAGGCTTGCAGCCTTTGTACATAAGTGTCTAAATTGTTGCTCTCTGGGAGAATTGGCCCAAGATAAAAGGCCAAAAATGTTAACAATTAGCTGAGCCTTACACAGGTAGTAATCTTTTTGCTGGTGGAGGTTCTTGCTTCTGTGTTAATGGCTTCTGACTGATCAGGGTGGTGGTTGTGGAAGGTTGGAGTGGCTGTGACAATATCTTAAAATAAGACAGCAATGGTGTTTGCCACATCATTTGACTCTTCCTCTCATAAATGATTTATCTATACCATGTGATGCTGTTGATAACATTTTACACACAATAGAACCTCTTTGAAAATTAAAATAAATCTTAAATTCTGCTGCTGATATATCAACAAGTTTTTGTACTATTCTAAATTCTGTGTTGTTGTTTAAAAATTTTTTCACAGCTTCTTCACCAGGATAAGATTCCATCTCAAGAAACCACTTTCTTTGCTCATCCATAAGAAGCAACTCCTTGTTCATTCACGTTTTATCATAAAATTGCAGCAATTCAGTCACCTGTTAAGGCTCCAATTCCATTATAGTTCTCTTGCTATTTCTACCACATCTGTAGTTCTTCCCTTCACTGAAGTCTCTAAACATTCAAAGTCACCCATGTGGATTGGAATCAACTTCCTTCAAACCCCTGTACATGTTGATATTTTGACCTCCTCCCATGAATCATGAATGTCCTTAATGACATCTAGAATAATGAATCTTTTCCATAAGGCTTTAAATTTACGTTGCTCAGATCCATCAGAAGAGTCACTATCTATGGCAGCCATATCCTTACAAAAGGTATTTCTTAAATTTTAAGACCTGAAAGTCAAAATTACTTATGACCCATGGGATGCAGAATAGATGTTGTGTTATCAGGTATGGAAACAAAATTAAACTTCTTGCACATCTTTATTGGAGTTCTTGGGTGACTAGGTGCATTGTTAATGAGCAGTAATATTTTGAAAAGAATATTTTTGAGCAGATCTCAATAATGGGCTGAAAATAGTCAGTAACCCATGCTGTAAACAGACAGGCTGTCATTCAGGTTTTGTTTTTCCATTTATAGAACACAGGCAGAATAGATTTAGCATAATTATTAAGGGCCCTAGGATTTTGAGAAAGATAAATGAGCATTGGCTTCAACTTAAAATGACCAGCGGTATTAGCCCCTAACAGGAGATTCAGCCCGCCCTTTGAAGCTTGGAAGCTAGTCATTGATTTCTCTCTAGCTATGAAAGTCCTAGGTGGCATCTTTGTCCATAAACAGATGTTTTGTCTGCATTGAAAATCCATTGTGTAGTGTAGCCATCTTCATCCATTATCTTGTTTAGATCTTCTGGATAACTTGCTGCAGCTTCTATATCAGCACTTGTTGCTTCACCTTGTGCTTTTATATGACAAAGACAGCTTCTTTCCTTAAACCTCATGAACCAACCCCCTGCTAGCTTCATACTTTTCTTCTATAGCTTATTCACGTCTCCCAGTCTTCACAGAATTAAAGAGAGTTAGAGGTCTCGCTCTGGATTAGGCTTTGGCTTGAGGGACTGTTGTGGCCGGTTTGGTCTTCTATCCAGCCCACAAAAGCTTTCTTCATATTTGCAGTAAGTCTGTTTTGCTTGTTTAATCACTCATATTTTCATTGAAGTAGCACTTTTAATACTCTTCAAGAACTTTTTGCTTGCATTCACTAGTTGGCTAACAGCTTGGGGCAAGAGGCCTAACTTTTGGCCTATCTTAGCCTTTAACATGCCTTCCTCACTATGCTTAATCATTCCTAGCTTCTGATTTAAAGAGATGTGGGAACAGTTAGAGATCATTGTAGGGTTGTCAACTGACCTGATGTCAATATTCGTGTTTCTCAGGGAACAGAGAAGCCTAAAGAGATGGAAATAGTTTGGAGAAATGGCCAGCTGGTAGAGCAGTCAGAACACACATAGCATTTATTGATCAAATTTGCCCTCTTATATGGGTGCAGATTGTGGTGTCCCCAAACCATTACAATAGTAACATAAAGATCACTGATCACCACAACAAATATAGTAATCATGAAAATGTTTGAAACATTGTAAGAATTACCAAAATGTGACATCAAGACACCAAGGGAGCACATGCTGTTGGAAAAATAGCACCAATAGACTTGTTTGATTCAGGGTTGCCACAACCTTCATTTTGTAAAAAATACAGTATCTGCAAAGTGCCATAAAGAGAAGCACAGTTAAAAAAAATACCTATATAAGTTGCATGGCTTAAATAATAAAATACAATTGTCTCTCATTTCTGGAGGTTAGAAGTCTGAAATGAAGGTGTTGACACTGTTCCTTCTGCTGGATATCAGGTCACAATCTGTTCCAGGCCTCTTTCCTTGGCTTACAGATGGCAGCTTTCATGTTCATATGGCATTTTCTCTATATGCCTGTCTGTGTCAATGTCTCCTTTTTATAAAGGTAGCAGTCATATTGGATTAGGGTCCACACCAATGACTTTAACTGAATTATCTCTATAAAGAGCTTATTTTCAAATAAGGTCACATTCTGAGGGACTGGGGGTTCTGATTTTAACATATGAATTTGGGGTGGGGAACAAAATTAAATTTATACCAACTACCAATAAATATTTATTATTGGAAAGAAGTCTGCAAGTAATCTCTTTTATGTTTGTAAGTTCTACTTTTATATGTATAACTGAATTAATATGAGAAATCATAAGGATGTTTATGGGTTTGAGGTATTCTAACTTGATGGCAGTATTATTATTGTTATTTTACTTAATACTTTTAATGAATTCTTGCTATCTGAAGACTCAGGTTTTATTTACCTCTGGAAAATGATGTTCTATTTACCTCTGGAAATGATGTTCTACCCCATACTTCTCTATCTACTATGTACTTGCCTCCTAAGATATTAATCCAGTTTATCATTTCCTGATTTTTTTTACAATAGTCGTTATAGCCTCTTAAATCTTATTGAAAATACAAGTTAGAAATTTGTTTATATTTTCTCTCTTACTTGCAGCAACTTTGTTCAAGAAAATAAAGACTATAATTTTATCACAATAATGATGTATATGTATATATAAAAAAGTATAGATAGATAGATAGATAGATAGTTAGATAGATATTCTTTATTATGCAACTAATTTAGCCAAAGTCCATTACCAGCAATCTTACATTTTGACACACAGAGGTCAGATGTGGTACATAATTATTTTTTACTTTTCTGCTAGAACCACTTATCCAAGCACAAGAGGTCCACCTTAGAAGAGACCCGAGAGTCTCCCTTCTCTGACCTCTTCTTCCCCTCTCTTGGGTATAGTTACTTTAGCTTTTAAACCAAATGCCTTTCCTGCAGGGTCTGTTCTGCTTCTTTACTCAACTTCTTGTTCAAAGTGCCAGTCACTTGGTTTTTCTTTATTGTTCCTTTTCCATCCTCAGAGTCTGCAGACTTAAGGAGCAGACAAGCAAGGAGAGGATTTCAGTACATATAGGCAATTCCAGACCGAAATTATAGGAAGACATTAACACATGAGCAACTTTTTGTCTCCACTCATAGGCTAAAAGGATTTGAATAGAATAAGCTCTCTATAAGCTAGTCATTATGTCTTTGTTTATTCATTTTGTATATTACTTAATAAAATTTCTTTTGCCATCACAAGAATTTTGCACATATCTTTCAAAATTTATTCCTAGGCAGTCTATGGATTTGATTTATCAGAAATGGATTTATAATTGTTTTATAGAAAAAAATTTATTTTGTATATTATCCCTGATAGCCTCTTTATTATGGCCCTTTAGTAATTATAATAATGATAATAAAATAATTACTAATACTATGGAATACTGACTCTATGCCAGAAAAACTTCTCATATTTTCTCATTTTATTCTATACTGAAATAATAAAGTAACAGTAGCTGTTTTTATTTGTGTTTATTTTGTATTAGGAATTGTGATCAGTATTTAGCTGTGTATCAATATTATATTACTTTTGCAGAAGAGTAAAATGACGATCAATGAGGTTAAGTAACATAGTCAAGCACTAAAGCTATTTATGTTAGAGCTAGGATTTTAAGTGATGCTTTTTGATCCTAAATCTCTTTAAATAGCACTTTTCTTATTAATAATTTTTCCAAGATTTAAACTTTTATTTCATTTCCCAAATAGTTTTTAAGATAAACATGGTATCAGTCATTCTTGCTTTTTTTTTTTTTTTGGTTCAATGGTCATGCCAAACACCAAAATTAACTTTGTTTTACTTACAATTAACTCAATTTATTATTTAATACCTACTTTTTGGCACCAAAATAATCTTGATATATGCAAAAGCAGGATGTAGTTTCTAGAGTCTCAGATTCCCACTGGGCAACCCTACATATGTAGCCTTTGAATTTCCTGCCCTTGGAGAAGAAACAGCATTTCATGTGATTACGGGAGTTGAGATTTTTGCCAAAATGCCTTCAAACTTCACACATTTATGAAAACCAGAGGTTAGGATATGGCAGGTTTGGGCCAAGAACAGCTGATCAAAGATGACTGTCCTTCCTTTACACCTCACCTCACTTCTCTATGTTGCTAATTCTCTAATGTTGCTCTAGCTCATTGCTCTGATGCAGCACACACACCTTCCATTTCTGTTTCAGAATGTTTCAGAGTGCAGAGTTGTCCTGAAACTTCATCTCTTCAAAATCATGGCCATTTTGTTTTCTAGCCAGGATGTTTCATCTTCTGCATCCATCAAGAAAGGACAGGAGCTACTGGCTGGTAAGGTTTATGAACAGCCTTTTCAACAGGACCTAGTTCAAAGTGGAGTTGGTCCTTCTTGTAAGAAATTGTACATCTTTACCAAAAGTGTCAAGCAGGTGTCCTGGCTCTTGTGATGATTGACTCCTATGATTAAATATTCTACTAAGTTGGGTCTGCAGAGCACAGCTAAATTTTAAGAAAGTATTGGGTTGTGTAAGACAATAGTTCTCATATTTAATGACTTATCAGACAAAAATGAAAAATAAACTAGCATGCAGAATTCAATAAAGAAAGGTATAACTTATGAGAGGCAATGATTATCAGTAGCGGAAGGTGGATAGCAGTTAAATCTAAATAATTCTTGATTATTATGTATTCTATAGATTTCTAAAAATCAGATATAATATGAAAAAATGTATCTGAAAACACATTTTATTTTACTGCACAAGTCCTAGAAAGTGAAGGGGGCTATGCACAAGAGGAAATTTCACATTACAGGTGATGACTGGAGAGGTTATAGAGACATTAATGCTTAATAATATTATTTATTAATTATTAATATTTATTTTAATCTTAGCTGGGAATCTCACAGGGATTAACCTATACTCTGACTTTTTAGTATGAATATCTCAAATCCCACTCTTAATGCAATGAGAATCTGTATATGGAATTCATGAGTGTCAAGTGCTTTTCCTAGTTTTCTAGGCACCTCTAACACAGAGATTTTCTTACTAATGAATTGTCAACTATATCTGTAGTTCTACGATCTGAATAGGATATCCCTTCTCTAGGAATGCTGACCTATTGAATAGCATCCTACCCCTTTCATTCGCCAAACAATCACTTCAATATAGTATGCAACAGATTTGAGAAAGAGGATTGGGGAAAAATGACAAAACATATTCTAGCAAGAATTTAAAATTAATTGTTAGCCATTTGACCTGTAAGAGAATTTACTGCTTGACTCTTATAATTAGACTCAAACCTGTTATCATGTGTATTATTCTCTCTTTTTTATTCACAAATCTTTAATCTCTCTTTCCTTTTCTTGTTCTGCTTCCTCTAATTTTCATAATTGCCAATATTTAGTATGCATAGCAGTTGAACTGTGACACTTCTATCCTGAAGTGGCCTAGATCAAAATGTTTTATACAGATCTTATGTGCTACAATAAAGGGAGTTCAGTCTCTTAAGAAAATATTTTCTGTTGGTTCCAGAACTAAATTTTATTTTTCCAGTATTAATATCTGTTGATTTTTTAAGGGATAATCCAATATAAAAAGATGTAGGGCCTCAAATCATTATAAGAAAAAACAGACTACATATATTTCTGAGAAAATGTAAGCAAAATAGCAAAGAGGCAATTTTAATACCACATATACCTAAGAGCAAAAATATGAAATATAAAAGCAGGGATATTTATACATATAAACATAATTATAAGCCCTGAATCTTTTTATTTAAAAACTACAAATTGTTTATAAATGTAGAGATATTTATTTTCTTAATACATAGTCAACTTGTGGAGCATTAGGACTTTGTTTACCTCTTCTTTGCTTAATAGCTCTGCATATCTAATGAGGGTTGGTTATAACCTAATGCATCATACAATATGTTTGATATCTGTGATAGGCAGTTCAGAGGTAAGGTAGAAGTAATGGAAGGAGGAGGATATGAAGAAAAGAAAAGAAAAAAGTAAAAGCTAAAAAAATAATTTATACACAAGCATATTTTGTGCATTATATTGGCTAGTTTTAGAAGCACCAAACTAGTTTCATTTAGAAGCAAAGGCATTTGTATGTAAATTAATCCATGCAGCTGAACATATACTTTATTAACCTTTCCTGCACATTCAGATATGGAACTGTGTCTCTCCTACTTTTGGACAAGAATCTAGACCTTACTGAAAAGGTTTCATCCAAGAGTCTTTGTTAATGTAGTCTGTGTGGCTTGACCAACTATATTCTATCCCGTAGGTAGTCCCAAAAAGACCCATAAAAAATGACGGATGATTTTGAAGTCTTACTGCTCTCCCATCTGCTCCTGGGAGCTGCTCTACTTAAAGTCGTATTTTTATGTCATCAAGTTGACTGCACTAATCTGCCAGATGATTGATTCACAAACATTTACTTGTCAGAGTCCTTAGCAAAAGATCAAAACAAATCTTACATGTTACACACAATTAAATGTTCTTAGTTCTTCATAACGTTAGGTGGCACATGCTCTATCATGAGGGGTTCACTAAAATATGTATGTAAATAAGTACATGCAAATTGCTTTAGAGCATATTTACATAAGTATTCCAAGGCAGATTAAATATCTGACCACCTGTCTAACAGTTCTACCCCTCTTTTGTGTCTGTCCAAATGCATGAGAACTGATAAAAATTACTAAGTAAATTTACATATAAACCATTGTGGCTGACTGGAAAAGTGGATGGGCAAATCTATTAATGTATAAAAATGAAAGAAAACAAAATATTTTTCAATTGTTTAGGGCACACTGCTTTTCAGGAAGGAATTATTTAAGTTTCATATATTCTTAAAATTTAAACTATTTACTTTTCTGAAATCTTTTTCTTTGCCTTATATTTTCCCCTTGTTACTTATTAATCCTCTCGGATATTATTTGGTAAAACTTAAAATATTTCTAATTTACTAAAGGAAAATTGGAGAGAAAATAGGTTTAGTGCAGTTGATCTAATCCTAAGTAAAGATTCATGGTAAAATTTCCTTTATTTATTTTGTTTTTGTAATGAAATTTCATGGTAAAGTTTTCAACAACTTAAAGCAAAATTAATTTTGGAAAGTGATTGCTTGATGAATTTGTCCTACAACCAAATTTATTCTATTAATTGATGTGTCTTTTAACTCTTAAGACTGTGTTATTTTTATATTTTCATTGGAATATATTCTTTCTCTTATAAAATGATGGTAATAGGGATTAGGTTTTATGTTAATTTTTAAAATGGACTTGGTTGAACAAATAACTTGCTTTATCCTGTATTGGTCCCCTTTGTCATTCATACTTACTTTATTTTACCTATATTTCTTATCTAACAACATAAAACCAATTGACTATCTGTCAAATATCATAAAATTTGTTGAGTTGTTTAAAAAATTCAGTTATTTCTTATTCTAGTCCAGTATATTTTTCCAATGCACAGGACTTCCTTTATATAATACTATAAAGGAAGAATAGACTTCAATTTATAGTTACATATTTATTTGATCAATGCAATAAAAATATTCAAAATATTCAAAATGACATGAGTAGAATATATTTCTATGTAGTATATTGTACTATATTATAATATATATTTAGTTGCCATATACAGTTGAGATTATGATAGTGATAGAAGTAATTCAACAGTGTGTAAATGTTCTCCTTTCTCTGTATCCTCACCAGCATCTGCTATTGTTTGTCTTTTTAATAAGTCATTCTAACTGGGGTGAGATTATATCTCATTGTAGTTTTGATTTGTATTTGACTTATGATTAGTGATGTTGAGCAGTTTTTCACATGTTTGTTGGTCATTTATATGTCTTCTTTTGAGAAATGTCTATTCATGTCCTTTGCCTGCTTTTAATGTCATTATTTACTTATTATTGAATTGTTTGAGTTCCTTGCATATTCTGAATATTAGTCCTTTGTCAAAGTAGTAATTCACAAGTAATTTCTCCCATTCAAGAGGTTATCTCTTCATTCTGTTGATTGTTTCTGTTTCTGTGCAGAAGCTTTACAGTTTAATACAGCTCCATTTGTCTATTTTTGTTTTTGTTGCCTGTGCTTTTGACATCTTAACCATATAATCTTTGTCAAGATTAATGTCTTGAAGAATTTTCTCCACATTTTCCTCTAGTAGTTTTATAGTTTTGAGTATTATGTTTAACTCTTTAATCCCTCTTTAGTTGACTTTTGCATATGGTGAGAGATAGGGGTCCATTTTCATTCTTCTACATACAGTTACTCAGTTTTCCCAGCACCATTTACTAACGAGGGTACCCTTTTTCCAAAGTATGTTCTTGGTGGCTTTGTGAAAGATCAGTTAGCTGTAAACACGTAGATTTATTTCTGGGTTCTCCATTCTGTTCCATTAGTCTAGTTGTGTATTTTTATACCAATAACATGCTGTTTTGGTTACTATAGCCTTGCAATATGTTTTTAAGTCAGGTAATGTGATGCCTACAGCTTTGTTCTTGTTCTTAGGATTTCTTTGGCTATTCAGGCTCTTTTTTCTTTCAGAAAAATTTTAGAATTATTTTTTCTAATTCTGTGAGAAAATGGCATTGCTATTTTGTTAGGTATTGCATTGAATCTGTAGATTTCTTTGGGCAGTATGGTCATTTTCACAATATTGATTCTTCCAATCCATGAGCATGGGATGTCTTTCCATTTGTTTGTGTCCTCTTTAATTTCTCTCATTAGTGTATAGCACTTTTCCCTCTAGATATCTTTCACTTCCTTGGTTAAATTTATTCCTAGGTAATTTTTTGTAGCTATTGTAAATGGAGCTTCTTTCCTGATTTCTTTCTCAGCCATTTCATTATTGATGTATAGAAAAGCTACTGGATTTTGTATGTTGATTTTGTATCTTGCAACTTCACTGAATGTTTTTATCAGTTCCAAGAGTTTTTTGATGGATTTTTTTTTTTTTTTCTGGACATGAGATCAAGTCAGTTTGCAGAAAAAAACAATCTGACTTCCTCTTTTCCAATTTGGGTGCCTTTTATTTCTTTGGGTCCTCAGCAGTGTGTGCTGGTGTTGGCAGTGGCTGTGATGTGGGATCACTACCCACGGCCCCAGAGAACCCTAGGCAGCATTTAGACTTACCAGCCCTTAGTGGCAGTAGTGCAACAGCACCATGCAAGGGAGGGAGGGATCTTGCCCTTCACACTTGAGCCTGAGGTTGGAGATCATGCTGACAGAGGAGACAAGGTTGTTACTGACAGCCCCAGACTGGCAGCCTTCTGCTCACCTGCCCCAGCCCCTGGTGGCAGCAGCAGTGGCTACAGCTGCAGCACTGTGCAGATGGGGGAAAGGTGTCTTGTGCTCTATGATCTTTATGTGAGCCTGAGCACAGAGGTTGCTCCACTGGTGGGGATGGGGTCACTCTACCCAACCTGACAGTCTGTTGTCAGGCTCACCAGTGGCAGCAACTGCTGAAGCAGTATTTGTAGGAGGTCTCACTTTCTTCTCAGGAGACCAAACACAGAATTTGTGCCACTACTAGGGGCATGGTTGCTTCTTACAGCTCTGGAAAAAATGCAACCTTTGGGTTCCTTTGTCCCTGGGCTACCTTTTGGGTGTGCTGCACCATCCTTTCCTCAGGAAGTAGACTTCAGTATTGGGGACCCACAGTACTTTGGCTCTAATTAGTGCTGTGCTGCTGTAGCTCTCTAGATAGACACAAGGGTATGTGGGGAGTGGGGGTGGTTCCTGGGATGTGGAGATATGGGGGCTGTGGTTCCCAAGGCAGGATGCAGTTTCATAACGGCAGTGTTCTTAAAATGATGTCCTGCTGCAATGCTTAGGTCTTAAGGGTGTGAGCGACCCAGCCAATGTCCCTGTCTGGTGTGATGCCCTCATAGAGTCTCTAGATCTCTGCTCACACTTCTGTCAGCATTCACGTGGGCAGAGGAGCTCTCTTGTATTTCAGATTTCAGCAGTCCATGGTGGGATGTGGGCCAATGAAGTTCTTTCACTTACTCTATCCCCACAGTGCCAAACCTGGAGGTGGGTTCCTGGCCCACCTCCGCTAAGCTGGTATCTTGCTCCCTTCTCCTCTGTGTCTCAGGTGTTTCCTGTGATTTCTCTGTTAGACTAGTATTCTTTCTTAGATATTTTATTTGGAGTGTTATTATCTATTCATAATTTTGGTTCTTTTCTGGAGAGGGAGAGTGCCCAATGTCTCTAGTCAGCCATTTTGAACCAGAATTCCATCTTTGATTCTCGATATCTAAATATATTAGTAAGCCATGGGAAAAAAAAAACCTAAAACACAAATCAAAATAAACAAACAGAAAACAAAGTTAATTGACAAGAAGCTAAAAGCAAACAAAAAGCAACAGAAGAAAAAATAATCTATTGGAAAAAATCAGTTGGAGACTTTAAAAGAGCAATGGTTAATATATTAAAGAAAGTTTAAAAAGAGAATGGAAAACTTCAAAAAAATTAAAATTTAAATAGAGAATAGAGTAAAAAGTCAAACTGAAAACACAAGTGAAATGAAGGAATTTTTTAATACAACACACAGGTTTAATAATATATTAGAAAAAGAATAGAAAATAAATTCATTAGTCATGGCATGTTGAATACTTTCCTCTTAATTTTGCGACTAAAGCATGGTTTTTACTGTCATCATTTCATTCCCACATTTTAATGAAGATCTACCTATTATAATAAGGCCAGAAAAATAAAATAAAGCATAATGGCTTAAAAAAGAAAAGGAGTAAAACCTTCTTTACTTCCAGATGACATGAGGGTTTAGTTAGAAAACCTTGAGGCATCTACAAAAAACCTATTTGAACTAATAATTAAACTGAGCAAAACCACACTATAAAAAGACAATACTTGGCCGGGCATGGTTGCCCATGCCTGTAATCCCACCACTGTGAGAGGCAAAGTAAAAAGATTGTTTGCGCCCAGGAGTCTTGAGCCCAGGAGTTACAGGACAGCCTGGGCAGCAAAGTGAGACCACATCTCTGCAAAAAAAAAAAAAAAAAAAAAAAAATTAAACATTAACTGGACATTGTGGCACCTACCTGTAGTTCCAGCTACTTGGGAGGCTGAGCTTGGAAGATTGCTTGAGCCCAGGGAGATGAAGATGCATTGAGCTATAATCACGCCATTGCATTCCAGCCTGGGTGACAGAGAAACCGTGTCTCTTAATAAATAAATAAATAAATTTTTAAAAGATAATACTTAAAAATGAATTGTAATTCTGCCTACTGACAAATAATACCACTTTCAAGTATCAATAATATTGATAGTATTAATGAGAAATTTAACAAAGATATATAAAATGCATAAATACATACAATCAGAAGGTAAAATATTTTCTGAAATAAGTAAAAATGGCTTAAATAATTGGAGAGATATGTCATGTCCATGGTGTTGAAACCTCAGTAGTGTTAAGATTCAATTATCTTCATTATGTAGATACAACAAAATCCCAATCATAAGCCCCAGTTAGCATTTTTTATTAGAAATATAAATGTAGATGTACAAGACATAGAGTATCCAAAGCAATCCTAAAAAACAAAGTACAAATTTGAAGCACTTTCACTATCTGACTTCAAGTTGAACTATAAAAAGCTTCAGGATTCAAGACAGTGGGTTACTGCCATAAAGATCAATCAATTAGCAGAACAGAATATACATCCAAGAAATAAAATCAAAGCAAAAAGCACAAAACAATTCAATGGATGATGAAAGTCTTTTCGTAAAATATTTTATAACAACTGGATAGTTATATGGAGAAAACACAGAGCATATATAGTAACTGGACTGTGGGGCCATATGGATAGATAAAATATAGAAAAAACAAAAGTAACATTGAGCAAATGGAGAGCCACATGGCATATATATACACATATGTATATATGCACGTACATATATATGTATATATACACATACATATATGTATATACACACATACATATATGTATATATGCACACACATATATATGTATATATACACATACATATATGTATATATACATATATGTATATACGCACATACATATATGTATATATACACGTACATATATGTCTCTATATATACACATACACATATGTATATACATATATGTGTATATATACACAATCATATATGTATATACATATATACACATATACACAAACATATATGTATATACATATATGTATATACATATATACACATATACACAAACATATATGTATATACATATATGTATATACATACACAAACATATGTGTATATACATAAATACACAAATATATATATGTATGTGTATATATATATACATACACACACACACATATACCTTGACCCTCTATTGGAGATTGATCTTAGCTTAAAATCCAAACTAAAGAGCTTTCCAAAAGAAAATAAGGACTATATTTTTATGACCTGAGATTAGTTAAAGTTATTTAGGCAGTACACAGAAAGCAACAGCCATCAATAAATTTTACCTGATTAAAATTCTGCTTATATAAAACTTTGTCAAAAATAAATAGGCACGGAATAATGAGGGAGAAAATATTCACAAACATATCTGAAAAACACTAGTACATTGGTAATAAAGAAAAATTATACCTCAACATTAAAAAGACCAAAAAAACATATTTTGAGTGGGGTAATGATTTAAACAGGCACTTAACAGGAAAAAACATGAATGACCAATACACACATTAGAGAGTACTTAAAGACATTTGCCACTAGGTAATTGCAAATTAAATCTAGAGTGAAATATCACTCTATAGCCACCAGGAAACTTCACGTTGAGGAGTGGAGCAACCAGAACACTTTTGATGTGTGTAAAGTACCACAAGCACTAAGGAAAGACAGTCTTTCAGTTTCTTATAAAGCTAAACATGTACCTATTCTATAACATAGCAGTGTCACACCGAGATCAATAAAAACGCTGCCAATAAAATGGAAATAGTAGCTCAATTAGTGATATCTTAAACCTGGAAAAAGTGTCCATGACCCAAGGAATATATACAAACTGTAAGATAAATTCATGCTGTGGAATATTTCTTAGTAACATAATGGAGTGAATTTCTGATCTGCAATATGAAGTGGATTAATTTCAAGATGCTTATCCTGGGCAAAGTACAGTGGCTCATGCCTATAATCCCAGCATTTGGGTGGTCAAGGCGGGAGGCTTCCTTGAGCTCAGGAGTTTGAGACAAGCCTGGGCAACATAGCAAGACCTCATCTCTCCTAAAAATAATAATAATAATAAAAAAATTAGCTGGACTTTGTGGCACATGCCTGTAGTCCTATGTACTCAAGAGGCTGAGGTGGGAGGAGGGCTTGAGCCTAGGAGATTGAGGCTATAGTGAGCCATGATTGTGCTACTGCACTCCAGCCTGGGAGACAAAGTTGGGCCCTGACTCAAAAACAAAAACAAAACAAAAAAAGATGCTTATCCTGAGTAAAACAAATAAGATACAAAGAGTACATAATTATGATTCAATTAGTATGAATACTTAGGAGAAGTTACATTAATCTCTGGTGGGAAAATAATGAGGACATTGTTTATAGTATGAGAAAAAGTATTTGAATGAGAATAAGCATAAGGAAATGTTCTGGGATGATAATAAAGTTCTTTATTTGGATGAGTTTCCTTTACACAAGTGTACGTACTATCAAATTCATCAAGTGGTGCAATAAAGATTTATAAATTTTCCCATAAGCAAATTTTCCTACAAAAGAAATTTTGTAAGAAAACATTATATTAAAAAATGTGCATAGTAATATTTTAGGAAGAAATGTATGGTCAGAAAGTTACTCTGAAATGCATTTTTATTTAAAAAAAGAAACATGATTGATGGATATATAGAGGTATAGATAAATAGACAGATATGTGATAAAGTATATGTAGTAAAAATATAATTATAGAATAGAAATAATACAGTGTATGCTCTTACACACCAATGGAATTAAACTAGAAAAATTGCAAACTACATAGAGACTAAACAACATGCTTCTAAGTAATGCATGGACCAAAGATGAAATCTCAAGAGAATTTTTTTTTTTAGTTCTTTAGAGTAAGTTAAAACGGAAATATGACATTAAATTTGTGGAATGCAGTGAAAGCAGTGCTTACTGAAAAATATTTAGCATTGAAAGTAAAAAAGTCTAATTTCAATAATCTTATTGTCTCCCTTTAAAACCAGGAAAAGAAAAGCAAATTACATTCAAAATAAGCAGGATAAAATAATAATAATAATTAGAACATAAATCAATGACATCAAAAACAGAAAATTAGTAGGAAAAATCAAAAGAACCAAAAGCTGGTTTTTTGAAAAGACAAATAAAATAGATAAGCCTCTATCCAAGCTAACTCAGAGAGAAGAGACAATTACTAATAACAGAAATGAAAGAGGGAACATCATTACAGATCCCATGGATATCAAAAGGAAAATAGAGAAATAGTATGAACAACTTAATGCCTACACGTTCAATAACCTTGATGAAATTGACCCATTTCTTAAAAGACACAATCTGCTAATACAAAGTAAGAAATAGAGAATGTGAATAGGGCTTGATATGGTTTGGCTCTGTGTTCCCACCCAAATCTCATTTTGAATTGTAATCCCCACATGTTGAGGGAGAGACCTGGTGGGAGGTGAAGATTGAATCATAGGGGTAGTTTCTCTCATGCTATTCTCATTATAGTGAGCTCTCAAAAAATCTGATGGTTTTATAAGTGTTTGACTGTTTATCCTTCACAAGCACTCACTCTGCTGTCTCCTGGTAAAGAAGGTGAGTGCTTCTCCTTCTGCCATGATTGTAACTTTCCTGAGGCCTCCTTGGCCATGCAGAACAGTGAGTCAATTAAGCCTTTTTTGTTTATAAATTACCCAGTCTCGAGTAGTATCTTTATAGCGATGTGAAAACAGACTAACACAGGGCTATATCTATTAGAGTAATTAAATCAATATTTATTAACCTGCTAAACCAGAAAGCACCAGAACAGATGGGTCACTGGTGAATCCTACAAAACATTTAATGAAGAAATTATAAAAATCCTCTATAATCTCTTTTATAGTATAGAAGCAGAGGGATTATTTCTAACTGATTCTATGAGGCCAGCATTGCCCCAATAACAAAACTGGACAAAGACCTTAAAAGAAAAGAAAAACAAAAAAAAACTACATACCAGTGTCTTTCAGTATCTGTTAAGATGCAAAATTCGTAACAAGATATTAGCAAATTGAATTCGACAATTTAGAAAAAGAATTATACACTGTTGCAGGAATCAGGAGACCAGAGAGACCGATAGGTAGGACAGGAGGACTTCACTGAGTGCACTCAGATCCAGCAGATTAACATCCAAACACTGGGCCCAGAACAAAGACGGCACTTGACTTTTATACACACTTCTCAAGGGGGGAGGCTAGCTTGAAAGAAGCTTACAGTGGCACAAAGCATAGCAGCATGACAGTAAGGATACAGAGGCAGAGTCAAATTGTAAAAGGTGCATAACTCAGGATTACATGTGACTCTTGCTATGTGGCCCAGATGGCTGCTATCTAGGCTTGCTCTACTGCCTTGCAAGGGCTTATCTTATAACCTTTGCCATGGCACCTATATGGCTGCAATCCAGGCCTGCTTAGGCATGTCTTGTAACCTTCACTGTACTACTCAGATAAAAACAGAATACTTGGAGTTACTAATTACAGAAAACAGGAATCTATAACCTTATAAAACTTGCAAAGCAAGGGACAATCACACAGAGGGGGATGGGATTCGAATGGGAACTTACTAAAGGAGTGAGGAAGTTTTATTTTTTTTCTTATCCTTATGTTGTGGGAGTGCTGGGAGAGTCTCCAGAGCACATTCGTTTGAGCCTTAGCTTCTTAGATAATGTTATCAAGACGTCACCTGGGTCCAGGCTTTGCCTGTTACTGCCTTTGGTATGAGTCAGCCTAATATAGAAAACTTGTTTTCCTTTTTTAAAAAAAATGTATTTTTCTTTCTTTCTTTAATTTCCTGCCTCAACACCATTACCAAATGAGACTTATTCCAGGCATTTAAGGCTAGTTCAACATTGAAAATTTGATTAATGTAATCCGTCACATCAACAGAGTGAAAAAGAAATGTCACATGATCATATCAACAGAACCAGAAAAAGCACTTAACAAAATTCAAAACCAACTTCTGATAAAAACAATTAGCAAATTAGAAATAGAGGGTGAATTCCTCAAGTTGATAAGCACATCTACAAAAAAAACCCACAGTTAACATTATAATTAATGGTGAGAAACTAAAATATTTCTCCCTAAACTCAGAAACATGACAAGGATGTTCTCTCACCACTTATTCTCAACATATACTTAAAGTCTTAGCTAACAATTAGATAAGAAAGGAAATTAAATGAATACTGATTGAAAAAGAAGAAATAATGCTGTCTTTGTTTGCAGATGATATGATTATCTATGTAGAAAATCTAAAAGGATTGACAAAAAAATTGTGAAACTATGAAGCAATTATAGTAAGTTGCAGAATACAAGGTTAATGTATTAAAAAAAAGCCAATCTCTTTTCTCTATACCAGTAATAAACAAGTAGAATTTGAAATTAAAAACAAAATATCATTTACATTGGCACCCTAAGAAATAAAATAGTTATAAATCTAACAAAAGATGTACAAGATCTATATAAAGAACACTATGAAATTCTGATGAAAGAAATCAAAGAAGAAATGCATAGTGAGATATTTCAAGTTCAAGAATAAAGATTCAATATAACCAAGATGTTAGTTCATCCCATTTTAATCTATAAATTTAACTAAATTCCAACCAAAGTTTTAGCAAATTATTTTGTGGATATTGGCAAACTAATTGTGAGGTTTATATGGAAAGGGAAAAGACCCAAATTAGCCAATATAATATTGAACGAGAAGGAAAAGTTAAAGGACTGACATTACCTGTCTTCAAGACTTAATATAGGACTGTAGTAGTGAAGACAGTGTGGTACTGGTGAAATAATAGACATATATATTAATAGAATGTAATAGTGAGCCCAGAAATAGACTAACGTTAATTTAGTTAACCAATCTTTGACAAGGAACAAAGGCAATGCAATGGATAAAAGGTGTTCTTCTTTACAAATGATCCTGGGACAAATCAACAACCATATGCAAAAGAAAATAAAACAGAAGGGAAGAGAAGGGGAGAGGAGGGAAGGGGAGGGGAGGGGGAAGAGAAGAAAAGAAGGAAGGAAGGAGAGAGAAAGAAACGAGAGGAAGGAAGGAAGGAAAAAAAAAGAGGGAGAGAGAGGAAAAAAAAAACTGGACCTTACACACTTCTCAAAAATTAACGCAAAATTAATCATAGACCTAATTCTAAAACATAAAATTTTACAAACACTTGAAGGTAACATAGAAGAATGGGTATGCTGATGCCTTTTCAGATATAACTCCAAAACCAAAATCCATGGAATAAATTATCAATAAGCTGAAATTCATTAAAATTAAAATCTTCTGCTTTGTGAAAGATACTGCCAAGGAAATGAGAAGACAAGCCACAAACTCAAAGAAAATATTTGCAAAAGATATATGTGATAAAGGATTGTTATACCAAATACATACAGAAACTTTAAATAGCAACAATAAGAACACAAACAAATGAATAAAAAATGCACAAAATACCTGAACAGACACCTCATCAGAAAATATATACAGATGGAAAGTAAGCATATGAAAAGATGCTCCACATCCTATGTCATCATGGAAATGCAACTTAAGACAAGAATGAGATCCACTACACATATATTAGAACAGGCACAATCTAAAGCACTAACGACAACCAATGGTGGTAAGGATGTAGAGCAACATGAACTCTCATTCATTGCTGGTGGGAATATAGAATGGTTCTTGTTTTAAGAACCATTTGTTCTTAAATGGTGGACAGAAAGCAAGCAAGATTTTTTTGTGTCTCTTCTTATAAGGGCACTAATCCCATCATGAGGGTCCTACCCTTATGCCATCATCAAACATAATTATCTATCAAAGACCGCACCTCTAAATACCATCATATTGGGGTTTAGCCCTTCAGTATATGAATTTTGGGGGGACAAAGTTGAGTCCATAGCAACTACTTGAGAAGACAGTTGGCATTTACCTAAACATGCTGTTGTTACAATCCAACAATTGTGCTTTTTGGCATTTATCCAAATGAATTAAAAGCTTATTTCCACACGAAATTCTGCACAAAGATGTTTATAACAGTTTTGTACACAATTGCCAAAACTTTGCAGCAATCAAAATGTCCTTCAAGATGAATGAATAAATCAACTGTGGCTCATCCAGACAATGGAATATTCTTCAGTACTGAAAAGAAGTGAACTCTCAAGCCAATGAAAAGACATAAAGGAAACTTAAATGAATAACACTAAGTGAAAGAAGGCCATTTGAAAATGCTACATACTGCATTATTCCAACTATATGATATTCTGAAAACACCAGCATTTTTTTTGCCTACAGTTTATTGTCCTTTCTCTTCCTCCCTCCTTACCACTTCTCCATTCACATCTGGAGACAAAATACCATCTCTCGCATCAGGGGTTTCTCAGAATTCTGGTCTTAGGTTTTCAGATATTTCATTTTTGAACTCATTTTTGTGTTATCTTTAGGCATGACTTCCAGGAAGGAGAAAAATAGGGGCCTATTATTTTTTATGACATGTCTTCAGGAAATGAAAGTTTCTAAATTTGGTTTATTTTTAATGCTATTTAAATAAATTTTCTATTGTCAGTATAATACCATCTACTACCAGATTTCTCCTCCTCCTTTGAAAATTTTGCCCAGAACCAAATTTGTTACACTGTTCTTATTTTTTCAATTTCAAATATTTACCAACAGTGCTTCTCCAAGTATTGGACAAATAGAATTCATTTGAATTTACAGATTTTAACATGCTTGTTTACAACTATCTTTTCAATTTGAATGTCATTCTAGTTTATGGGGGAAGTATGAAATGAAAAGTATTCTTAAAAATGTTTTATTGGCTCATGCCTGTAATCCCAGTACTTTGAGAGGCCGAGGCAGGCAGATCATTTGAGGTCAGGAGTCCAAGACCGGCCTGGCCAAGAGGGTGAAACCCTGTCTCTACTAAAAATACAAAAAAAAAAAAAAAAAAAAAAAAAAAAAAGCCTGACGTGGTGGTGCATGCCTGTAGTCCCAGCTACTCAGGAGGTTGAGGCAGGAGAATGGCTTGAACCTGGGAGGCAGAGGTTCCAGTGAGCCGAGATGGCGCCACTGCACTCCAGCCTAGGTGACAGGGCGAGACTCCATCCCCCGCCTCCAAAAAAAAAAAAAAGTTTTATTAATACCACCTGCAAAATACACTTCTCATTCTTTTTTTTGTGATATGCATTTTTAGTTATCAAAATTTTATGACTTATATATGCAAAGATTGTGGTCTTCTTCTGTAGAAACCTAATGATCCTGTGACTTTGTTCAGAATTGTTGCAAACTGTTATGTATCATCATATATTTCTCTGATAACAAAACATTTCTAGATTTCCCAAGGACTTTATTCAATGTAAAGTCCCAAGGACTTTACACATATAAAGTGATAGTGACAGGAGCATCTACTTCATTGGCAATTGTGAAGATTAAAAGGGATATTAGATTTAAAGTATACAACACTGTGTACAAGAGCTTAAAAATTATTTTTATCAGCATTTAACATTGCATTTTAAATTTGTTTTTCTTTAAAGTTAATAGATATATTTTATCGATCATAGAAAAAAACACAGTTTTCATATATCTCCATATTAGGTTCAAATTATTGTGTATCTCTGCATTGTTTGCCTTTTCTATATTGAATACAAGATAAACTGTAAATAAGGATTTTGAAAGAACTCTTTTTGAATACTGCCCAACATTTTTAATATTCCTTGTAATTTTCTAGAATCTACTTTCAAAATCATATTTAAAATTACAGTTTCAGAATGAAAAATTCTACTGTCTTTCATGTTAAAAATAGTAGTATCAATTAAAGCTCTATGTGGATTAAAGACAAGTATGAAAAATATTAGGTGATGACAGGTATAGTTTAAGAACCTTTCTATAATGCAGTATTGTTATACATTTTATTTTTCACCATTAACAATTAAAGTTTACCCATTTTCTCAAGAATGGGTTAATCAAATACATCAAGTCATGCTGCTGATAGATTCAATCCCACTAAAATATTTCATTTTTTAAGGGTCAGAAAGAAATATGTTTGTTCTTATAAAGAAGAATAAAACAAATATCAGCAAAAGGTATCATAAACAAGGAAGATCAAATATGATCCCTGCCAACTCCACTAAAATCCCTCACACAAATGACACATTGATTTTACAGAGGAATGACTGTCAAGTGGATAAACATTATATTCACGTTTATTGTACTGATGTCAGAGTTGCCAGCCAAGATAAGATTGCAAAAACAATTTTTTAAAGTGGCATATTTTATTCCATCTAAATATTTATACACACACACACACACCACACACACACGTATGTATATATTTTTTCCCCCTCTGGTGATTTCTCATAGCCAAATACTCTTCAATCTGGTGCCCTTCCAGCATTCTTAGACCTCTATACTCTTAAAGTCCGTTGCATATGACTGGGAGCAAGGGACTAGATCACTGGCCAAACAGATGGTGAGGAATAGTTAATTGGCTCACTTGAGAAGACGATGAGTTACTCAGACTATGGTTTTGTCAAGGGAAATGAAAAATAGATTACATCTGTTTTAACAATTAAAAAATTCTCAATTGCTTATTTCAAATAATAAAGGTTTTTGAAGATACTAAGCAGCTTACATATATTAATCTCTTAATTCTGATGATGATTTTGGGGGGTACCAATACTAGTATTCTTACAGATGAGAAATCTGAGACACTGAATAATTAAGAAAGTCACCCAGGATCACTCAGAATATGAGGTAAGCCAAGAATCAAAACGAAGCAGATTTTCTCCAAAGTCATTAGATAACTACACTATGTCTCTGCTTTGAGTTCTAGAATGTTTCCAAATATATTTGTAATTATAAAAGTAAAATATGGTCACTGAACACAATTTAGAAAATACAGAATGGTAAAAAGCAGACAACCAACTGTAACCCACCCACTGAAAGAAAAGCATTTTAAACTGTTAATAGATTTAACAGGGTTGAGATAATTTCTGTACATTCTGCATTTTGATCTGTTTTCTTTCTTTAAAAATAAAACATGGTTTTCTTCAAACATTATATTGTAAGCATTTGACTTGAGCTATAGCTCTAATAGGTAAAGGGCATAGTGGTCATTAACTATTTTTTTTTTAATGAGAAAACCAGAACACCCTAAATATCAATGGATTTTCTAGGACCAATCAAAGAATTGAGATAGTGGAGTAAACTGGTACCCTGAAATGTGGAGACACTGCCCTAAACAGAATCACTGATCTCACAAAAAACTGAGATCAGCTAACCTGGAACAGAAGCTGCTGAAGCCATGAACTGGTAGAAGCACCTAAAGAGTAATTTTGACAAATGGCTGGAAGTCCAGTGTGAAATAGCATGAGGAATAAACTCCTGAGGTTTGCAGTCTTCGAAGTCCCTAGCGTGTTTATGGGTTTCACCTCCAGTAAGCTCTCATGATAAAGAGCCAGGAAATTCCCTGGTGCTTCTGGCCTGGGGAGCAGTAAAGAAACCAACTTGAAATATACCCAGAGCATTCTCCATAACAAAAACCTGGCTGGCAGGTAGGAGAAAAGACCTTATCAGATCATTATCACATCCAGGAATAGGGCAATTATCTAACAATAGCATCCTCTGGCCTTTCTGTCTCACCAACTGGAGAAAGAAACACTTGTGAAGGTCACAGCCAAGAGATGCAAGGCCACTAAAAGATTGATTCAATTATAATATTATAGAAAGCTTCCCTTCCCCCACAAAACCACCAAATCAACAAGGTTTCAGCCTAATAACCGTGGATTACAGTTGAAAGAGCTGCAAGTCTCAGACTTTAAGAAGTTCATAGGAGAACACAAAAGCAAAAGAGGAAAGAAAGTAGATGCTAGCAGAATTTGAAACTACTGACACCTACAGCTGTGACAAAGATGAAACACAATACAACTCACAGTCAGATTAACATAAAGCCTCACAGTAAAAGTGTGTTTGCATCAGTTCCTATTATCTGATAACAATATGCTCACCTTTCAACAAAAAAATTGTAAGACATTGAACAACTCAGGAAATAACAGTCTGAAGAGACAAAGCAAGCATCTGAATATGACTCAGAAGTAACACATAAATTGAAATTATCACACACACATATGTATATTTATAATAGTCAGTATTCTACAGGTAGAATTAGACAACATTCAAGGATAGGTGGGTAATGTAAGCAGAGAGATGGAAACTAAAAAAGGATTCGAAGAAAATGCTGGAAATAAAAAGCTAATAACAATTAAAAAATCTTTAATGGACTCATCAGTTGACTGGATATGGCTCAGGAAATAATTAGTGATCTTGAGGATGCATGAGTATAAATTCAAACTAAAATGCAAAGAGAAAATAAGATGAAGAAGTTGATTTTGAGCTGCTGAACTCAAATGATCCTCCTTCTTCAGCCTCCCAAGGTGCTGAGATTACAGGTGTGAGCAACCATGTTTGGCCTTTTTTTTTTTTTAATCTTTGTAAATCTAAATGGTGTAACAAGATGATATACTCACCATTGTTTTAGATTTTATTTTACGGATTGGTAACACCATTACTGAAATACAGTGATAATGAATATGTGCGATTTTTTTGTTCTAAGCCTTTACCTATATTAAATTCATTTAATTTCCTTATCTGTATTAACACATTTATTTCTTATATAGCTCTGAAGTAGGTACTATTAATATGTTCATTTGTGGATAAGGTAATAGTCACAAAGAGTGATTAAATAACTTTGTCCTCACAACAGGGACCCTTAGAGTTGATGTTTATTTGAACATGATCATTATTGTTAGAGTTCATACTATTAACCTCAATGTTTGAGCACTTCTCTGCTTGAGATGAAACATATTGTATTGTGTAGTCATTCCTGATTGAAATGTATTTTCAAGCTTTAGTTCTTTATTGCATCTTAATAGAAAAAAGCCTAAATCTTGAAAATACTTGAATATGACATGAATGAATAAATTTGTCATGAATGATTGAATGTGGCAGTCATTATTTATAATGTCTTTTTATCCAAAGGTATTTATGGCATTTTATGATAAATAACATTTTGATTTTTATAGATAAACCTGCCTTTCATTTAGTTGATTTTCTGACTTTGATATTCAGCTTTGAAAAGGTGATCTCCTGTAGTCCCAGCCACTCAGGAGGCCAAGGTGGAAGATCTCTTGACCTAGGAATTTGAGTCCAACCTGGGCAACATAGTGAGACTCATCTCAAAACAAAACAAGAAGGTGATCCCCATCTCCATTACTACATAATTAAAATGAGATGTTTCTTAACAGGCAAGTACTCTTTAGGGACAAGTTTCTTCACTTCATTTTAATTGTGTATTCTGAATGTCATGAATTATTTTGTTGGTATTGTATTAGTTTTCTCCAAAGAAACAGAGCTATTAGTATATAGATATAGAAGATTTATTATGGAAACTAACTCACACAATTATAGAGGCTGACAAGTCCCACAATCTGTCATATGGATGCTGGAAACTAGTGAAAATTAGTGAACTAGGAAACCAAATGATGTAATTCAGTTCAAGGCTGAAGACCTGAAAACATGGCGGGGGTGGGGAGAACTCCTGTTAAGTTCCTCTGCCCTGGAGTCTAAAGGCCTGAGAACCAGGATTTCCTTTGCCTGAGGGGAAGATGTGTGTCCCAGCTCAAGGAAAGATACAGATAATTTGTCCTTCTTCACCCTTTTTGTTCTATTCAGGGCCCCAGTGAATTGGACAATGCCTGGCCACATTGGGAAGAGTGAATCTTCTTTACTGATCCAAATGGCAATTTCTTTCAGAATGACATGCCCAGAAGTATTTTTAGCCAGTTAACTGAGCATCTCTTAGCCCCATCAAGTTGACAAATAAAATTAATCTTCTCAGATATATACTAAGACAATATGCCATCTTATAGTTTAATTGTGTCATTTCAGTGGACTTTCATTGTGAACACTTGTTCTTTTGATAAGTAAAACTTATTTATTCCAGCTCTTATTTTTTACTCTGAACTAATCAAGCTCATAGAAACCACAATTCCTAGTATGTACTATTGGTAATTATTTGTGTGGATGTGAGTATCTGGTACTATCTGTGTCACTGTACTTTTGAGTGCCCAATGCTCTGAAATGTCATTTATGCATTTATTTAACACATATTACTTGGGATTTTACTATGTGCTAAGAGGGTGAGCAAATTTTCTGTAAATGGACAGACAGTAAATATTTTAGACTTTGTGGACCACACACATTTTGCTTTCCATGGTGTCCTCACCCTTTTCTTCCTCCTCCTACTTCTTCTTCCTCTAATTTTTCTACCACCCTTTGAAAAAGTGAAAACTGTTATTAGTTCAAAAGCCATACATAGGACATTTGTTGATTCCTGTTAGTATCAGAGTTACAGTGGTAGGTGATGAGTGATGCTGATAATGTCTACACGTTGACAGAGCTCACAAAACTTACACCTGATTGAAAAGGACTCCAGAAGAATACAGGCCACTATAATGCAACCTGTAAGTTGAGAGATTCAGGGAAGACCATTCAGTAACATTGAACTGAGACCCAAAGTGCACCTGTGAATTACTATCTTGTCCTATTAGTGTTAAGTTTGCACTCTTAAAAACTGTAAATCCTAGGAAGACAGGGTCATCATGAACCTTCACCACTGTATCTTCAGATCCTAGCTCTATGCCATTAAGGAATATATAAATATTTGCTGAATAGATAAAGATCAGATTTTGAACAAAACTAGGGTGGGAAAGATATGTCTCAGGGTCCCTTCACATTTCTCACATTTCTCACTTGAATGCAAGGTAGACAGCGGCTTGCTCTTTTGGTTGGTAGAGAACCAATCTGAGACTGTGTGGGAAGTTTGATCACTATCATTTTGTTGGCGTGCACCCTATTTCATAAGGTGAAGTAGGGATAAGCTTAAGATGAAGACTGGGTAGTGATTTACCAATCAACTGTCACTTTTTAATTAATTGGAAAGTTCTTTCAGGTTCTGACAAGGGGCTGTCATTCTCACTTTTCATGGGTTATTTTAAAATTTTATCCATGTCTATGCCTTTCTAAGTATTTTAGCGAGAGGTGAAAAATTCACTATCTGAGTTTTGTAGGTAAATCAGAAATGGAATCACAGATTTTAGAGGCAAATAGGTCTTTTATCCCAGATTTAATGTATATAACTCACATCTTTAATGAAGGATAAAGTGGAAAGTGCTATTCACATGACACATGGGGTTTACCTGGGTCTGGCAAAGTTAGAAAAAGCAGGTAACTCGACTTTAAGTGCTATCTCTCTGGGGGTTCCTCTGCCTTAGTCTTTATGGGTGACTAAGTTTTTTCTCCTGGTTTCATAGATGTTCAAGTTTGTTTTTTTTTTTTTAAGTATAGGTATATTTTATTTTTAGGTAAAATTTAAAACTTAGAAGTCTTCATCATCCTCACTAGAACCTCATACTGAACTACTGAGACTGTACCTCGACAATAGATCTCCATTTCTTTTGCTGTGACTTTTGTCTATAATACCATCTCTGATCCCTATGACTGCTGTAATAGCTTTCTGACTATTTTACTTCCATCCATGTTTTTCCACTACCGGTTTCCTGTGATTTGCATCCTGGGTTATAATTCAGAAATTCAAATCTGATCATGCTAGGAACTTGCTTAAAACCCTTCAGTAACTTTCCATAGCTGAGAAGGCTGTCTTTAGCATAAACTGTCCAAAAGTAGCTGTTCCAGCTAACTGTTGCCTACTGGCCTAGCTGCATCATAAACCAGAAACGTTAGCTTTTCATATCAACTAGATTGGCCTTATTTCTACACCAGAAATCACATAGTTCTTTCTCACCTCCCAGCACTCAAAAATCTTGAAAGCCATACTTTCTTTTCTTTTTTCTTTTTTTTTTTTTTTTGAGACAGAGTCTCGTTCCGTCACCCAGTCTGGAGTGCAGTGGCGCGATCTCGGCTCACTGCAAGCTCTGCCACCCGGGTTCACGCCATTCTCCTGCCTCAGCCTCCTGAATAGCTGGGACTACAGGCGCCCGACACCACGCCTGGCTAATTTTTTGTATTTTTTAGTAGAGACAGGGTTTCACCGTGTTAGCCAGGATGGTCTCTATCTCCTCACCTCGTGATCTGCCCGCCTCTGCCTCCCAAGGTGCTGGGATTACAGGCGTGAGCCGCCGCGCCCGGCCCGCCATACTTTCATGATCCTTCCCAAGCTTGAGTTACTTAATCTCCATTTTCAAGTCCATATGAAATGTCTTTTTATCCAGGGAGATACTCATGATTCTCTTGCATTGGTTAGATTTCCCCATTGACCAGGACTTACAGAGCCCCGTTGCTCTCTTCCTTAATACTTGTCAGAAATATAGAAATAGAGAGCTCAAGTTCGAGATGAAGAAGAGAGAAAGAAGAAGACTGTTGGAGATATGTTAATAATTACAATTAGCGCACAAAAATATTTTTTAAAATTACTTTAGGAAATTGGAATTAAGGAATGGGTGTGACTATTTGTGTCATGTATTTATTTGTGTATGCATGTGCTTTTACATTTAAAAAATATCTTACATGTAGTTTTCCCAATTACCATATATTACTTTTAGAATCAAAGAATGGTAATTGATTTTGTGTGTCTCATCAATCAGAACGTATGCTTAAAGAGTTCTGAAACTGTTGTTTTTATTCTAAGGACACTTGTAATTTTAGCACAGTGTTTTGAACTAAGTTGTCACTTTTATATACTTGGTAAATATAATAAAGAAAGAAACTAAAAAGAATTATTTAATAAATAAATAAATTTAATACCTTTGCCATACTCCCATGTGGCTTAATTAAAATTTATTTTTCTTCTTTTTTTTTTTAGTTCTGTAGGGCAATTGCCTTGTTTTTCTAGATAAAAATGTAGTGATAGATTAACCCACCAAATTTTCCAAAGCTGTTTCTCCTCAAGTAACATGCCTTTAAATATTTTGAAGACAAAGCCTTAAGAAGTGGGAAACCAGGGTAGTGGTGAAATAGCAGGAACAACATTTTATGTGTAAGAGTCAATTTTAATACTCAGTTCACACTATATAGAGATTATCTTATTCCAATACAATGTATATGAAAACCTAGTGTCAGATTCTTAGACTCCAAGGAGCAGAAGTGACTCTACATGATTTTAAATTTCAAGCAGCATTTCTGAGATTGAAAAAAAAAAATCTCTCAGTAGATATTTCTTCCCTATAATTCTTTAATTATATTGAAGGAATATTCTCAAAATGCAGTATCTACCCAGTTTAAAAAAATAAAACATTTCTCTAACTAGGAAAGTAGTGTCACTAGGGACTTCAATAATCTATCTGAAGTACATATAGCAGCATCTGGATTATTTGCAATCTATTAGCTTCAGATCCAAAATAGCTTTTCTATTCCTAAGTAATGAGCCCTGTGCATTTCCTTACAGCTCTGAAGCTTACACTGAAAAACAAGTGCCAATTTTTTTTAAGGAAATAAATTTAAATAATCATGGAGAATTAATTTCTCTTCAACCCAGCTAATTTTCTTCTACTACTGCTGCTGCCATGGTCGTTTTTACTAGATAATGTAGATATGGGTATAATATCATGAACTAAAAAGTGGACATAATTGCACATTTTGGGCAAAAATGTGTTTGGGTTGGGGTGGTGATAACAAACAATGTGATATTCTCATTTTCTCAGCCTTAAGAAGTCAAATGTCTCTGTAGGATAAGATATTCAAGGTAATATTTTCCTGTAAAGAAACACAGATGTTAATGTCTATAATTGTATTGGTACAAAGTAGATTTCAGATATTATGTAAAATTAATTTTTAGAAAACAATGTATACAGAGAACTATATTATACAGAGAACTAAGCTAAGGCAAGTGTTTGAAAGGGGAAGAAAAGTGTTTATTTAAATATAGTTGTTTTGTTTTGTTCTGTTTTTGGTGTGTTTGCCAAAGTTCTCTGTTAGTGGAACAATCTGAAAAAAATATGTAAAAGGGTCAATGAAACAAAAAGCAGCATATTTAATTTATATTTGAATTTAAACCTATGGTTTTTAAATAGGGAAATCACAGACCTTTCTGATGATCTAAAGAAAAACATAAATATTATCCATAGGAAAAAATGCAAATGCAAATAAAAACAGCACAAATTTCTACTACAACCCTTTAATTTCCCTTGATCCTCCCTTCCACAACACCTCCCACTCCCATCCTTCCATCTAGGCCAAGGATTCTGGTGAACCTTGCCTTAGAGTATGCTCCCCTCCATGACTTCAGGTAGCAAGTGTTATTGGCATATAAATTATATTATGCAGATAAACAATAATAAGTCCAAACAATAATACACAGCAGAATTAGATTAAGAAGAGTGAAAACATCCTGAAACCAACATCTGTACTATTTAATTAAAGATAATTTTTGGAGGTTGCAGGGGCTGGGTGATGGAGGAAATGGGAGACACTGGTCCAAGGATACAGAGTGAAAGTTAAAAATTAGATGACTTTTATTTCCATCTTTAAACTCTTCATTAAAAAGTTAAAATCCAAAATAAATGCATATAATTTTATTTCTCACTTAATTTAAAATAGACCCAACTTGAGAACTTTTATTTTTAATGTATGGTGAAAATGGCTTTTCTTCCTTGTACTTATTTATAGTAATAAAAACACTAGACTGTGAATTCCTTTGGCATAAGAACAATGTCTCGTTTTCTTCTTCATATTCAGCACCTTGTAAAGGATCTACCATACTTCACAAGGGAAGTAAATATTTGCGAAAGGAGAGACCAAAGGAGGAAAAAAAATAGAAGAAAGGAAGAAATTTAAGAAGTGAGGAGGAAACAAACAAAGGAATAAATAAAGGACTGAAGAAAAAATAAAAAGCAGCAGTATAGCCAATTACCAACTTATTTATCAATGTACCACAAAGATCTCCCTCTTTCTGGCTTTGAATTCTTCCTACTGAAATGACAACTTTCTTACTAGTATGAATATGTGAAAAAGTTGCAGAAGAAATAAGATTTTATGCTAAAGAGAGCTTCCTCAAACTCAGTCAGGCTCTGTTAGACTCTTCGTGGTACTGTGAATAAGACAGGATACTTTGGGCACTGGAACAAACATATTGAAAATGCCCCAGTTTGTGCTTCCCTGCCTCTCTCCGTTCTGTCTGTAGCTTTCATAATTTCCCATATTCAAACCCTTCACTTCAATATTCTAAAATTATCTCTTTCTACTCATCAGTCCATTAACTTTACTCTTCCTTTCCTTCACAGTTGATCCTTATTTATCATTGAAATGGACCTTCTTACCTACATTACTGGTGATTAAGTCATAAAAAGGTAAATAAAGCATTTGCACTGTAAAAGAAATGCTGCTAAATCAAAGGGCTTTAATTCTAGCAATGAGATGACGTTTCTCTGTGTGGCATCTATAATCTTTTTTTGAGAAATATTTTCCCAATAGTCCAATCTTCCTAAATATCACATAGTTCAGCCTATCCTTTCTTTGCTTTTGCACTTCATTTTGTTTTCATTTGTCTGGGTCTGTAGTAGAAGGAAGCAGTAACAGTTGGGAGGCTCTAAGGAATCCCACCAGGCTTCAAGGAGTACTGAGAAGGATTAAGCTCTTCTACTGCAATTTCTAGATTTAGATAGTCTTATGTGACAGCCCATCTTGCACGTCATGCTGCCAGTTGATAATGGGTACCACTTGCATAATGGATTAGTCTAATGAAAAAGGAAGGGGATAACTGCCAGAAAACTCCAGATTTGAACTCTAAAACTACTTCATCCAGGTTTAGTAGCTTTTCTAACTTTTCTGAACCCTTGAAATGTTCTGATAGTAATAACTAAAAAGCCTTATAAAGATTTAATGAGATTGATTTTATAAAGCACATTGTGACATATGCATGTTCTAAGTGCTCAGAAAATGTGGATTTCCATCTCTTCTCCAACTTACTTTTATTAGCCTTGTGTTACCAGGAGGAAACAGACATGGTGTAATTGTTAAACTCAGATAAATATATGAAAATAAATACATAAATATAGGTAATAAATATATGTTAAAATATAGGACTGTATTGTTAGAGTTTCTCTTACTCCCAATAACATCATTTTTCAAGTACTCGTGGCATGTTCTTGAATGTCATTTGAATACCTGACTTTAATAGCCACATAGTATTACATTTTAGCAACAAACCATAAATAAAATTTTTAATTCTGTATTTTTTTCTATTTTTGTTTTACATATTCAGTCTTACCATTAAAGAAACAATAAGCTAAAATAATATATGTAAACTTTTATATCTAAGATGACACTTGACATGGTTTGGCTCCGTGTCCCCACCCAACTTTCTCCTTGACTTGTAATAATCCCCATGTGTCATGGGAGGGACCCTGTGGGAGTTAACTGAATCATGGGAGCAGGTTTTTCCCATGCTGTTCTCGCGAGAATGACTAAGTCTTGTGAGATCTGATGGTTTTATAAAAGGGAGTTCCCCTGCACATGCTGTCTTGCGTGCCACCATGTAAGACATGAGTTTGCTCCTCCTTCACCTTCTGCCATAATTATGAGGCCTCCCCAGCCATGTGGAACTGTGAGTCAATTAAACCTCTTTCCTTTAGAAATTACCCAGTCTTGGGTAAATCTTTGTTAGCAGTGTGAGAACAGGCTAATACAGTAAGTTGGTACCAGGTAGTGGGGTGCTGCTGTAAAGATACCTGAAAATGTGGAAACACCATTGGAATTGGGTAACAAGCAGAAGCTGGAACAGTTTGGAATGCTCAGAAGAAAACAGGGATATGTGGAAAAGTTTAGAACTTCCTAGGGACTTGGAGGACTCAGAAGACAGGAAAATGTCGGAAAATTTGGAACTTCCTAGAGACTTGTGAATGGCTTTGACCAAAATGTTGATAGTGACATGGAGAATAAATTCCAGGCTGAGGTGGTCTCAGACAGAGATGGGGAACTTGTTGGGAACTGGAGCAAAGGTGACTCTTATTATATGTTAGCAAAGAGACTGGCAGCATTTTGCCCCTGCCCGAGAGACTTGTGGAACTTTGAACTTAAGAGATGATTTAGGGCATCTGGCAGAAGAAATTTCTAAGCAGCAAAGTGTTCAAGAAGTGACTTGGGTGCTGTTAAAAGCATTCAGTTTTATGTATTCACAAAGATGTGGTTTAGAATTGGAACTTATGCTTAAAAGGGAAGCAGAGCATAGAAGTTCAAAAAATTTGCAGCCTGCTGATGTGATAAAAAAGAAAGACCTATTTTCTGAGGAGGAATTCAATCTGGCTGCAGAAATTTGCATAAGTAATGAGGAGCCTAATGTTAATCACTAAGACAATGGGGAAAATGTCTCCAGAGACGGTCAAAGATCTTTATGGCAGCCCCTCCCATAACAGACCTGGAGGCCTAAAAGAAAAAAAATAATTTCTTGGGCTGAGCCCAGGGTCCCCCTGCTGTGTACAGCCTAGGGACTTGGTGCTCTGTGTCCAAGCTGCTCCAGCCATGGCTAAAAGATGCCAAGGTACAGCTCGGGCCATGGCTTCAGAGAGTGTAAGCCCCAAGCCTTGATGGCTTCCACGTGGGTGTTGGGCCTGCAGGTACACAGAAGAAAAGAGTTAAGCTTTGGGAACCTCCACCTAGATATCACAGGATGTATGGAAATACCTGGATGTCCAGGCAGAAGTCTGCTGCAGTGGTGGAGCCCACATAGAGAACCTCTGCTAAAGCAGTGCAAGGGGGAAATGCAGGGTTGGAGCCCCCACAAAGAGTCCCCATTGGGGCACTGCCTAGTGGAGCTGTGAGAAGAGGGCTACCATCCTCTAGACCCCAGAATGGTAGACCCACCAGCAGCTTGCACCATGCATCTAAAAAAGCTGCAGATAATCAATAAAAACCTGTAAAAGCAGCTGGGAGTGGGGCTTTTACCCTGCAATGCCACAGGGGTGGAGCTGCCCGAGGCCATGGGAGCCCACCTCTTGCATCATGTGACCTAGATGTGAGACCTGTAGTCAAAGGAGATCATTTTGGAGCTTTAAGATTTGGCTGCCCCACTGGATTTCAGACTTGTGTGGGGCATGTAGCACCTTTGTTTTGGCCAGTTTCTTCCATTTGGGAGCAATTGACCCAATGCCTCTACCCCCAATTGTATCTATAAAGTAACTAATTTGCTTTTGATTTTACAGGCTCATAGGCAGAAAGTACTTTGTCTCAGATGAGACTTTGGATTTAGATGTTTGAGTTAATGCTGAAATGAGTTAAGACTTTTGGGGACTTTTGGAAGGCATGATTGGTTTTGAAATGTGAGGACATGAGATTTGGGAGAGGCCACAGATGGAATGATACGTTTTGGCTCCATATCCCCACCCAAATCTCACCTTGACTTGTAATAATCCCCACGGGTCATGGGAGGGATGTGGTGGGAAGTAGTTGAATCATAGGGGCAGGTTTTTCTCTTACTGTTCTCACGATAGTAAATAATTCTCATGAGATCTGCTGGTTTTATAAAGGGGAGTTCCCCTGCACATGCTCTCTTGCCTGCTACCATGTAAGACATGACTTTTCTCCCCATTTGCCTTCAGCCATGACTGTGAGGCCTCCCAAGCCATGTGGAGCTGTGAGTCAATTAAACCTCTTTCCTTTATAAATTACCCAATCTCAGGTACATCTTTATTAGCAGCATGAGAACAGACTAATAAAACACTTTTAGAGTAGAAAGTCTCAGGACAGTTATATATATTTTTAAGGCTCTTATAATTAAGTTTTTTTCCTCTCTCTCTTCCTTTTTTTTAACTTTTATTTTGAGTTCAGGGGTACGTATGCAAGTTTGTTATTTAGGTAAACTTTTGTCATGGGGATTTGTTGTACAGATTATTTCATCACTCAAGTATTAAGCCTAGTATCCATTAGTTATTTTTCCTGATCCTTTCCATCTTCTCATCCTCTACTTTGTGGTAGGCCTCAGTGTCTGTTCCTCTCTATGTGTCCATGTTTTCTTATCATTTAGCTCTCACTTATAAGTAAGAATATGTGGTATTTGGTTTTCTTTTGCTGCATCACTTTGCTAAGGATAATGGCCTGCAGCTCCAACCATGTGCCTGCAAAGGTCATAATCTCATTCTCTGTTATGGTTGCATAGTTTCCTATGGTGTATATATACCACATTTTTAAAATTCAATCTATCATTGATGGGCATGTAGGTTGATTCCATGTCTTTGTTATTGTGATTAGTGCTGCAATGAACATACGCATGCATGTGTCTTTATGACAGAATGATTTATATTTCTTTGGAATTACTGGGTCAAATCGTAGTTCTGTGCTTAGGTCTTTTAGGTCTTTTTAGGGTTTTTTAGGTCTTTGATAAATTGTCAGCCAGGTGTGCTGGCTTATGCCTGTAACCCCAGCACTTTGGGAGGCCGAGGTGGGAGGATCATTTGAGGTCAGGAGTTTGAGACCAGCTTGGCCAACATGGTGAAACCCTGTCTCTACAAAAAATACAAAAATTAGCCAGGCATGATGGTGGGTGCCTGTAATCGCAGCTACTTTTGCAGGCTGAGGCAGGAGAAGTGCTTGAACCTGGGAGGCAGAGGTTGCCGTGAGCTGAGATCGCACCATTGCACTCCAGCCTGGATGACAGAGCAAGACTCCATCTCAAAAAAAAAAAAAAAAAGTAATTGCCACATTGTTTTTCACAATGGTTGAACTAATTTACACTCCCACCAACAGTGTACAAGGACTCCTTTTTCACTGCAATCTCAACAACATGTATTTTTTATTTAATTTTATTTTTTTCTATTGTTTTTGGGGAACAGGTGTATTTTTGTTACATGATTAAGTTCCTTACTGGTAATTTCTGAGATTTTGGTGTACCCATCCCCCAAGCAGTGTGCACTGTATCCAATGCTAGTCTTATATCCCTCACCCGCCTCTCACCCTTTCCCCTGAATACTCCCAAAGTCTGTTATATCATTCTTGTGCCTTTGCCTTCTCATAGTTTAGCTCCTGTTTGTAAGTGAGAACATACAATATTTGGGTTTTCATTCCTAAGTTATTTCATATAGAATAATGGTTCCCAACTCCATCCAGGTTGCTCCAGATGCCATTATTTTGTTCTTTTTTATGGCTGAGGAGTATTCCGTGGTGTATGCATACCACATTTTCTTTACCCACTTGTTGGTTGATGGGCATTTATGCTGGTTTTATATTTTTGCAACCTCAAATTTTGCTGCTATAAACATGTGTGTGCAAGTGTTTTTTTTTCATATAATGATTTATTTTCCTTTGGGGAGATACCCAGTAGTGGAATTGCTGGGTGGAATGGGTAGTTCTACTTTTAGTTCTTTTTTTAAATTTTTATTTTAGGGTTGGGGGTACACGTGAAGGTTTGTTAGATAGATAAACATGGGTCATGGGGATTTGTTGTACATATTATTACATCATCAAGGTATTAAGCTCACTCTCAGGTCACAGCACAATAAAAATAGAAGTCAACAGGAGGTTGGCTAGTCATCTTTTCTGCTTCTCTCCCTTCTCCCACTCTCTCTCATCAAATGGACCCCAGTGTCTGCAGTTTCCTTTTTTTGTATTCATAATTTCTTATCATTTAGCTCCCACTTATAATAATATGTGGTGTTTGGTTTTCTGTTCCTGCATTAGTTTGCTAAGGATGATAGCCTCCAGCTCCATCCCTGTTCCTGCAAAAGACAGGATCTCATTCTTTTTTATGGCTGCATAATATTTCATGGTATATATGTACCACACATTTATTTTTATCCGGGCTGTCATGGATGGACATTTAGGTTTATTCCATGTGTTTGCTATTGTGAACAGTGCTGAAATAAACATTCATGTACATGTGTCTTTAGGGTAGATGTTTTTTATTTCTTATTATATACCCAGTAATGGGATTGCTGGGTCGAATGATAGTTCTGCTTTTAGGTATTTGAGGAATCACCATACTGCTTTTCACAATGTTTGAACTAATTTACACTTTCACCAATAATGTATAAGTGCTCCCTTTTCTCCTCAACCTCACCAGCATCTATTATTTTTTGACTTTTGAATAGCCATTCTGACTGGTGTGAGATAGTATCTCATAGTTTTTTATTTTCATTTCTCTAATGATCAGTGATATTGAGCTTTTCTCATTTGCTTGTTGGCTGCATGTATATCTTCTTTTGAGAAGTGTCTATTCATGCTCTTTGCCTACTTTTTAATGGGGTTGTTTGTTTTTCTCTTGTAAATTTCTTTAAGTTCCTTAGAGATGCTGGATATTAGACCTTTGTCAGATGCATAGTTTGCAAGTATTTTCTCCCATTCTGTATGTTGTCTTTTTCTCTGCTGATAGTTTATTTTGCTGTGTGGAAGCTCTTTAATTAGATCCCACTTGTCAATTTTTGCTTTTGTTGTGATTGCTTTCAGTGTCCTTGTCATAAAACTTTTGCCTGTCCCTAGATCCAGGATGGTATTACATAGGTTATCTTTCAGGGTTTTTATAGTTTTGGGTTTTACATTTAAGTCTTTAATCTATCTTGAGTTGATTTTTGTATATGTTGTAAAGAAGAGGTCCAGTGTGAATCTTCTGCATATGGCTAGCCAGTTATCCCACACCATTTATTGAATAGGGAGTCTTTTCCCCATTGCTTATTTTTGTCAGCTTTGTAAAAGATAAGGTGGTAATAGATGTGCAGCATTATATCTTGGCTCTTTATTCTGTTACATTGGCCTATGTGCCTGTTTTTGTAGCACTACCATGCTGTTTTGGTCACTGTAGCCTTGCACTATAGTTTGAAGCCAGGCAATGTGATTCTTTCAGCTTTGTTCTTTTTGCTTAGAATTGCCTTGCCTATTTGGGCTATAGTTTGGTTCCATGTAAATTTTGAAATATTTTTTCTAGTTCTGTGAAGAATGTCATTGGTAGTTTGATAGGAATAGCACTGAATCCATAAATTGCTTTGGGGAGTATAGTCATTTTTATGACATTGATTCTTTCTATTCTTGAGTATGGAGTATTTACCATTTGTTTGTGTCTTCTCTGATTTTTTTGAACAATATTTTGTAATTCTCATTATAGTGATATTTCACCTTCCTACTTGGCAGTATTCATAGGTATTTTATTCTTTTTGTGGCAATGTGAATGGGACAGCTTTCTCATTTGGCACTTGGTTTGCCTTTTATTGGTGTCTAGGAATGCTTTTGATTTTTGTACATTGATTTTTTTATCCTGCAGATTTGCTGAAGTAATTTATTAGCTGAAGGAGCTTTTGGCCAAAGACTATTGTGTTTTCTAGATAAAGAATCATTGCCTGCAAACAGAAATAGTGTGACTTTCTCTTTTCTTATTTAGGTGCCCTTTATTTTCTTCTCTTGCCTGATTGCTCTGGTTATTACTTTCAATATATGTTGAATAGAAGTGAGCTGTCTTACAGTGACACATGTTTTTGTGTTTGTTTTTTTTTTGTTTGTTTGTTTGTTTGTTTTGGTCTTAGCTAGTAGCAGTCTTTCTTTTCTATTTTAATGCTCTTTTCAAGATCTCTTGTAAGGCAGATCTGGTGGTAATGAAGTCCCTCAACATTTGCTAATCAGAGAAGAATCTTATTTCTACTTCATTTAGGGAGCTTAGTTTGGCTGGATATAAAATTCTTGGGTAAATATATTTTTTTCTTTAAGAATGTTGAATATAGGTCCCCAGTCTATTCAGGCTTTAGTGTTTTAGCTAACAAGTCTGCTGTTAGTCTGATGGGGATCCCTTTGTAGGTGACCTGCCCTTTCTCTCTAGCTGACTTTAACATAATTTATTTTATTTTGACCTTGGAAGATCTGATGATTATGTGTCTTGGGGATGACCTTGTGTAGAATCTTGCAGGAGTTCTCTGTATTTTCTGAGTTTGACTGCTGGCCTCTCTAGCAAGGTTGGGGAAGTTTTTATGGACAATATCCTGAAATATATTTACGAAGTTCTTTGCTTCCTCTCTTTCCCTTTCAGGGATTCCAGTGATTCACAGATTTGGACTCTTTACATAATTCCGTAATTCTCGGAGGTTTTGTTCATTTGTATTTATTCTTTTTTCTTCATTTTCATCTGACTATCTTATTTCAGAGAACCAGACTTCAAGTTCTGAGATTCATTCCTCAGCGTGATTTATTCTGCTGTTAATACTTGTGATTGTATTGTGCAATCCTTTTGTTGTGCTATTCAGCTCTGTCAGACTCGTTAGGTTCTTTATTACACCAGTTATTTAGTCCTTCGTCTCCTGTATCACTTTATTGTGATTCTTATTTTCCTTGTATTGGGTTTTGCCATCCTCCTGAATCTTGATGATCTTTGTTTCTATCTATAATCCAAATAATATTTCTGTCATTCCAGCCAGTTCATTCTTGTTAAAACTCTTGTTGGAGAACTGGTGCAGTCATATGAAGGACATATGACACTTTGGCCATTTGATTTACTGGAGTTCTTGTGTTGCTTCTTTCTCATCTCTGCATGTGAGTGCTGGTTTAACTGCATTGTAGATTGAATACAGTCAATAGACTTATTTTCTGGATGTTTTCACCAGGCCAAAGATTTGTGGAAGTTCTTTCTTTAAAGCTGATTTTTTGTCTCTGATTTCAGAAAAGAGTATGTTAGTGAGGTATTTTTGGTGTTCAGGCTTTGGGGTGTAACCCAGCTGGTAACACTTAAGCTTCTTGGTCAGTCAGTAGACTCTTGCTTAGTTGTGTGGCTCCCCTATGTTTCCTCACAATTACTGTTGTGTTCCCTCTCAGTGCTCTGAAAATGTGTGTTCCTTTCCCCCTTGAGTGCTGGCCATGATATATGACTTGGCACTCCTGGGCTGGCCACTGCAGTTTTGGGCAATCTCAGTTTTTATGTTTCTTCCCCAGCTTAGAGGCAGCAGAGGAAGAGATTTTAGTAGTGGTTGTGGCCAAGGGTTATGTTCTTGACTCCTGGGGGCTCCACCTCAGAGAGATGCAGGGCAGCAGTCACTCAGTGCAGTCAGCTCAAGATGGAGAGTTTGTCCTATAGACCCAAACCAGGGGTCCCCAGTCTGGTGATGAGCTGTGAGCGGGTGTGTGGGACCTGAGGGAGATGGACTAGCTTCCTCTTCTTGGGTTAATTGCAGCTTGTTGGAGGTATAAATAAGGCATTTAGGGTCTTTTCTCCTTTGTTAGTCCAAGGGTGGCGAGGGTGGAAGAGGCAGTGGCAGAAAATCTTTCAGTTTCCCCTGGATGCTCTGTCTGGGGCATTGCCTAGTTGGTACCGGCTCAATAGCTCTGGTGTGAGAGGTGCTGCAGGCCCAGGCCTGGAGGACCTGCCCAGTGATAAGATATGGGAATGGGCACCCACACAACTGTCTGGCCAATTTTCCATAGGCCTCCTATGCTTGGGGACTGCTCCAGTCCCTAGTCAGCTTGGATTTTCCAGAACATAGAAGTGTTATCAGTGAAGACAGTGAAACAGCAAAGATGACAGCCTGTCTCTCCCTCTGGGAGTTTTGTCCCAGAGAGGTACAGACCTGGTGTCAGCCAAAAGGCACCTGTAGGACGTGGTTGGAAAGGATGTGGCTGGAGACCCCGGTTGAGAGGTCCCACGCAGTGAGAAGGAATGGAATCGGGACTCACTCAAAAAAGCAATCTGGCCACATTTTGGTAGAGTAGCTGTCCTGTGCTTGGTTTCCACTTCAGCCCCTGGTCATCTCAGACACTCTGAAGCCCAAACGCTAGAATGGCTGTTGCCAAGCAGCAAAGTTACCCAAACTTCCTCCTTCTGGGAATGCTGTCCCGGGGGAATTCAGATCTTTGTGGCTGGAGAGCTCAGGCAGGGTTGGCTAGAGGCCCTGGTTGGGAGGTCCTGCCCAGTAAGGAGGAATGGGTAGCTGGGTGGAATTCCAAGACAATGGGTCTTATTTTGTGAGGTGCTGTGGAAGTGAGACCTGTGGGCTGTTGCTTCTCAGCCCCCTGGATTCAGCCTCTTTCCTAGGGGTATGTACAGGAGTCTACCCTCTCACTTTGCAGGAGCTGAAGCTACTTTTTCTGGCAATCCCAAGTATCTAAGTCTCTAGGGTCTATAGGCATGCCTGAGCAGCTGTACTGCTGACACTCCGTGTAGTTCTGTCTGTCTGGTGGGAGACTGAAGTCCCTCATGGTGTGGGTCCACAAAACAGTCTTCTGACCTGAGGGTTGCAAATATCAGTGGGAGAAGCGCGGTTTCCTGGGGTCACTCATTCACTCACCACTTCTCTGGGCTGGGGAGGATCCCCAGGCTCCACGTCGCTCCCAGGTGGGCCATTGTCCTGTCTTGATTTTCTCTCTTCTCTATGGGTCACATTGTTTCCCTGATTAATCCCAATGCAAGTACCTGCATATTTCAGTTGAAAGTGTTGTATTTACTTGCCCTTTCTGTTTCTCTCCATGTGAGCCACACACTAGCTGCTCTGGGGTGAGAATCTTGGCTACTCCTTATTTTTAGTTCTTTAAGGAATCCCCATACTGTTTTCCATAGTGGTTGTTCTACTTTACATTCCCATCAGCAGTGTAAAAGTATTGCTTTTCCACCACATCCATGCCCATGTCTATTTTTTTATTATTAAATTATAGCCATTAACACAGGAGTAAAATGGTGTCTCATTGTGGTTTTAATTTGTATTTCCCTGATTATTAATGATGTAGAGCATTTTTCATATGTTTCTTGGCCATTTATACATCTTCTATTGAGAACTGTCTATTCATGTATTTGGCCACTGTTTGATGAGATTGTTTTATTCTTGCTGATTTGTTCGAGGTCCTTTTAGATTCTGGATATTAGCCTTTTGTCAAATGCATAGTTTGTGAAAATTTTCTCCAACTCTGTGGGTTGTCTGTGTACTCTGCGGTTTCTTTTGCTGTGCAGAAGCTTTTTAGTTTAATTAAATCCCATCTATTTATTTTGTTTTTGTTGCATTTGCTTTTGGGTTCTTGGTTATGAAGTCTTTGTCTAAGGCAATGTCTAGAAGAGATTTTTTGATATTATGTCTTAGAGTTATTATGGTTTCAGGTCTTAGATTTCAGTCTTTGATTCATCTTGAATTGATTTTTGTATAAGGTGAGAGAAGAGGATCCAGTTTCATTCTTCTACATGTGGTTTGCCAATTATCCCAGCACCATTTGTTGAATGGGGTGATCTTCCACCACTTAATGTTTTTATCTGCTTTGTCAAAGATCAGTTGGTCATAAGTATTTGGCTTTATTTCTGGGTTCTCTTCTATTCCATTCATCTATGTGCCTATTTTTATTCCATGCTGTTTTGGTAACTATAGCCTTGTAGTACAGTTTGAAGTCAGGTAATGTGATGTCTCCAGATTTGTTCTTTTTGCTTAGTCTTGCTTTGGCTATGTGGGCTCTTTTTGGTTTCAGTATAAATTTTAGGATTGTTTTTCTAGTTTGGTGAAGAATGATGATGGTATTTTGATGGAAATTGCAATGAATCTGTAGATGGCTTTTGTGAGGCTGGTCATTTTTACAATATTAATATTACCTATCTGTGAGTATGGAATATGTTTCCATTTGTTTGTGTCATCTCTGATTTCTTTCAGCAGTGTTTTACAGTTTTCCCTGTACAGATCTTTCAACTATTTGGTTAATTATATTTCTAAGTATTATATTTTATTTTTACAGCTGTAGTGAAAGGGATTGAGTTCTTGATTGGATTCTTAGCTTGGTCATTGTTGGTGTAGAGCAGTGCTACTGATTTGTGTACATTGATTCTGTATCTTGAAACTTTACTCAATTCATTTACCAGAACTAGGAGCTCTTTAGATGAGACTTTAGGATGTTCTATGTATAAGGTCATATCATCAGCAAACAACAACAGTTTGATTACTGATTTACATGCCCTTTTTATTTTTTTCTTGTGTGATTTTTTTTTTTTTTTTTTTTTTGGCTAGGACTTCCAGTACTATGTTAAATAGAAGTGGTGAAAGTGGACATTCTTGTCTTATTCCAGTTCTAAAAGGGAATGATTTCAACTTCTCCCCATTCAGGATTATGTTGGCTGTGGGTTTGTAATTGATGGCTTTTATTACATTAAGGTATATCCCTTCTATGCCAATTTTGCTGAGGGTTTTAATCATAAACAGATGCTGGATTTTGTTGAATGCTTTTTTTGTGTCTATTGGTCATATGGTTTTTGTTTTTAATTTTGTTTATATAAGGAATCACATTTATTGACTTGCATGTATTAAACCATCTGTGCATCTCTGCTATGAAACCCACTGGATCATGATGTACTATCCTTTTGATATGCTGTTGGATTAGGTTAGCTGGTATTTTGTTTAGAATTTTTGTTTCTATGTTCATCAGGGATATTGGTCTCTAGTTATTTGTTGTTGTTGTTGTTGTTGTTGTTGTTGTTATATCCTTTCCTGATTTTGTTATTAGGGTGATAGTGGCTTCATAGAAAAATGTAGGGAGGATTCCTTCTTAATCTTTCAGCATACTTTCAGCAGGATTGGTAACAAATCATCTTTGAATGTCTGATATAATTCAGCTGTGAATCAATTTCCTTTTGAAGTTAATCTTTGCTTTCAGTCCACTGTGGTGTAAGAGGATACTTTATATTATTTTGATTTTTAAAAATTTATTGAGACTTGTTTTGTGGCCTATCATATGGTCTATGTTGAAGAATGTTCCACGTGCTGATGAAAACAATGTATATTCTGCAGTTGTTGAGTAGAATGTTCTGTAAATATCTGTTAAATCCATTTGCTCTCAGGTATAGGTAAAAGCCATCATTTCTTTGTTGACTTTCTGTCTTGATGACCTGTCTAGTCCTGTCAGTGGAGTATTGAAGTCACCCAACATTATTGTGTTGCCATCTATCTCATTTCTTAGGCATAGTAGTATGGTTTTATGAATTTGGGAGCTCCAGTGGTAGGTGCATATATATTTAAGATTGTGATATTTTCCTGTTAAGTTAATGCTTTTATTATTATCATATAATGTCCTTCTTTGTTTTTTTTTACCCTGTTGTTGTTTTACAATCTGTTTTGTCTGATACAAAAAGAGCAAATCCTGCTGGCTTTTAGTTTTCATTTTCATGGAATATCTTTTTCCACCCTTTTACCTTAAGTTTATGTGAGTGCTTATGTGTCAGGTGAGTCTCTTGGAGACTCTTGGAGACAGCAGATACTTGGTTGGTAAATTTTTATCCATTCTGCCATTCAGTATCTTTTAAGTGGAGCATTTAACCCATTTAAATTCAATGTTAGTGTTGAGATGTGAGGTACTGTTCTATTCATCATGCTAGTTGTTGCCTAAATATCATGTTTATTTTTCACTGTCTTATTGTTTTATTGGGCCTGTGAGATTTCTGCTTTAAGGAGGTCCTATTTTGATGTATTTTGAGGGTTTGTTTCAAGACTTAGAACTCCTTTTAATATTTCTTGTAGTGCTGGCTTGGTAGTGTTAAATTTGTCTAAAAAACGCTTTATTCTTCATTTATGGAGCTTCGTTTTGCTGGACAAAATTCTTGGCTGACAATTATTTTGTGTAAGGAGACTAAAGATAGGACCCCAGTTTCTTCTGGCATGTAAGGTTTCTGCTGAGAAATCAGCTGTTAATCTGATAGGTTTTCCTTTACAAGTTACCTGATGCTTTTGTCTCACAGCTCTTAAGATTCTTTCCTTTATCTTGACTTTAGATAAGCTGATGACTATGTGCCTGGATAATGATCTCTTGGTGAAGAATTTCCCAGGAGTTCTATAAGATTCTTGTGTTTGGATGTCTAGATCTCTAGCAAGGCCAGGTAAGTTATCTTCAATTATTCCTTCAAATAAAGTTTTCAAGCTTTTAGATTCTTTTCTTCCTTAGGAACATCAATTATTCTTAGGTTTGGCTAATAATTTAACATAATCCCAAATTTCTTGGAGATTTTGTTCATTTTTTAAAATTCTTTTTTTCTTTGTCTTTGTGTGATTGGGTTTATTTAAAAGCCTTGTCTTCAACCTCCATGGTTCTTTTTTCTATGTGTTCTAGTTTATTGTTCACACTTCCCAGTGCATTTAATATTTCTCTAAGTGTGATTTTGATTTCCAGAAGTTGTGGTTGTTTTTTCTTCATGATATTTATTTTTCTGTAGAATTTTTCATCCATATTCTCTATTGTTTTCAAAATTTCTTTCTTCTGGTACCTTCTTGAACAGCTTAATAATCAGCTGTCTGAATTTTTTTACCTGGTAATTTGGAGATTTCTTTTTGATTTGGATCCATAGTTGGGGAGCTGGTATGATATTTTGGGGGTGTTATAGAACCCTGTTTTGTCATATTACCAGAATTACCTTTCTGGTTTCCTCTCATTTGGGTAGACTATTTAAAAAAATTGTTCTTGAATTTATTTGTGATTGGCCTTTTTTTTTTTTTTTTTTTTTAGTTGTTGTTTTTTCCTCTTAAGGATTAGACTTTAATATTTATTTTAGCCGAATTTGAATTTTGGTGCTTGTGTGGGTGAAGACTGTATAATTTTCTTAGTTGCAGAGTCTTTGCATGCTGACTTTCTCCAATGCCTGTTGTAGTAGTTGTATTTTTTGGTGTGTAGGCGAGTTCTCTGTATGGAGTTGAGATGGTAGGTATCTCTTGAAACTTATCTTGTTCCCTTGTGGTGTATAGTTTATTTATTTATTTATTTATTATTTTCCTGGTGTTTTATTTACTGAGTTGATGGTAGGTAATCCTGGGTAGGCACCTGTTGTGGCTAAGGCAGGTGGGTAGATGTAATCCTCATTGTTCGGCCAATGTCCCAGCCTTGATGAAAGTTGCTGCAGGAGCTTTTTATTAGATGTGTTGAGGTTTTATCAGGGTGAAGATTAGGAGCTACCTCAGTTCCCCTGCCAGATCAGCAGAAAAGCCATCCACCTCACAGCCTCACTTTTGTCCCAGTGTTGTGGTTATTCAGATCATACAGGCACCTCTTCTTGTATATAGGAATGTTGATGTTCCAAGTAGGGAGGAATTATGACTCTGCCTCTAGTGCAGGGCTAAATCTGGAATTCACTACTCCTGTGCAGCTGTATTCACCCTGGATTGTTCCAGAAAGGCTGTCTATAGGTGCATCCATGCTGCATTCCTGTGGGGGAAGCCCCAGCTGTGTTTGTGGTGGTATGCCAGTGGAGAACAAGGACCCCTGCTCCAAGGCCCTTTATGATTATAGGGGCTGCCTGCCTGTTGGGGAATAAGGGCAGACATTCCCTACTTCACCTAGCACTGCAATTGTGTCTCTGCTGTGAGAAAGAAAGTACCCAAGAGTGGAAAGATCTGGAACTCAAGACCTACTGTTCAGATTCTTATTCCATGGGGCAATACGTTGATGTGGTGGTCTCCTCCTTCCCTTAGTGGGGCTTCCTGAGAGCCAGACTGCAGTGATTGTTATTGCTTTTCTGGGTCTAGTCACCCAGCAGTGCTCCATGCTGGTGCTGAGGAATATCTGCAAAGAGTCTTGTGATGTGATCCATCTTCAGGTCTCCCAGACAGCCATGTATACCAGCACCTGCTCTAGTGGACGTGGCAGGGGGGTAGAGTAGACTTGGTGAGAACCCTGGTTGAAGATATGTTTAGTGCTCTGGCTTTCTTGAATGCTGGCTATGCTAGCAGTGAAGTTGTCCATGACTGCTAGCAACTTCACTGCTAGAATAGCCAGCATTCGAGAAAGGTAACCAGGACCTCTGGTTAGCCAGGATTTTTCAGGCGGTAGAATTAGCTGTTGTTTTTTCCTTCCTGGGAGCAGAGTTATTCTGTTATGAGTTGCTGTAATGGCAAGAGTTGGTTGGCCTCCAGCCAGGAGGTGGTGCTTTCAATAGAGCATCAGCTGTGGCAGTAGCAGTGGAATATAAGCTTGACATAAGTTGACCAGGGTAGATATTCTGGTATCTCAGGTGATGCGTGGGGCCATAAAGCTCTCAAGAGTTTTTGTCTTTTGTGTTCAGCTACCAGCAAGGGTAGAGAAATGTCATCAGGTGGAAAAGGGTTAGGTGATCAGACTCTCCTTGGGTGGGGCTTGCCACAGCCACTGCGGGAGACGGGGTGTGGCTCTCAGGACAGTGAGGTTATACACCTTAGAGGAGATTATTGCTGTCTTTGCTGTGCCATATAGCTCACCACAGAAGTGGGAGATAGCCTGTAGCAAAAGATCTCACCCAGCTCCCACACAGTTGGTGAGGCTGGTCTTGCTCCCTGCCCTGCTAATAGCACGAAGTTTAGATCCAGACAGCCTGCCTGCAGAACACTGATCTTGTTCCAGGCCATAAACTTCCCAGCTGAGAAAGCATGCTTGGCTTTCAGGCCTCTCCCCTTCCAGTCTCCCCAAAATATCGTCGGTGGCTCCCATGCTTGTCGCTGCAGCAGTTCCTGTTTGCTCCCCAGATTCTACTCAAAAAAGCCTGTGCCCAGTCAAAATTATTACAAAATTTATTCAGAAGTTTCTTATACCCTGTAACTCCTCCCTAATTCTGGTGGCTGCCTTCCCCAAGGGCCTCTGTGAGATATACTCAGGGATGGCTTTCCTGGGCTCGAGCTTTGGAGACTGGGAGTGCCTGTAAGGTCTTCCCACTGCTACTTTTACATTTCATATGGCTCCCTAAATCTGTTCCAGCTCTAGGTCAAGTTATGTCCTTCTCTAGTGATCTGGATTTTCAGATTCCCCAGTGGGGATATGTGTTTGAAGGTAGGTTTTTCCCCTCTCAGATTTCAGGAACACGCAATTTTTCACCTGTCTGGTGGAATTTGCAGTGGTGTGCCACTTCTTTCAAAGGATTAGTGAATTCTTTTAGTTTTCCTGGTATGTTCCTGCGGTGGCTCTTGAGACAAAAGTTCACCGTGTGAGTCTCCACACACTGTTCTGTCCATTCAAGTGGGAGCTGCACACCCTGCCCCCTATCTGCTATCTTCCTTCCTTCCGTTTTATAATTATGTTTTAATTAAAATTTTCATTCAGAAATATCATAGCAATTTATCCATTTATCAGCATTTGTATTTCAATTCATTTACCAATGTAGATTTCCCAGGTCACACAGATCATAGCCCATGTTCTTAATTATTATGTTCTTTTTACTGGCCTATATAAATAGTTTGTTAGGTGAATATGTTCACATTTAAAACTTCTTTTATGTTGAAATATGGCATACATTTAAAAGAAAAACATATTCCATCCATATTTTTTCATATGAACATTTGCAAAAATAATTATTAAATGATTCCCTTACTGAAAATAACAAAGATATTAAAAATCTTTTTAGATTTTATGTTTGTCTTTATAATATTTAAATCACTAGAGTTCTTTTTGTGGCTCATACGTGATATGGAGACCTTTCTTTCCTGCTTTGGTGGGAATAACAGAGGTAAGTATATTTTTTCAAACATTACCTGTTGAATAACCAATTTTTTCAGCAATTATAAATGCTAACCTATTTATATGGCAAACCAAAATGCCTTCATCTAGGCCTTTTATTATGCTTATTCATTTATTAACTATAAGTGTATAGAGGAAGGAGGCAAAGCAAGATGGCTGAATAGAACTCTGCAACATTTGTCCCCATGCAGGAACACCAAATTGAACCAACTAGCCATGCAAAAAAGCATCTTTATCAGAAATAAAAATCAGGTGAGTAGTGACAGCACCTGGTTCTAACATAATATCTAGGAAAGAGACATTGAAGACTCTTGCATTACCTACATTACCCCTCCCCCATTCCTGGTGTTGTAGGGAGAGAGAATCTGTGTCCTGGGAGAGGGACAGTGAAGTGAGTGTGGAACTTTGCATTGGAACTCAGTATTGCTCTGTCACAGGGGATCATGACACATGGCTGAATTCTGCTGGTGCCTGCAGAGGGACCATCTTTGTTAGCCCTGAGCCAAAAAGGAATTCCCCATCTCTGTAGGAGGAATCTGAGTTTAGCTGGCTTCACTGTCGCTGACTAAAGTGGCCTGGAATCTGGAACAAATTTGAGCAGCAGTCAGGCCACAAGAACTGCAGTCATTGTACAAGCTCTAATGTTTTTCTGGTCTCAAAGAGAGTGGACTTGGGGTATGTGTAACCTAGCATGACACCAGCTGAGGTAGCCAAGGGAGTGCTTGCATCATTCCTCCTCCAACTCTAGACAATGCAGCTCAGTGAGAGACTCCTTGTGCTTGCGGTAATAAGAGGAAAGAGTACAGGGAACTTAGTATTGCAACTTGTGTACTAGCTCAGCCAAAGTAAAATAAGGCATGAAGCAGATTCCTGAAGCCTCCAATTTCAGGCCTTAGCTTCTGGATGGCATTTCCAGATGCACCCCAGGCCAGAAGAAAATCAATTGCCTTTAAAGAAAGAATGTAGACCTGGCAGAATTCACCACCACATATAAAAAAGCCCCTTGGCTTTGAATAAACATCAGCGATAGTCAGGCAGTAGTTGCCATGGGCCTTGGGCAAGACCCAGTACTGTGCTGGCTTCAGGTATGACCCAGTGCAGTGCCAGCTACAGCATCCGTGGGAATGCTAACATAACCTCTTCTCTAATTCCAGGCAGCACAGTGCATAGAAACTCCTTCAGTTACGGAAAAAAAGAGGAAAGGCGTGAGACACTTTGCCTGGTTACTATGGGAATTCTCACTTATCTTACCCGAGTCCACCAAGGTGGCACCCCCAGGAGTCAGCAAGAGTTGCAGCATTACTGGGCTTGGTGTGCCCCCAATGCCAATATGGTTGCAGCGACTACAGGCTTAGAGCATAACACTCAATTCCCTTTGAATACTTAGAAAGCTTTCTCAAGAAGGATGGCTACAAACAAGTCAATACTGAAATACCTAACTCTTCGATGCCTAGGCATCAGCAAACATCCTCAAGTATCAAGAACATTCAGAAAATCATGACATCGCTGAGAAAACTAAATCAGCACCAGTCACAAATCTCAGAGTGTTGGAGATATGTGACTATTGAGACAGATAATTCAATATAGCTGTCTTAAGAAAGCTCAGCAAACTTGAAGATAACACAGAGAAGGAATGCAGAGTTCTGTCAGAGAAATTTAACAAATAGATTGAAAAAATTTTTAAGAAGTAAGCACAAATTCCGGAGCTAAAATATCCAATTGAAAAGCTGAAAATTGCATCAGAGTCTCTCAACAGCAGAACTGACAAAGCAGAAGAAAAAATGAGTCAGCTTGAAGACAGACTATATGAAAATACACAATCAGAGGAGAATAAATAATAAAAAATAGATCAGGGTAAACATTTTAATCAAAGAAATAATAATAGAGAACTTTTAACACCTACAGAAAGATATAAATATCCAGGTAAAAGAAGGCCATAAAACACCAAGCAGATGCAACCCAAATAAGACTACCTCAAGGCATGTAATAATCAAACTCTCAAAGGTCGTGGATAAAGAAAGGACTCTAAAAGCAGCAAGAGAAGAGAGTGCAATGACATATTGAAAGTGCTGAAGGAAAATAAAAGTCCAACCTAGAATATTATGACAGCAAAATTATTCTACAGTTATGACAGAAATAAAGACTTTCCCAGAAAAAAAGAAGCTGAGGGATTTCATCAACACTAGATTTGTCTTACAAAAACTGCTAAAGGGAGTTCTACAATCCAAAAAAAAAAAAAAAAAGGATGCTAACAACAAGAAATCATTTGAAAGTATAAAATTCAGTGGTAATAGTAAGTACACAGACAAATATAGAATAACACTATAATAGTGGTGGTGTAAACCACTCATATCATTAGTAGGAAGACAAAAAGACAAACCTATGAAAAAAAAACTCCAACAATTTTTAGGAGATAGGCCATATAAATAATTAAATAGAGAAAGCAAAAAGTCAGAAAGCAGGGGAGAATGAGGTTAAAATGTAGAGTTTCTTAGGTTTTCTTTTTTTGCTTTTCTCTTTTCTTATAATAAAAGTTGAGTTGTCATCAGTTTAAAATAATTGGCTATAGTATGTTATTTGCAAGCCTCATGGTAGCCACAAACCAAAAAACCTATAACCAATACACAAAAAACAAAAAGCAAGAAAGTAAAATATAGTACAAGAGAAAATCACTTTTATACAAAAGACAGGAAGGAAGGAAGGAAGGAGGGAGGGAAGGAAGGAAGGAGGGAAGGAAGGAAGGAAGGAAGGAAGGAAGGAAGGAAGGAAGGAAGGAAGGAAGGGCCAATGAAACAACTAGGAAACAAATTACAAAATGGCAGAAGTAAGACCTTACCTATCAATAATAACATTGAAAGTAAATGAACTAAATTACCCAATCCAAAGACAAAGAGTGGGTGAATGTATTAAGAATATTTGCAAAGAACCCATTTAACAAGAGATTAATAACCAAAATATATAAGGAGCGCAGTATCTCAACAGAAACAAAACTGATAATCTGATTGAAAAGTAGACAAAAGCTCTGAATAAACATTTCTCAAAAGAGTACATACAAATGACCCTTAGGTACATTACAAATTGCTCAATGTTATTAATTATCAGAAAATGCAATCCAAAACCACAATGAGATATATCACCCCAGTTAAAACGACTCTTATCCAAAAGAGATGCAATAACGAATGCTGATAAGGATTTGGAGAAAGGAGAACGCTTATACACTGTTGGTGGAAAAGTAAATCAGTATAGCCACTATGAATAACCTTATAAAATTCCTCAAAAAACTAAAAATAGAACTACCATGTAATCCATCGATCCCACTGCTGAGTGTATATTCAGAAGAAAGAAAACCATTATATCAGAGTTATCTGCACTCCCATGTTTCTTGCAGCACTATTCACAGTAGTCAAAATATGGAAGCAACCCATGTGTTCATCAGTGGATTATTGGATGAAAAAGAAGTATGTGTGTGTGTGTGTGTGTGTGTCTGTGTCTGTGTCTGTGTGTATGAACAATAGAATATTATTCATCCATAAAAAAAGAATAAAATCCTGTCATTTGCAAGAACATAGATGGGCTGGAAAACATTATGTTGTTTGAAATAAGCCAGGCACAGAAAGACAAATATCACATAGTGTCAATTGCATGTGAGAGCTAATAAAGAAAATTTAACTCATGGAGATCGAATGTGAAATAATGTTTGCCAGAGGAGGGGAAGTGTAATGAGGAGGAATGGATAAATTGTGGATGGCTAGTGGGTGCAAAAATATAGTTAGTAGAATGAAGAAAATCTAGTATTCAGTAGTACTATAGGGTGACTATAGTTAACAGTCATTTATTGAATATTTTACAATAACTCTAAGTGTGGAATTGGAATGTTGCTCACACAAAGAAGTGATAAAGACTTGAGGTGATGGATACCTTAATTACCCTTATTTGATTATTATGCATTGTATGCCTTTATGAAAACATTACATGTACCCTATATATACAACTATTATGTGCTCATAATAATTATAAATAAGTTTATGGAGTTTTAAAATATCTGCTGGAATATTTCATCTATATAATGTATAATACATTTTATATTATAGATTTGTGTGTGTACGTCTATACATAGAGATGTACACACACATATGGATATACCTTATTAAGTATATATTGGTAATATGTCATAAAGACCCAGCCAAGTATATTATGTTTTTATATTATAGATGTGTGTGTGTACATCTTACATATAGATGTACACACACACATATGCATATACCTTATTAAGTATATATTGGTAATATATCATAATGACCCAGCCAAGTATATTATGTTTTTATACTAATAAAAACTAGATATCTCCAAAATGTCAAACATACAAAAAAGTGGGTAAATAAATCACAGTAAAACCATACAATAAAATGTAGCATTTACAAAGCATGTGGGTACATACTATCAAAGAAAAATTAGAAAGATGGACAGCAGTTAAAGTGGTAAAAACTGATTTTATTCAGGAGTATTGCAATATGGAAAAAGATATTTTAGCACAGAATTTGCCTCAGTTCTAAAAACAGCATAGGAATTGAAAATTTGTAGGCAAGTAACATGATAGAGGTCAGTGTGGATGGTAAATTACTAAGAGGAAACCTCAGGGAGAGGGGAAATCTGGCTAATTCCACCTAACAGGATTATTGCTGAAGATAGGCTAATCAGACATCATTTGGGGGTGGTCAAGGATGAGAACCTGATTAGGTATTGAGGACGATCAGATAAGGAGAACGAGAGGTTCTTGTTAGATTGACTTAGCGGGGGGCTGAGTCAAATAAATGTTCAGTAGGATAAATAACATTTGGAAAAGAATCCTTGTCAGTACCTATTGATGTCTTTGTTCATATTTGTGTTATGAACATTCATGATGCATATTTTTATTAGAAATGTTCCACTCTTTAAATGACCATATTGGTAATATTTTATTTTTCTTCTCATACAGTAACTTTTTAAATATCAAATTTGTATTTTAACTCCTACTTATTTTGTGCACATTTTGCTTTATCTCTTTCTGATTCATTTAGCTTTAGGTTAGTTATCATTTTATACTGCATATTGTAACCTTTGATTTGTTTCCTAGATCTGAAAGACTGTCAGTTTACAACAAGGGATGGAATTTTTTCATTTCTTTTTTCTCCAATTTGCCTTTCCCCTCCTCTTGTCCCGTCTTTTAACAAACCTCAATCCCATTTTGCCAACAAGAAATCTGTTGCTTTATGAGACTAAATAACTTTCCCAGGTCACACAGATATAAGTATTAAGATTCTGATTCTGTTTGACATCAGAGTATTTACTCTTCATTACTGAGTTTATGAATTTTCAAACATCCTATTATCCCTTACCAGTAAAGTAATAGTGATAGCTGAGAACTTAGAAAGCAGATGCCCTTTAGGACACAGGCAAGTTTCAGAGACAGTAAATACTGAACCTTAAATGTCCATCACAACTGAGGATTTGTTAGACATTTACAATATTTCCAACTGTGAACCATTAATTATCATTTACAAGGTTAAGTTTTACAATGACTTTCTATTCTGATAAAAAAAAAGAAATGACTTTTATTTTACTATAGGCACTAATTATAGGTCCTGATTTAAATATCTTAAAAAATTTTATAGCCTCTTTATTTCTGGCTCAAATAATGTAGATAATGAGTTTCTCTGAGCCAAGATTTTTTGTTTATATATAAGGTGTTCTAACATTTTCCCTTGTGGGAAAATTTCTTCAACATGCTTCTTTCTCTTACCATGACTTATTTTTAGTTTACATGAAAATTAGCCAAATAGCTGAATCTGTTGATAACGTTCTTTAATTGAGCAATCCTAGGTCTACATAGAGAACATTCTGGGCTTTGTCTTCTAGTGATATAAATGGGTACTTCTCAAGAGGCAAGTTTAGTTCTCATGTACTGTTTACAGTGATTTATAAGTGGAAACCTCCCTAGAAATAATTTCTAGAAAAAAATCAACCTAGAGTCATTGTAACAACAAAGAGATCAAAGCATACTAAAACCTCATTAGGTAGTATCACCAAACCACAATTATAAAACAGTTTATTCCTTTCTTTCCTTCATTTAACAGAGATTTGAAAAATACTTTATTAAGCTTCTATTATGTGTCAGGCTCTGTAATATTTGGTTGAGAAGCAGAATCCTTTTGAATCCATCATCCCATACAATATTTCAGGCCGCCATTTTTAATTAATATGAATAGATACGCAAAATGAAAATTACTTATCCTTCTCTGACCATGGATGCTTCACCGGAATAATCTGGAAACATACTTTAAATGGTAAGTATCTCTTTCAACTAACTCTGTACCTAACTGTGAACACGTACGTTATTCTTACTAATTATTTGTAAGTTTCAGAAAAACAGTCTTACATGCACTGTAAGTGTGTGTTTTAGTGTTAGATTCGCTAAGGAGCAGATCCAAGTATTTTAATACAAGTGATTTAGTGAAAACTCTTCCCAGGGCAATGGAGTGGAGGAAGCAAGCTAGGAAAAGGGAGGAAATCAAATGAGTGTGTAATTACAGGTGATGTCCCAGGCTCAGCCTGGTCTCTTACGGAACTGTAGAATATAAACTCAACTCAGTAACAAAAGGCATGAGTTGTGTATTACCCACAGGTCAGTCACTGGCCACGGGCTGTCCCAGGGTCCATGAAGTTCCCAGGAAATTCTTGTTTCCCTTGATAATTTAGCAGATCCAGTGGCCAAGGGCATCCTTTAATGTCCCTAAGTGCAGAAGGCAACTTTTGTCAGGGACAACGCTGAAGAAAGCACCTGCTCAAAGAAAGTTAAATATATCTCCCTTTTTCTTGAAATTCCCGTAGCCCATTTAACTTCACAACGGCCTTTCCACTGCTTAGTAATGGACTGCTTCTTTGTTCCAAATCTAGGAATATCCCATGACCTTAAAAATTGCTCCACAAGAAAGACTCATAGTCTGACATTAAATCAGTCTATTACCTACAAGTAAAAAAAAAAAAAAAAAAAATCCCCATTTTTTTTCATATATGATATCTGCAATGACTTGGGTAAATTACTAGGTGATGTATATTTTTTCATTTTTGTATCTTCCCTGAAAACCTGATGCCTCACACGGGAAAGATGCTTAACAACTTTAATTTAAAATAAAATATCCTTTATGTCTAAAACAATTTAAATTCCAGCTACAGAGAAACATAAACACAGATGAAAAATAAGAACAAATTATTTAAATTTGTGGTCCTTGACATTTAATAATCTTAACATTGACCAACCTGCATAAACAGAAATGTAAGGCAGTGGGCACGAAATCCCGTTTGGGGAAGTTTCTTCAATGAAACTCTGCAAGTAGCAATCAAATTAGTCTCTCTATTAGACTCCTGGAAGGAGGCACCAAGATGATCTATAATTAAATTCCTAGAATCCAATTTTCACTAGCCGCTCCTAGAATAAACATCATTAAACTACACATTGCTCATCAAAGCAATGCATAAATGCTTTCTAGAGCACTAGAAAGGGATGAGCAAAGGCACACATTATGTGTAATATTTGGATTCCTCAATCTAGCAAACAGAAGCAGAATACAGGGCAAAAAGATGTTATAAAATTACTCTCTCGGAGAGCTTGATGTATAATAGATCATGTAGCATTTTATTTATTTGGCTGTTTTTGGTATAATAAATTCCCATCTTTGCATGCATAGCCCTATACTTTACCTCTTATTTTAAACATAAATGTTCAAAACCAATATGTACCTAAAGAGTTCAGCTATAAGGTTTTAAGGTTGATTTTTTTCTATATTTAAGAATTAAATGGGCATGTAACTTGAATTTTCTTTGTATTGCATGTGGTGTAGCATAGGGCATATTATAAAACTAATATTCTGTATTGTATATATATACATACACACAGATACATACATACACACACATATACATATATATATGTACACTCACATATATTCATGGTTCACAAGACAAATCTTCTATAATTGGTGACTTTAAAGGCCATAATCAATTATCTTATCTCACAGGAACAAATACACTTTGTTATTTAATTTCAATGTGTTCTCAATGGGAAGTTGTTTTTGAAGGGAGGCAGTAATTAGAACTGCAGTGAACCATTTGATAGTTGAAAGGTTGGACAGATTATTCTCCTGGGATACTTCTGCCTGAGAGTTTTTCTGGGTACAAGCCAGGTACAATAATCTTTATACTCACTTGAATTATTTCACCTTGAAACTTGGCCAAATATTACCATTAACAGAAGCTTTAACTTCAATCATAGAAAGCAAAAAAAAAAAAAAAAGAAAGAAATGTATAAACTTACACATGTTTTATGCTAAAATGTACAAATAAAATATCAAAGTAACACTATTTGAAATATTTTTGAAATGAAGTGACCAAAATATTTTCGTATTTACTTTGTAAGAGTAGTAATAAATATTTTAAGGAATCAACTGGATACAAATTCAAGGGAGTATAATGATGTTTTAAACTGATTTACAATTATTAGTAAATAATTATTTTAATTTTTAAGATTTTCAAAATTTGAAAAAAGTCAGGAGAAACACAAAAATAAAATCACAGAAATGACCTAGAGCAGGAATTAACAAATCTTTTCCATAAAGGGTCAGACGGTAAACCTTTTTGGCTTCCTGAGTCATATGGTCTCTGTCTCAACTACTCAACTCTGTAGTTAGAATAAAAGTAGCCAAAAACAATATGTAAATAATGAGCATGGCTGTGTTTCAATAAACTATATTTATGGATGCTGAAATCCGGATTTCAAATAACATTTATACATCATAAAATATTATTCTTCTTTTGCCCTTTTTAAATCACTTAAAATGTAAATACTTTTCTTAGCTCAGAGAAAAACAGGCTACAGTAAGACAGAAGGTGAGCTGGATTTGGTCTGTGGTTCTTAGTGTGCAGACTTCTGATCTATAGTTCTAGAATATAACCTTCATATAAATTGGCACAGCTGACATTGTGATTTTTGCTTTTTTCTCTTCTATTTTTATAATAATGTACCTTTATAAATGTATATTTTAATACAGTATTACAGTATATATACAGTGTTTATATAGAAATATAAACCTCCTTTGTAAAAAGATTATGAACTGTATCTCATTAACATACTATCATGTTAATAAGAAATCTTATATATTAATATAATTGGTTTATACAATATCAGCATCATTACTGATATAATTTTCTTCATTTTACGGATAAGAAACCTCAAACTCAAAGACTATCTAGAGGTTCCAAGTTCAGGTCCTCTGTTTTGAAGATAGAAAGACTGAAGCAGAAAAATATAATTTAAATTGCAGTAACATAAATGGACCCTTCTGATCCTGAAACAACACTTGGGAACCAGTATGCTAGGTAAATAGCAGTTTAAAACACATTAACAAAGAAAGTAATAACAAACACCATTTTATCCAAACGATGGAGAAGACTCATAGATAATTCTTTTTTCTCAGAAAAAAAAATACACCTCACCAGTGTGACAACAATAATGATTACTGATTATTTTCCAGTCTCAAAATTATTCATATGGACAGTGCTGAGTAAACACTCTCAAACTCTGTTTATTCTTCATTTCTTAATTCATGTTAACGATCAACATTTCCCTAGTAAAGATTTTCCATTAAGTACAATAAATTCAATTTAATTTCTTTTGTATTACAATTTTCCAGTTCTGAGTTTAGCCCATGTCATCTTGACTGAACATGGTTGTGATGTTTTCCTTTATAGACAATTTACAGTTTTTGCTATCAGTGTATATCATTTATTACTGTCACATACTATTAGTGTAATTAATTAGTCTAATTGTCAGAAAACCATCTTAGCCCGCCCCTGCGCCCAAACACCATTTTTTTCTAATTTCTTTGGAGACACCTTAAGGTTTTTTCTGAGTGTTTTCTATTTTACATGGTTGTAGAAACTGATTGAATGAGGTTTGACTCACAGTAGCTGCTAAATGCATTTTTGTGGTTTCTTACTTTCTTACCTCTCTCACACGTAATGTATTAAGGCAGAGAAAAAAAAAGCTCCATGCTTTAGCTTACTGTAAGTGTCTTCAGAAAAGCTCATTTTTTCTTTCTCAGTTCATTATGTAAAATATTTAATGCAGTTGGAAATTACAGCCCAAATCTCAATTATGGGAGTGTGTGTGTGTGTGTGTGTGTGTGTGTGTGTGTTTGCACGCACACATGTATATGTGTGCACAATCTGTAAGCCAAATTTTCTGAGGTAATAGTTTATCTTTAAATTCTTAAAAGTTTTCTATTTTTATGCATATTTTCTCTGAGATCCCAGTTTCAAAACTGTGGTTTTACAGAGGGAAAATGCCTACTCTTTTCTCACAGCAAGGCTATTATTTACTCTCCTAAAATATTTATAAAGAGTTTTAAAGTATTAACCTAAATACTTTTTAAATTTTTGCTTAAATATATTTTTCATTCTGTTTTGGGAAGTTCTACCCTATAAGAATTGTGAATTGATGGGCATTGTAGAAGACTGAAGATAAATAAGCAGTTTTTAAAATATGACAACAAATTGGCAGTCATGTTAGCAATACATGAAAGTGACATTATTAAAATATGTTGATTTGTAATTGTTTTGACATTTTACCACTGACTTTTCAAAACAGTATTATGAGTACAATCAACTCCATATTTTAAGAAGTATTAGCAGATAGCTATTAAGTACCTCTCTTGGTGCCAGACAGCAAATCAATGGAATGATCAATATCACAATCCACAGGCCCTGAATCAGCTACAAAATAAGTGAATTTTGTCCAAATATTAATGTTCACACAAAACAATCATTAAGGTTATTAGTAAGATCACTTGTAATCATTAATACTATCAATTATTTAAAAGTTTTTGGTTTTTTTTCTATCCCCAAGAATGTATTTTTTAGTATATATATTATCCTGATCTCCTGAATTCAGATGTTGGGCTTATTTCTTAAAAGGTTGGAAGGGTTATGTGACTCTAAGTGTTATGACTTTAGCCAAAGAGCAAAACAAAATTCCAGTAAACGTGAGCTGCGCTTAAAGAAACTAATCTAAACAGTTCCAGAGATTTGTTGTTCATTGGATTTATTTTTAACTGCTGGTAAAAAACTGATATCAACAGTAATTACACGAATATTCATCTTAAATTTTAGAGGAACTCTATATTAAATATATCTCAAATAATCTATTATGCCTTTCTAATATACTCTGAAAGACCTCAGGTAACTTAATATTTAGTCACTGGGGAAATGAAAGAAGAGCATACATAAAGCTCTATGGCATCCTTAATCATTTTGTTAAAAACAGCAATAACTATTCTCTTTTAAGAAAGGAAAAGCAGGCCAGGCGCGGTGGCTCACACCTGTAATCCTAGCACTTTGGGAGGCCGAGGTGGAAAGATCACAAGGCCAGGAGTTCAAGACCAGCCTGGACAACATGATGAAGCCCTGCCTCTACTAAAAAAATAGAAAAGTTAGTTGGGCATGGTGGTGTGCTTCCGTAATCCCAGCTACTCTGGAGGCTGAGGCAGGAGAATCGCTTGAACCCGGGAGGTGGAGGTTGTAGTGAGCCAAGATCACGCCATGGCACTCCAGCCTGGGCGACAGAGCAAGACTCCGTCTCGAAAAAAAGAAAAAAAAAAGCAAAAACAGACACACACATACAAACTGAGTAGGAGAGGATGTAAGCTGGGGATATGGAACTAGTGGAAATAAAATATATCCTGAAGGTGTATTTCTTATATATTTCAGAGACAGGAAGAGCTCTGGTTACTTCACTTTTAAGGTCGCAGGTTCTGAGAAGAAATAGTAGATACAAGGCATTATTTTCACTAAAGTTTCAATAATACTTCTCAGTACATATCTGTATGTATTAAGAATGCCACATAATAAAAATACACATAATAGAAATGATCAACAGCTGATAAATAATAAGCATCTCCTAAATCTAGTATTCTATTGCAATAATTATTGAAAGTCATTTAGCAATACTAACTAAAATGTATTAGATGTTTATCTTGAACTATGACCTAAAAATTCTACTCTTCTTCAAAACACTTATGTGAAGGAAATACACAGATCTATTGTAAAGTTGAACTGTCAGGATTTCCATCACAGTTTTCATTACAATAGAAAAATTAGGGACACTATAACTATCTAATGTAGGGCTTTGATTAAATAAATTATAATGTAATAAAATGCAATATAAAAAGTAAAATATTTACTAGAAATATTATCTGCATTAATTTGTTTATGATTTACTGATAAATAATTATAGCAGATTTATTTATTGTTATAAAATTTATATTGATAAAGGATTACAAAACTAACTATATATTCGACCTCACTGTATTTAAAAGAGAGGCATATTATAAAGTGCTGAAAGTAAAGGAAATAAATGCTACAATTTATGGAGTGAGATTTAGGTCATAAAATGTGTTTTGGCTGCTTGTCTGCATTTTAAAATTTATCATCAATTATTTTTGTAATCTGCATATTTAAAAAGATGTACATATTTGTTTCCGAAACAATATTAAATGTTGAAATTTTGAGAGGTCTAAGTTTCATCGATTTTTCTTCTCCATTCTTTCCTTGATAAAAAAATGAGAAAAAAAAAACTTTTTTTCAATAGTTTTACTTACAAAACAAATTGCCACAAATTAAACTGTCAACAAATATCAAAGGGAAAGCAAATCTTTTTGATAACTGCCTAGCAAAATGTCACTTTGGGATATTTGACATTTTGATACAATCATTGATAATTGTTGTGAAAAGCTCAGTAAATTTGTAAACCAGGTGCAAATAATGTGGCATAAAATGATCATTATGCAAATTAATAGCTTAAATCTTCACATGTAGCTAATGTGTTTATGCTGAAGTTGAAGGCATTTATTTTCTTCTCACCTAGCAGAACCAACTGCAAGCACATCCTTCTAATTGTCTACATGTTGAGAAAACTACTTATATTACTACCTAAAGAAGCCCACCAAAGACACACTACATAAAATGGGATCATTTTAGGCCTTCTATACAAGTGGTATAATAGGAGAAAAAGGTTTCAAGATAAAATAACTTACACACAGTTGTTATAGGAAAGAAACTTAATAATCACAGGTTCTTGTTCTCAATCAGTGAGGAAATTGGAAACTAAAGTAATTGAATTTCTCCCTCAAAACTTAACAATTAGTGGAATAATGGGACTGTAATTCTAGTCTAGTCATAAATTTACCTACGCATTAGATTATATGTGAAAAGAAAAGCTATTTCCTTTATTTCTTTGTTGCTGATTTTATCTCCCTTACTCTGCTTGGTGCATGAGGAATTGGCAGTGTCATAATGGCCAGTTCCAGTAATCCAAGCCCAAAGTAACGACTGTGTCTTTTTGCAACTCTTCATGAGAAGAGGCTTCTATTTCTCTGTATGTTTCTCTGAATAAGGGGCAGGTATGATGAGATAGATATTCTGAGGGAATTAGAGACTATTATAAATACTTAACAATGGTGAGGAAAATGCAGAATGATACATGGGCAGCATAATACCACCAGTCTTACTTAATAAATATGTGCAATCATTATTTGTCAATTAAGAATACAATAAAACTTAAAGTTGTTCTTTTTTCCAGTGGCTTTTGAAAGCTAGATGGAAAAGCTGAGAAGCCAACATTTAGACTTTTACAAAATCACAGTTTAACTGGCAGCATGTAATAGGCATGCAAATAAGGAAAAGAATTTGAGATGTTGGCAAGAGAATGATTAAAATGATGCAGCAGAGAATTTAGATAAAAGGGGAAGATAGATAATTCAGTAGCGGGGATATGGCTAGGAGGCTAATCAACAAAGAGATATTACAGGCCGGGCGCACGGTGGCTCACAACTGTAATCCCAGCACTTTGGGAGGCTGAGGCGGGCGGATCACAAAGTCAGGAGATCGAGACCAACCTGGCGAACACGGTGAAACCCCGTCTCTACTAAAAACACAAAAAAAATTAGCTGGGCGTGGTGGCGGGCGCCTGTAGTCCCAGCTACTCGGGAGGCTGAGGCAGGAGAATGGTCTGAACCCGGGAGGCGGAGCTTTCAGTGAGCCGAGATCGCGCCACTGCACTCCAGCCTGGGCGACAGAGATGGACTCTGTCTCAAAAAAATAAAATAAAATGAAATAAATAAAGGGATATTACAGAAGTAACAGGCCTAGAGTTCTTGGTGAGAATGCAAGACAGGTGTAGGGGGCAGTCACATGTGAAAGCTACAAGGATAGGTTAGGATGGAAAAAGTGGGAGAGTTGATTTCAAAAGTTCAGAATTGCAGTGAGTTTAGATAAGTATGCAAATCAGTGGCTGAAACAGAGTCAAAGTGAAGGTCCCAGATGTTGAGAACATTATGGAATTAAGAAGTTTACATGTTGGATGTCTGTCTGGATGCCTAATTAACTTTGCAGAATCTATTACTGAACTTGAGTGAAGAGAATGACAAAGAGTCAGGTGATACAATCTTTAACTAATACTAAAATGTTGCCAAGAACTCTATAGGTGGGAGCAACTAGAAAGAATAATGGATGGTATAAATATATGACACAAGTGAGTAGGCCAATATGGGCAGCATAGAACAAACACACCAAAAACAACAATGTCAAGTATAAACCCAGATTATTCTCAAGACATGTGAGGATTAAATGCAAGAATGCTTTAGAAATACACAGGGCTGGCCAGGAGTGGTAGCTCACGCTTGTAACCCCAGCACTTTGGGAGGGCGAGGTGGGTGGATCACGAGGTCAAGAGTTCGAGACCAGCCTGGCCAACATGGTGAAACCCCGTCTCTACTAAAAATACAAAAATTAGCTGGGCGTGGAGGCGCGTGCCTGTAATCTCAGCTACTTGGGAGGCTGAGGTGGGAGAATCGCTTGACCCCGGGAAGTGGAGGTTGCAGTGAGCCAAGATCATGCCATTGCACTCCAGCTTGGGCAATAGGGCAAGACTCCATCTCAAAAAAAAAAAAAAAGAAAAGAAAAGAAAAAAAGAAATACATAGGGCTAAAGTAACTTTCCTTCAGAGCTTGATTATAAAATGATCAACTGACAGACAAGCCTTAAAAATCAATGCCTAATGTATATTATTTATTATTTGTAGAAGTAATTCACCCAAAGATATTTTCTGCAAATATGTGGTTGACAATACACTGAAATCTAATCAAGACAACTGCTAAGTAATCTTTGACCTAGGCAAAAATTAAGGGAAGTTTAATGTATGCAACTTTATGAATAGTAGAATTAGTTGAATGAATTGAGTTTTTGTTTAGAGCAACTATTTATTGATGTGTCTTGAGCTCTCTCCAGAGGACCTTGTGCTCACACAAAGGTGAGTGTTTTGCCATGGCAAATATGTCTTTATAGCAGTAATGGTAATTATAGGTCCCAGAGCTTGTTCCTGTGAAGGGTCTTCAGGTAACTTTCTTCACTCTGATTCTGTGTAGAGGAAAAGAAATCCTAGTTTATACATCAGTTTTGTTTTTGTTTTTGTTTTTTTAAGTTAGGGTCTGTATTAGCCAAGGTTCTCTAGAGGGACAGGAGTAATAGGATAGATGTATGGATGAAAGGGAGTTTATTAAAGAGTTTTAAAGAGTATTGACTCACATGATCACATGGTGAAGTCCCACAAGAGGCCATCTGCAAGCTAAGGAGCAAGGAAGCCATTTCCCAAAACCTTGAAAGTAGGGAAGCCAATAGTGCAGCCTTCATTCTGTGGCCAAGGGCTGGAGAGCTCCTGGTAAACCACTGGTGTAGGTCCCCAAGAGTCCAAAAGCTGAAGAACTTGGAGTCCGATGTTCAAGAGCAGGAAGCATCCGGCACGGGAGAAAGATGGAAGCCAGAAAACTCAGGCAGTCTAGTTCTTCCACATTCTTTTGCCTGCTTTTATTCTAGCCTTGCTGGCAGCTGTTTAGATTGTACCTTTCCGGATTGAGGATGGGTCTGCCTCTTCCAGTCCACTGACTCACATGTTAATCTCCTTTGGCAACACCTCACAGACACACCCAGGAACAATACTTTGCATCCTTCAATACAATAAAGTTGACACTCAACATTAACCATCACAGGATCTCATTCTGTCATCCAGCCTATATTGCAGTGGCACAATCATAGCTCACTGCAGCCTCCAACTCCTGGGCTCTAGTGATCCTCCCGCCTCAGACTCCCAAATTGCTGAGACGTCCAATGCACATGGCTAATTTTGTTTGTTTTTTGTAGAGATGGAGTCCCACTATTTTGGCTAGGCTGGTCTCAAACTCCTGGGCTCAATCTCCCTCCTACTTCAGCCTCCCAAAGTGTTGGGATTATAAAATAAGTGTGAGCCACGGTGCCTGGCATATATAATTCTTTTTGGAAAACTTAGGGAAAATAAACATGAAAAAAGATTGTATGTTTAAAATTACAGATTAGATTCTAATATTCTGTTTCTACTTGTGAAGCCCTGTCTTAGCAAGCAGCCTTTCTCCTTTTTTATAATTTCTACCCAATCACCTTCAACATTTATGCAAAAATGAGTTTCAAAGTATAACGTACAAAATATAAGAAACATATGAGAGCACTAGGCTTATTATCCATAGCATTTGTAGGCGTAGATAAGGTCAAATCTGTAAATTGTTAAAAAACAAAACACTTCGGATATTAATACTAAGCTGAGTGATAGATGGCAGGATGGTGATTTACATGTTGGCAGGATCAAAGTGTTCTGAGTGTGATGTGTGTGGAAGTGGCTTTGTCTCTCCTTTTCATACTACTGTGGTGCCGTAAACCATAGCCTCGTCCATGAGATGAGATCCAGGAATGCTTTGGAAGCTCTCCTTTCTGCCTTGCACATATGCCGTATAAGCATAATGGGCCCCAAGGTACACTTCCTGTGTGCAGGCCCAGCTGTCTGCTATGTTTTCCCTCCTCCCATCTGACAGCCAGCAGGAGACTAACCAGCAGTAGTCTAGCAACCTGAGCCAGATCATCCCCAGGCACGTGAGACAAGTGATGAGTTCTGGGCTTTTTTGTTGTCTTGCTCTCATTGAAGATACTTTCCTGCAATTGTTAAGTGTGTGGTTTGGTGTGAAGTTGTTTAGTCCAAATTAGCTTATCAAAATCACATTGCTGCCTGTAGTCCAGTTCAGCTTCTCCCAACTGCAGGTTTGGGCATCAATATAGATTTTTAAAAATGTGTTCCTTTGTTTTCATCTCTTGTTGCCCTCTGTGGCTATATCATCTTCAGATACCTTGACTGAATGTCCCTGAGTTCAGATGAGTTTATGGCAGAGGCAATGTTCAAAATCTTTAACAATTGGTGTGGCATGAATTCTTCAGCATAGATGCTGCCCTTACAGCTAGAGAAGGATCCTAGATAAACCAGTTAGGCCAGTAATTCTTATTTAATTGCTGGATCAAAGAGATTTCTCCAGGACGAGCTGGGCATCTGAGTGGTAGCAGCTTTCAGGTGGGCTGATTGTGGCAGAATTCTACCCACAACCAGTATAGCAAAATACAGTGTTTTCCAGGTAACTAAAAACACTGATTTAGTGAAGATTTTTCTTGTATTACATTCAATGGCTATCAAACTATTTTAATAGTATAAATAACCAATGATTATGTCTAACAACATTCAAAATATTGTGTTGACTATTTTAGGAAATATGATTGTGACTCAAGATCTGTTTGCTTAATTGGTTGGACTGGATTAAGGAAATTAGTAGCGAGTGCACTTAGGTTAACGATGACACAGTAGTCAGAGTTGGTAGTAACAATTTTTCTGCATTTTCTTTTGCTCTTTAATCAATTTAACTACATATACTTGACTGTCTGTTACTTCTGGATCAAAGAGTATCTTAGTACATTTTTATTTAGGTGTGAATTCAACTATCAAAGTCATTAAAAACATTGCTTGTGTTTCAGCCCACATTTCTGTGCATAGAAAAGGCCACTGTAACACTTTACAGTTATAATCTCACATCTCACTCCTCCCTTAAAAAAGGGACATGTCAGGGATCTTTCATATACTGAAAATATCCAGAGATCTGAAGCAGCTTGAACAAACTTAATTCTCAGTGCCTTACCTTCTATGTTTTAGTAAGCCTACTACCAAAACACACAATAATACATGGAGTTGTAGACTATGCACATGTAATACTCTACACATACACACTTACATTCTTTCCCTCTTTGTCTCTCCCTCCCTCTCTTCCTCACTGACACACACACACACACACACACACACACCTACACACTTACATTCTTTCCCTCTTTGTCTCTCCCTCCCTCTCTTCCTCACTGACACACACACACACACACACACACACACACACACACACAGAGGCAAAAATATGAGGAGGCTTTTGATTGGGGTCTAGTGTAGTCTGAAATTCTGCAATACAGTTCATTCAAATCCCTCTTTGCAATTTTAACTCTATTTGAATGAGATCAATTAACTAATTGTTTCAGCCTATTCTTTGTTTTCTATCTGGAGAACTCTAATACTGAGGAATTAAAACATGAAGAATGAAAGAAAAGCTCTCCAAAGCTGGCACTGCTATTTAAAACACACCTTTCATTGCACACTTTTCAATGACTTGGTGGTCCCTAGGTTTGTGTTTTATATTATTTTCTGTTTGGTTAAATGCTTTATAAGTACATGTTCTCCTCTGTTGTACATAATTAGTCAAACCATCTCGTGTTTCCTTTATGCAAAACTGTTTCCACATTGGATGCACTTCCTTCCACACAAGAGACAACTGAAAATGTAAGATCATGCTAATACCTATGGGCGCTTCATTTAAAAGTTAAATGGATCTGCCTCTGAATTCCTGAATTTCTGTAACTCTTCCAGATGAAGTCATGGCTATGAAACTCTTGAGGTTCAGTTTTACATGTTCCTGATCTAATTATGTATAAGAAAGGAATCATATAATGAACTTCTTCACAGAAGTAAATGAAGTAGGGAAATAACTCTAGCTTTTGTCTTGTGGTATTCAGAATGCCTTGATGCTGGTCCTTCATGGGCTCATGATGTCAACTCTTCCCAGGCTTTTCCTGTTTCTTGCCATGTTCCAGAGGTGAAAATGTCTCAATGTGATTCTTCCTAAATATTTGTCTCACTTCCTCTAAATAAAAGCTAAATACCATGCCAGAATTTTTGTTTTACCAATTGACTCCCTGACGGTAAAGATGGGTGGTGATGATAGCATGAGAAAGCTGAATTAAAGTATTTTAAATGTTCTGCAATATTCAACATTCCTATATATCAAAGATTGGTGACATTAATAATAAATTTGTCGAAGCTATTTGATTGAGACATATGGCAAGAACCAGTGGCTGCGCTATAGAACTCAGCATTGCATTTGAGGTTTTACCATTGATCTCTGATTCTTTGGTTCTTAACTTTCACTATGTATACGTGCATTGTTTACTCCAGCTTGTCACCTGATTCAGACTAGCAAATATCAGCAAGGAAGCTCATACTTGTGGCAACATATGCTTATTTGATGAATTAAGGAAATAATACTTCATTTTATTTACTCTCTTCATTCCAACATTTTTTCATCAATGTCTAAGGTTTCACTGTTTTAAAATTCTACTCTCACTATCTTTTAATTCCCAAACTCCAGTTAACTTCACTTCAGCTTCTGCCATGTCCTTAGTGATCGCAATTATTATTAGAGATTTTTCAACTGTTGTTACAATCATCTGGTTCTATGTTAACAATAATGATCCCCACACATCACCCTCAGAGAATTGGGTCTGGAACAGGGCTCTAGAATGTGCATAATCATAAAAACCCCAAGCAATTCTGATTCAGGTAGTGCTCCTGCTTACACTTCGGGAAACACTGACCTAGATATTCTAATCCACAAAGTTACTTCACCATATAAATAATAAAATTCAATACTATAGTCTTTGGACACAGCCTCATAACTTTTTATCTCTTTCTCACTCTCCCTCATAAATTCTAGACCTCATAGAATTATGCTTTCATGACAGGCAGTGTTTCTCAGACTATGCATCAGCTAAGCTAACTTACCTTCTGCATCCTATTATTTACATTTAAATATTTTCTTGCCAGCATCTTAATCCCCTTTCATGCCTTACTTCAGTCACAAAGATCCTCCCCGGAAAAGAGAAAGATAAACAGAAAGATGGAAAAAAATTAAAAAACTATAATAATCCTACATCTGCATTGCTGTGTGCAATTGGAGAAAATCATTCAACTAGTTGGTCACCAATAACAATTCTGAATTTTAAATTAAAATGTCCTCAGTACTATTTATCAATCATTTATTTTACCTCTATACCCTACTTCACCCATTTTAAAAAACATTATACCAAATGCAAAGACCAATAATAGAAATCCTAGCTGCACTTTCAAAAAAAAAAAATGTGTTGCTTTCTTCCATAATTTCCCATAAAATTGTTGTGTCTTTCACAAACTTAGAAACATCTGCATATAGGTCTTGTTTATCTAGTCTCATTTGTTGAAACGATTAGTCCTTCTTTTCCTATCTGGGCCATTGTTGTTCTCCTTGACCACATAACTTATGAACTTTCATCATTGAACATATCCTTTCTCTTTTGTATATTCACTCTGTTGGACAGTTAGTGCCTTGTCTTTAGCCAATAATATGTATTTATTGTTCCCATTTTATAAAAATATATTTTGAACTTTATTTTTATCTAGCTATTGCAGTATTTTAAAACTTTTTTAAAGTTGTAGAAAGAGTTCTCTTTTGCTAACTCATGTTGATTATGGCCCAGATGTTATCCAACCATTATTATCTACTTTCTATACCCATATCTTCTCTTATCTCCTTGACATAATGTTGGTTGGATAATTTTCTCTAACCGCTAAGTAGCTCCACCTTGTTCTCTTGAAATACATATTATCTTTCTTAGCATTTGCAATCATTTAGTCAAAAACCTAAGCTAAGTCTTTTGCTGCTGTTTTCAACAAACTAATGCAATTCATTTCTTGCTACGTTTTCCATGATTTAGATTTTCATTTTATAAAGCTCACAATACACAGTAGCTAGATATATTGAATCTATCCTTCCTTGCCTTTTTACTTTTACTTTATAATTTTTATTTCTTTACATATTTGCATTTTTCTCTGGTACAGACTCACTACATATTGTTTTAAATTTTAGGGTATTCTTTTATTTTGTCCCAAATACTTTTAAAAATAAGCAAATATTTGATTAAAAGTTTTAAATAATTATTAAGTTTCATAATAAGTTTATCAATTAGCTTTGTTTTGTTTCTCTTTCTCAAATTTTCTATCTTTCTGATAATATTTAGCATCCTAAATAATTATAAATAAGTATTTACATGGCTCAAAATGTACTTGATATTAGGAGTGGAGAATCACTTTCATTTCTTTTGAATTAAACAACTTTATTTTTAAGATGGATTTAGATTTACAGAAAATTGAGTAAATAGTACAGAGAGTTCCCAAAATATTCCCTTTCTTTCCTGTTCACAGTCTCCCCTATTATTAACATCTTGCATTAGTGTGGTACATATATTGTAGTTGATAAACTTATGTTGATACATTATTATGAACTAAATTTTACAGTTTGCGTTAGGGTTCACTCTGTGTGTTATATAATTCTATGAGTTTTGACAAATGCATAATATCATGTTTCCACAATTACAGTATCATAGAGAGTAGTTTCACTTCCTAAAGACTATCCAGTGCTCCATCAATTCATCCCTCCTCCTTCTCCCAAAGCCCTGGTAACCACTGAACTTGTTCACTGTTTCTACATCTTTGAGATGTGCGTGACTTTGACAGATGTCATATGGTTAGATCATGTAGCATGCACTTTTTTTAGACTGAGTTCTTTCCCTAAGCAATATGCATTTAATAGTCCTCCACATCTATTTGTGATTCAATAGCTCATTTCTTTTTATGAATGAATACTATTCCATTGTACGGATGTGCCACAGTTTGCTTATTCATTCACCCTTTGAAGAACATTCAGTTGCTTCATGTTTTTGAAGATTATGAATAAAGCTGCTATAAATATTTGCATGGAGATTTTTGTGTAGATATGACTTTTTAACTCATATGGATAGATATGTACGGGCATGATTGCTAGATAATATATAAAGATTATGCTTAGCTTTGTAAGAAACTGACAGACTGTCTTTCAAAGTTGCTCTACCAGTTTATCCAATTTCTATGCTTATCCACCAAGTAGTCTTTAAATTTTTGATATGATAAACAATGATATAGCATACATCATTTTAATGACAAATTTGTTCACACGCTTAAATATGTTTTTAAGACATCCACATGTTTTCAGACATGAACTACTAGTCAAATATTACACACGTCTTAAGGTTATTTACATGTATTTAAGAATCATCATATAATAAGCTTAACCAGTTTTTATTTCTGCTCATATTTATAGCTTAGAAAAAATAGCCCTTGATTAAGGAATTTTGAAGGATTTCATGATAATAGCTTCTAAAGAAGGAAATTATAATAAAAGTAATAAATCAGCTTCTATAGCATGAGAATGAGTATTGCCCAAAAACTCAAACATGTGCTGGTGGGATAAATGAAGTGGGTTATGATGGAACATTTCTTATTCAAGATGACTGCAAATTCATAAGGTAAAGTAGAACTCCTAATATAAACAATAAAAAATCTGGAAGCTGAGGTAAACAGAAAATTTCTCAGAGATATGATGTACTTCTATCCTATTTTGTTATGATCATGAGATTAGAATGACTTTGAGGTCATGGTCATAAGATAAATATGAACACATTGGTATGCTCTGAACTGTGCCTAACAAAGCCATGTTTTGCCATAATGTTCTGTGCTTTAGAGACACTTGTGAAATAGTATGGCATTAAGAGGTTGATTTGCTGTGAAATTGATTGTTTCAATGGAAAGCACACATTCACACACCTACACCAAGATGAAGTTAAGTTCATTTCCTGGTGGCATGGAGAACAGCTCTTGCTGAAACAACAAATCTAAGGGTTGAGAACTGGCACTGATAATGTCCACGTCTCAGATAAACCTTCTCATGTGGAATAAGGTTGTGCCTCTTCGTGCATTCCATAAAATGATCAGACTTTCAGGGGAGCAATTCTGCAGTTCAGTAACATCAAACAGGACTTTCTTATGTTATAGATGAACACTAGAGCATAGTAACATTATGCTGGGTTTTGCCTCCAATTATTTGGAGCTAGATAGTTAAATGAATAGACAGATTAAATAGATAGATTAAATGAATGACTTGGAATTGTTTTTGTGTGTGTGTATGTGTGTGTGTTAGTGTGTTACATACGTGTGTTAATGCACATACATATGTATTTACATATTTAACAGATTTAAAGCATGTGAGACTCCCATAACATATAACTCATTACTCTATGAAACTCAACGATAAAAAAGAATATCTAACTTTCTGCATAAAATTTAAAGTTCAAAACAGAGACTAAAATAATGGCCATTATGTATTAAAATAAAGTAAATGAGATAATACAAAAAGTAGTGATAAAACTAACTGTTTTAATTTCAGCTATTCTTCGAGGAGAGTGATAAATAAAGAAGGAGGAGCATAGGCAGTAATCATAAAGTCTTCACAAAGTAACTTCTGTTTTTTTTTGTGATATTTCACCTATTTTATACACTTGAAAATGCCTCTGGGAATTAATTCTGATTCTTCAACATTTTCCCTGAATATATAAAATTAGAAAAAGCCAGAGTTGGTGATTTATGAGAGAATTAGGTAACATCTCTTGTTGTCCATTGAATATCTAAACAGAAAAAGATAAGATATATGTTTTAAAAGTATATGTAATGTTGAAAATGTATACTCTAAGTGAAGTCCAGGTGAAGCATCTGCTAGATATTCTGGACAGGACATAGATGAATTGAATTCTATTAAATGGAGGTTAAAAAATTGTGGAAGATTAACTTGAATTGGAAAATGATAAATAAAAGGGATAATGAAGGTTACATTAGTTGTTTTTATAAACAATTTTAAATAGAGCATCAAATGTGGTATGGACTGAATTGTGCTCCCTTAAAATTCACGCTGGAGCCCTGTTTGCCAATGTGATCATATTTGGAGGGGCGATTGGGAGTTAATTAGGTTTAGATGAGCTCATGAAGGTATGGTTTTAATGATGGTATTAGTACCCTTACAAAAAAAAGATACCAGAATGCTTGCTCTCTCTCACTCTCTTTCTCTCTCTTTCACCCTCTTTCTCCTCTTTCTCTCTTTCTGCATGTGAGGACACAGTGAGAAGGCATCTGTGTACAAGGAAGGAAGCAAGACCTCACCAGAAACCAACCATGCCAGCACCTTGATCTTGAACTTCTAGCCTCCAGAGCTGTGAGAAAATAAATTCCTCTTGCTTAAGACACCTGATCTATGGTGATTTGTTATGGCAGCCTGAGCTGAGTAAGACTATATGCTATACATAATTGCAATACACGAGAAAGTTGAGGTGTGTATGTATGTGTTTGTGTGAGCACATGTACAAATATGTTGAGATAGAGACAGCAGGCAATGAGAGAGAAAGATAGGGAGAGAGAGAGAGAGAGAGGGGGAGAGAGAGAGAGAAAGTAGCAAGCAAGCCATGAAAAATAATATTTTTCCCGGTATTTCCTGAGGTAGTGCCTCTGATACCTGTATGTTTTAAAGTGGAATAAAAATAGAATTTTAGTCAGGGTTCTTCACAACAACCACAAATCCATTGTTCTGGCCTGCTCTATGCAAGAGTTTGGTGTTTGGCCTAGTGAATTCACTACATTGTGTTAAGAAGGAAGCATAAAATGAAGATTTCCTGTCCTGTGTAGCAAAAGAATCTTGTGTTATATCATTTATCACACTGTAATATATGCAAAATGCTATTTAGAAGCCTATCTTTTTTTCAACTTTTATTTTAGATTCAGGAGATACATGTGTATTTTTGTTACCTGGGTATATTGTGTGATGCTGAGGTTTGGAATATGAAAAATCCCATAACCAAGGTTCTGAGCATATACCCAATAGTTTTTCAACTGTTTCTCCCCTCACTTCCCCCGCCCCAGTAGTCCCCAGTTTCGATTGTCACCATATTTATGTCCATAAGTACCCAATGTTTAGCTTTCACTTACAAGTGAGAAGATGTGATATTTGGTTTTCTGTTCCTACATTAATTTGCTTAGGATCATGGCCTCTAGCTGCATCCATGCTGCTGCAAAGGACACCATTTCATTTTTTATGGCTGTATAATATTCCATGGCATATATGTACCACATTTTCTTTATCCAGTCCACCACTGATGGACATCAGGATGGTTCCTTGTTTTTGCTATTTTGAGTAGTGCTGCGACGAACATGTGAGTGCATACATCTTTTTGATAGAATGATTTGTTTTCTTTTGGATATATATCCAGTAATGGGATTGCTGGGTCTAATGGTAGCTCTGTTTTAAGTTCTTTCAGAAATCTCCAAATTGCTTTCCAGAGTGAAGAAGCCTGTCTTTTAGATAATTTTCATTTTCCCTACTTTAGTATCCTGATTGATATCTGTATTTGGTTTTAGATAGGTAATTTGATTTGAAACCAACAAACAAGAGTATGCCTTTTCCATAATGAATGTTCTATCATGCCAGAATTAGGTCTTTTAAAATATCACTTTTCAAAAGGCCATAGTTTTGAAGGGTTATGGAAGAAATGTTCTGCACTGTTGACCTCTAATATGTATCTATTTGGGATCTCAACCACTTACTACTTTTATGCTCAGCATACGTTATTATAAGGTGCCAAAATTAAAAACAAAATTCCTTCATATAAATTAGTGACTAAATACCATAGTTCCAAATTTAGCATGTGCTAAGGTGACAAACTGCTGAAGTATTGTAGAATAAATGATAAAGAACTATATCTTTGGAGGCAAATATATCTACATTTGAATGCTGTCTCTGTGCCACCTGCTCATGTGATCTTCACAAGTTTAATGAAAAATGTACATAGGTATTTTGCCCAATGACTGGCATTTAGTCACTGCCCACTTAATGTTAGCAGATGTAGAAGTCTTTTAGCCTTAGAAATCGGAAGGATATTTATTGTTTCTATTTGCTGCAATGCACTTTTTCCCCTCAACATATGCAGAAATTTATTTCCAAAATGAAGGGAGATAAGGAGGGAAGGGGAAGGTAGTGGTACTAACCAAAGTCATCAAACCCAAGCTGCAACAAGAACAAGTCACTTTGGTTCCTGGAGCCAAACTTGAAGAGGAAATAGGCAGAAAGGAAGACAAAATTGTAAGAATATATAGTCAGTGGGATTCTTTTTCTATCTAAATGATTTAGTTATAAATATAGACGTCTTCCCTCTATGCATGTAACAAATACAAAATTCACTACCGTGAAATTTTAAAACTGAACTCTTTCACATTTGTTAAAAAAGTTAAAATCACATAATTTTCTTCCCTTCAGTTTCTGAACTATTACATGGAATAATGGCTAGTCCTAACTTCTATACACAGTTAAGCTATATTAAACTCCTTTGACAGTATAAGGAGCTACATAATTTCTATCACACTTGCCTTGAATTTAGGCATGAGAAAAATTTCTTGAAGCGACTAAAAAGGAGCAAGTCAAGAAAAAGGAAAGCTATAAAGGAGACAAAAAGAAGACTACCAGATGAAACAATTACCCTGAAAAACTCATGTATTTTATTAAAGGAGTACAAATACCCCACAAATGACAATAAATGTAATCTATTACAACAAAGTAAGCAAAATAAAGTGCACATATCAAGCATGATAAATGGCCCTAATAGGCTATCTGCTGAAAGACGTAAGGCTCGAGATTAAGTCCACCAAAGGGTCCAAATTCCTTTTAGACCCTAAAGAAAAGGTTCTGCAATGCACTTTTATTTTTTTCTTTTAGTCTGTAAATTGTTGCATTGCACTTTTAATATACAAATGTATGTATACAATATTTCTCACGTATGCATTTAAGAAATATTCATTGTGAACCTACTATTCCAGATACTGTTATAGGCATTAGATTTATACACACACACACACACACACACACACAGAAATCAGCAAATTTTCAGAATCATTCTGGGCAGCACCCACTGGATTGATTACCAATGCTTCCTACATACTATTTGAATGGTCCTTATTTTCCATAAAATAAAGAGAAATGCATAGCTCAAAACATATCTTTACAATAATAAACTTCAAGATTTTCCTAGATAGTTGCAAATTTGAATATTATGTGTGATCAGACCATAATTCATGTTTCATTGTCAATTTATATCTTATGGTTACCATTCTTTTATAGTACAAACGCAATACAAATTTGAAATAATTCCTTTGTTAAAAAAATTAAAACCTAAAACAAAATTTAATTATGTAAAAGCAAAAACTGCAGTGATTCCAATAGCAATATTCTATTATAAATATTAGAAATCACATTCTTCTCTTGGTTAGAGTGACCTGAGTATTTTTTTCTCCACATTTAGTATCAAATAATCTTATTGGCCTGATATAGGGCATACATGTGTATTTACATCTGTGTGTATTTGGACACATATAAATATGTGTATATATTAATCATTATACACACACACACACATACATATATATATATACATATGCATTTAAGATGAGGACATTGAGACTTGAGGTGATAGGTGTTATGGTAATAGTTGAATGGTATGCCCTTTATTAAATAATTGTCTTTCAGCTCCAATCCCTCTACTTTCCACTCTGTTTGGCAACAATGGGCTTGGAACTTTGCAAATCACACTTCAACATCACCAGCTGCTCACATTCTTCCAAGAGATACCAGAAGGGAAACTGGGAAGCTGGAGGAGAAGGGGAGAGGACCATGCCTTCCCTGTGTGTTTCCCGTTAGTGTTAGCAGCACCTCAGTTTCTGTGTGTGTGTGTGTGTGTGTGTGTGTGTGTGTGTGTGTGTTTTGTGGCAGTTTATTTCCATCGCATTAGTTGCAGTGTATTTTCTAAAAGTCTTCTGCAGTTTTTTGTACCTGGGGTCGGAGAGGGCTAGACAGAAGAGCTAGGAATAAAAATATGTGGAGTACTAAGTCAGAGTGGAGAGAAGGGTCCTCAAGATCCCCCTCCCCTCTTCTACCCCCATAACGAAGTGTTTGCAGAGGTGCCTGAGGAAGGCCTCAGACAAGGGGACCTCCAAATGAAGGCACGTGGGATAAGAATGCAGATATTTGTCAGGGCACAGCTGACCATATGGGTCTGAGTTTTTGCTGCAATGCATTCGCTGTATGCTAAATTCAATGTGAGGTATATAGCTTTGCTCCATGAGGCCTGCCAGGCCAATCCTTTGTGATTGCCTATGGTCAGGCCTGAAAGATCACCCATGGGATTTTAGCTGTACTACTAGTTCCCTCATGTCATTTTTGAGTCGATTTATAGACCAAACCTCTCCCAAAATCCTGCAACCAGTGTGCGTATTTTTCTTCACTGTAGATTAGCTTTGCCTTTCCTAGAACTTGATGTGAATATAATACTAATGTCAATAGATATGGATAAATTGTAATTACAGGATAGGAGAGTAGAAATAAAATGAATGAGCAAAGTTCATGAGAAAGTAAAAAGAGAAGGCATCTAGAGCTCAGATTGAGGGATTGGAATAGTTATTTTATTAACAGCAAAATTGGAAGAGAAGACAGATGGAGTTGAAGATAATTTCTAAAAAGAAACTTAATATCACCTGAGATTATCATTCATATAATTCCTTTGATGTTCAATATATTATATTTTATTAATGATTTTCTGATTGCAAACCATCCTGTTGTACCCTATTTAGTAACTATTATTATTTACCCTTCAACTTTAAATGATAAAGGTTGATGCAGAAATGCTTATCTGAACCATATTGTAGAGAAAAAAATTAAATCCTCAATGAATTGAGAGCATGTAAAAATTATGAGGAAAGAAAAATACCCTAGGAAAAAACTAATCACATGAGAAAAGCTGGACGCATTTTAAAATAATTAGTTAATACATATAATTTAGACGTCTGAGTAGTTAATAATGGTAGAGATGTTGAAACTGTCACCCACATTCATATGGGTGAAAATCACCATGTTTACTAGCAACCTATGGATGCACAAATTGAATGAATGAATGAATACAAATGAGTATTATTTATGTATATATGTGTGTGTGTTTGTCCCTTTTGGTAAAGTAACTTCACATTTAGGAACTTATCGTACAGGAGTGACAAGAGTCTGCTCATGTTTTCACCTGCAAGAATGTTGATTCACATGCATATTTAAATTAGTAACACAACTAAAAAGCTCTCCTGAGTTCAACAATGAAAACACAGTTAATAGTATAATAATACAGATAACTAAGTGATCGTGATGAATAGATCTTTGCAGCCTATTGTTAAGTGAAAAAACTCTAAAAATTATGTATAATATAAACCCATTTGTATAAATGTAAATATAGGAAGAGTTTGAAATCTTATAGCCAAATATTTACAATCACCATCTCTTAACTGGTGAGATTACATGTGAGTTTTAGATTTTTCTTCCTGTTCTATTTTGGATAAGGTTATTTAAATTTTCCTCAGTAAATATATATTACTTTTGCAATAAAAATAATCTGCATTTCTAATAGTTTATAGTTTGTTTCTTCCCATGTTTCAGTTGTTATTTTGTGTTGTAACTATCACTCAGAGCCCTTTGAGACTCCAGTTATAGCAGAACAAGTTTGCAACTGCGTTTCACAGTGTTAAAGTCCCTCTGGTTATTCTGCTTTATTGCTCTAATAGTTTAATGTCAACCCTTTTTCATAAGAAAGATCTATCTTGGGTATTTCAATCATCTTGCAAAAAAGGAAAAGCATATTTTTTTCATGAAAGATTGAAAATAAATACTGGCTTTATATAAGATCATAAACTTGTTATCTTTTTTCTTTTTTGTGTGGGAAAATGTCAGAAAATTGCAATAGTAGGACTAAAGTAATAAATTAAAATATAACTAGTAGAATAATATAAAATGTTAAATATATTATTTAAAGCAGAATAACATAGTGAGAGCTACCATATAAGAAAAACTTGGATTTAAATTCTTACCTTTTCATCTGATAATCAAGTGATCTTAAAGTGATTACTTAACATATGAATATACCACAATAACCTCTAAAATATACAAATTTTCCTGCCTTTTTTTGTAGGAAGAGAATGAGACTTAAATGAGTAATGTGTAAGGACTGATACATTGTAAGGATGCATTTATTATTACCTATACTTAATTTTTTTATTGTTCAACCAGAAACTATATATTGCCAGATGGTAAAACATATTACCAGATGGTAATATGTTCTATGAAGAAAATAAACCAGACAACATAATAGATAGTGAATGAGAATTAGCGTTGGAAGAGATTTGAAGAGGCTGACTTAGACTACTTGAGTTCATCAGAATTTAAATATGCTCATACCTACCATCAAGTGTGATCCCACCAAGTGTCAAATACTTCCACACTGTGACAAGTAGTATTAATAACAAAAGCCAATATATTACAAAGTTTTTCTACGTGCCAAACTGTTTGTAAGATTATTTGCTTTAATCCTATATTAGCACCAAAATTGAACTATAATATTGACACCACAGACTTCTGGACAAAACCAAATGGAAAAGTCCATTTCATGGAAACGACGAGTAGAAAGGTGACCACCAGAGGCTGAAAGGGAGGCAGAGAGATGGGAAAAGGGGGAATGCTGATCAAAGGTGTTAAATTACATTTAGCCTAAAGTTGCTTCCGTAGGTATTTTAAATTTGACCTAAAGTTTCTCTGTACATAGTGAACTGTAGCCTAATTGGATATATAAACAGATTGTAACTTACTCTTGTACCTATTACCAAGTTTCAGGCAATCAAAGGCAGCCAGCTGTTCAAACCATATTTAAATAAAGCAAATGCCATGCTGTAACCATTCCGGCTGTTTCTCTAACTCACTTGTATTTACTGTACGTCTCTTTCCTCTTTCTGTCCATAAATCCTCTTGGACCACACGGCAGTACAGAGTGGCTTTGAGCCTCCACTGGTTCTGGTCTGCTTGATTCACAAATCATACTTTGCTGAATTAAACTCTGTCAAATTTTATTTCTCTAAATATTTCCTTTTAATAAAGTTTCACTTAAGCTGGAGGACAAAGGGTGATCCTTTGCACTGCATCACAACCAAATTTAACAATAAAGTATTGTATATTTCAAAATTACAAAAGAATAGTTTTTAATGCCTTCACCACACAAAAAAATAATAGGTTGATGAGGTGAGGAATATGTTAATTAGCTTTGTTAACTCTTTGGACAGTGAATACATAGGTCAAAATTTTATACCCCATAAATATACACAACTAGTTTTTGTCAATTGAAAAAAACTTAATAAATATATTTCGGTTCCTACTGCTTCATTTTCATCACATTTGACATGAAATTACGAAGTGGCAAAATTTATTTTGTGGCAGTGAACTATAAGTAAGCTCTCTACCTATACCCAATTAAGCCATGGTTAAGTAAAGAGAAAGTGCACAAAGAGTTGGCCTGAAGTTTAAGACATATGAAAGCAGTCTAACAATGTTTAAACCAGCACTGAAGGAATATGAGAACATAAATTTTTTAAATTTAAATTCCATTTAATTTTTTAAATTTAAATTAAAATTTTTTAATTAAAAATTTTTTATTACAAAAAATTATGTATACATAAATATCCTCCCAATCTATATTTTCTAAAATTTAAAGTTTATTGTCCACTAGATGATGACAGAATTCTTGTTTCAAATTTAAGTTGGGGGTCAGGTTGATGGGCATGGTTCTTAGCCTAATTTTTTAATTTCTCAGAAAGTTTTTCAATACAAGACTACTGCACTAAACTGTTCCTTCTAAGTTTAAAACTTGGCTCTATAATACACTATACTAGTGTAAAAATAAAAGGTAAAGATTCTACCATAAATGACAAGGAGGAGAACTTTTGCTGTAGTTGCTTCTGCATAGAATAGTTTATTTATGGTGAAACCATCCCATAGAAAAATGTGACATATGAAACTTACTCATTCTTCCAGTCTCCTTCTTTCTTCATTTTTCTTCTCTGGAAGTTGCTGTATTTGAGTAGTTTATAAAGTTTAAGGGTTGAGGGTGAATGGGATGATTGGACTTCACCTCTAAAAGAAACATCCAGTGCAGTGCAGGATAGCTGTCCCACTATCTCAATGCAGTTTCTAAACTGAGGTACCTATAGTGCAGGAGGGGCTTTCTTTCCTATGTGGGATGTATTTTATGTATCAAGGTGTAAATTGGGCTTGAGGTGAAAACAATTTCACGTAATATAACTCCATTAGCATTATTAATAGCCTATTACCTCCACAGCCCCTCACACACTTTTTGTAGGTTGACTATCAGTTTGAATTTCTTGGTAGGATTGTGTTTTCATCGTGCTGTACTTATCAGTATTTTAAAGGACACTTTGCAATAGCTACGTATGGGTGTGTTGGTCATTCTGCAAGTAAATCTGGAATCCTTTTGGAGATTACAATATAATATACCTAAAGTACTATTTTTTTTTTTTCAAATTACAAAGAGACAAAAGACAAAGCCTTTTGCTTCTGCTATAAATAGGACACCCTCAGGAAAGCTGGAGCTTCTAATTCTTCCAGTGATGGAACTCAGCATATGTCTGAGGAGCAGAGAATTCAGAAGCTCCCATGGGCCTCCCACAGCTGGAATCTAAGTAAGAAAATGAATTCCATCCCTCACATGTTTTAAAAATGCAAAAGGATGCTGACATTCTAGTTATAAAAGTTATCCAGGCTGTCAATTTTGTGACTTTAATGTATTCAATATTCCAAGAAAATGCTTCTTGGAGTCTGGCACCTGCAAATACTGATTTCTTAAATCTATGTTTTAATGCTGTGTTACAGAAATCGTAATTACAACAATTTCAAGCAAGTAGTTGTACTGAATGATATGTTCACTACCCTTTACATTTAGAAAGAAAATATTTCTGAGTAGGTAAATATTGCTGTTCAATCCCATTGACAGTTTGCTTTATGAATTTGAGGTGGCTTATGAAAATGTCCCTGAATTTTGAAAGCTCTTTTATAGCCTCTGGATAACTTTTACTTTCACAGAGCTTTCTACCTAAACTGCTAAGTCCATGATACAATATGTTAAAAATAAACATTAGTGAAATATTGAATTTCAAAATTATTATATATAGTTACTAAAATATTATCTTTTTAAAATATAATCCTTTTGTACAATTTTTGCATTAGTTACTACATTTTGCTTCTATTATTTATAGCTCCTAGCCATATAAAGCTTTCTTCACACTGGTTTTTCACACTTAAGAATTTTCTTCATTTATATTTGTTTTAAGGGACACCTTTTTTTAAATTTCAAATGTTATCACTTACAGTTATATACTTATTTGTCTTCAAAGTTTCACTTCTTGGTCAAATAATGGACTGTAATTTGGTTTTTATATTCATCACTAATATTTGGATTTTATCTGTCAATCTATTTATATATGTGGTTTAATCAATAAAATGCAAAAGACTGGTCATTACTCATCTTTCTAGCAGATAAGTTGAATAAATAACTTAGAATCTCAGAAGTTTACTTTAGCAAATTTTCTTCAGATTCAAGAGGACATCTAATTAGAAGTTCATGACACACCCTATCAATTTGTTTTTCACTAGAACAACCACAGAAGTCTCAGAAAAGAGAATATAAAAGCATACAACAAAATAAAGGACTCATAAGAGTACAGGGATCACATACATGAAGTTGAACAATGTTCGGTTTTAATTCTTCACAATTATCATTTGTAAGATTGTAGGTAAGTTTATTTTTCTAATACTGGGTTTGTATTTTTAAAAAATGCAGATAAATGGCTGGGCGCGGTGGCTCACACCTGTAATCCCAGCACTTTGGGAGGCCAAGGTGGGTGGATCACGAGGTCAGGAGGCAGAGACCATCCTGTCTAACACGGTGAAACCCTGTCTCTACTAAAAATACAAAAAAAAAAAAAAAAATAGCGGGGCGTGGTGGTGGGCACCTGTAGTCCCAGCTACTCGGGAGGCTGAGGCAGGAGAAAGGCATGAACCCGGCAGGCGGAGCTTGCGGTGAGCCGAGATCGCGACAGAGCGAGATCTCTAGCCTGGGCGACAGAGGGAGACTCCGTCTCAAACAAAACAAAACAAAACAAACAAACAAACAAAAAAAGCAGATAAGTAAATATCCACTACATTAGGCATTGTGAAGAACAAATCAAATACTGTGTAAAACTTCTTTGAAACAGTGCCTAACATGTACAGCACATCAATAAATAAGGATTTTATTGATTATTTTAAATTAATCTTGCAACAATAAAAACAAAGAGATTAGAAGACAAACTTCTATTCGAATCTGGGGGTAAATTTCCTTACTTAACCACTATAATTAAAATTGAATTTACGATTGAAAACTGATATTGCTAAATTCTGTCTTACATGTGAAAAAGCAAGTCTAACATGCTAAAGAGTGGTAAAGGGTTGCCTCTTCTGATACCCACATTACGTTTCGCTGATCCCAGTCTTACAGTTTTTATAACCCCAAATCTGAAGTGCCTTTTATTTATCTATATCTATATGTATATCTATCCACCTAGATCTATAGTATATTTTTTTTGAGGTCACCATACTACAGTTTTTCTATCTAGCATATCTCTTTCTGTTTACATGCAAGACAACAGATCACATGTGGGAGATGCTTGAAGTGGAGAAGTGTGTCTCCAAAAGTGTGATATCTACAATGAATCATTTGGAAAGAGTCCTCAGCAAGCTGTGGTGTCTTATGCCTGTAATCCCAGCAGTTTGGGAGGTCGATGTGGGTGGATCGCTTGTGCCCAGGAATTCAAGATCACCCTGGCCAACATGGTGAAACCCCATCTCCACAAAAAATACAACAATTAGCTGGGCATGGTGGCGCATACCTGTAGTCCCATCTCCTCGAGAGAGGCTGAGGTAAGAGGATCGCTTGAGCCTGGAGGTTGAGGCTGCAGTGAGCCATGATTGCACCACTGCACTCCAGCATGGCCAGCATGGGGGACAGAGCATGACCCTATCTCAAAAAAAAAAAAAAAAAAAAAAAAAAGAGTCTTGATGCAAAGAGCACTGATGGTGCTTTAAGCTTTGGATTTCGGATTTTCATGTACCTATTGATTTATCATAACAATCAAATTAACCATGGAGTCAGGAGAACATTAAGCCTAAGCCTCAATTTGGCAGAGCTAGAATAGATAAATAACTTGAAGTCATCATCAATTGTACTACGCAACAAAGTGTAACTGTCCTTTGGCATTAGGGCTAACAAAGAGATTCATACACACACACACACACACTATATATACATATATATATATATATATAGTGTGTGTGTATATATATAGTGTATACAATATATATTGCTATATATATAGTATATAATAATCCCTTTGTTAGCCCTAATCATGCCTTTTGTTAGCCCATATATATACAAAATGCTCAACAGCACTAATCATCAGGGAAATGAAAATCAAAATGAGATATCACCACAGCCCGCTTAGAATGGCTATTATCAAAAAGACAAAAGATATCAAATGCTGGTAATGATGAGAAAAAGAGAACTCGTCTGGGCGCGGTGGCTCATGCCTGTAATCCCAGCACTTTGGGAGGCTGAGGCAGGCAGATCACGAGGTCAGAAGATCGAGACCATCCTGGCTAACAAGGTGAAACCCCGTCTCTACTAAAAATACAAAAATTAGCCAGGCATGATGGCACGCACCTATAATCCTATTTACTTGGGAGGCTGAGGCAGGAGAATCACTCAAACCTGGGAGGCAGAGGTTGCAGTGAGTGGAGATCGTACCACTTCACTCCAGCCTGGGTGACATAGTCAGACTAAATCTCCAAAACAACACACACACACACACACACACACACACACACACACACACACACACACAAAAAAAACACACACAGACACACAAAACTACTCATCAATAAAAGGAAAATGCTTCTAATTTATTAAATACAACAGTCCAACTTAAATATATAGTAAACGCAACATAAATGACAGAGCTTTTTAAATCAAGCTTACATTGTAGTTGTTTGAATATTTTTACATTATCTAATCATACAATTTTGAAGCCCATGCCCCTGCATGTAGTATACTGTAGATCTTATGTACATATTTCATATATCAGCATAATGATATATACAACGTAGAATATAGAATAATGCCTACTGCTTTTATGTACATAGGCAAGTAGTTTGCATGTAATGTATAAAGATTATTTATGTAAACTACAAATGAAAATTAGTGGCATTAGTTTTTAACATGTTCTACAAAAATTGGTTCTTTTATGTTTTGTTTTAATTTAAAAGCAGAGAAATGTCAAATCAAAAAGGTGTGTTTTTCAAATTAACAAGTATTTTCTACACATGGACAAAGAAGAATATTTGTTAATTACAATTAATTATTAATTACACAGTCAGGTTAAACATAAATGTCCTTGGTATAATAAAAATCAAACATTCCAAAATTTTACCCACATTTAAATATAGCTGTGATGAATGGAAAAAGACACAAGGTATAAACAAGATTTTTAGAGCAAGGAAGAAAACATCCAAGTTTACAGGTTTCACCCCAATAGCAAAAGGATTCTTTTTGCCAGGGTTAGCTGACACAAGCAAAAAGCAATGCAATAGCCATCAATCTGCCTTGAACAAGATCTATTGTCTCCTTTGGTTGTTATATTTTAGTAGACTTTTTCAAAACTGAATTTTTCAGGAAAACTGAACATACACATTAAATTTACGTATTTTCCTCCTTGTTGTTTTCATATGTTAAAAGACTTTGACTAAGACCCCAAAAACAATTTTTCAAAAACCCTGGCTAATTTTCACTTATTTTGCAAAAACGAAAGTTTTCTATCATCTTCACCCCATATTTTCTTCCAAGACAAAGGGTTTCACTAAGTGAATGAATCTAACATATATCATTCAACATTTTTATTATATCATGCCACCCAACCTCACTCATTATGCTCTTTGCATGATCTAAACATTCAGTTCCCCAAAATTAAAGCCACTGCCTGCAAAATACTGTCTTTTGAGAAGTACAATTAATGAAATGTTTTTTAAATGAATGTACGTGCATTTATGGAAATGGGACTTTTCTTAGAAATAGTTTGTTGCTTGAAAAGTATTCAGGATTCTTTTGTGAATGAATTGTGCACACAGATGGAACATGAATAAAAAAAGATAGCTGTTGATAATCATTTATATTAGAACCTGACTGTCTGAAATAATGAAGTGAATTAAGAAAATAAATTGTCTTCAGAATGTACAAAATACAAAATTGAAGAAGTATAAATACCCTCCATGTGTCTCTACTACTGTCAAATATAGAGGGCACCTTCCCTGAAAAACTAGCCTTAATATTCTGGTTAACTTGGGAAGTGTGCACTGAGAGAGCAGACATGGCGGGGTGGCCTATTGGCTTGATTACTGAGGTCACTTTACTCCTTATCTCTGATCTGAAGAGGTGCAAACGACTTTCTGAACATAAAATGACCAAGTATTTGGATTTTCTGCAGAGGAGACAATTCAATCGAAATTCAGTGAATGTCTTTTTATTTCTATGATAGGTAAAGTGAAAAGTTCTAAGTTTTTAAAGATAAATTGGTTCCATTGCTGGCCTTAAAAAAATGTTCACAAATTGTTGCTGGCTAAGGGCAATCTGGAATGTAGCTAAAAATGTGATAAGTGCTTATGAATAGGTGCTGTGGGAGCACAGAAGCAGCAGCAATTAATTATGCTTCGAGTAAAGAGAAATATTTTACAAATAAAGTGGGAAGTCAACTGGGACCTAGCTAATGAGAAGAATCTTGCCAGGAAGGTAAGGGGAAGCTTTCTAAATAAGAGAAAGACAATACAGTATCATCTTTAATCATCACAGCTTGTATTATCCCCACTTTGCAGGCCAATTTATTGAGGCTCAAAGACCTTGTTCAAGTTCCTTTTTTAAGTTACGATGAAAAATCAGATTGTAATGAAATGCTGTTGATCCCAAATATAACTTTCTCAGCACTTCTTTCTGCAGTTTCAGTTAATAATACCAAACAGACAAATGACAATATGTATGAAAATTAAAAGACAGACTAATATACATTTATTTTCATTGGAGTGGAATGGCTCCAGAAGAGCAAAGCCACAATAGAAAACTCTGCTCTGGGTAAAACAGCAAAAAATTTCTGAGTTCAGGAGATAAAATTGTCTGGGATCAAAATGAAGTGGTAGAGAAAACATGGACCCTGGTTTGGAGACCATGGAGGAAACAGAAAATGCCATGATCAGTTTAGTGTTGAATGTACAAAGAAAAGGCAGTAAAGCTACATTTCTGTAAGTGCTAGAACTTACTACTAGGACAATAGGAACTCAAGGGGCAAGTTGCTAAGGAAGTGAGAACAGCCAATGGATGCCACTAATACTTAACATAGCCCTTGTAAAATTCCATAAAAAAACTGATAAAGAATTGCAAACATTGAAAAAGAGAAAAATTATCATTCCTCTCCAGAACACAAGGGTGCCTTTCTAGAATGGCAACAAAGTGATATTTTAGCTTATAAATTAGTAAATAGGAGTCTTTAATACATAAAACCACATCTGTCTGCCACAAAGTATATGTTTCACTTTCCCAGTATCCCTTCTTTTATAAGCCAATAAATTTCTTTCTTTCTTTCTCTCTCTCTCTTTAATTTTTTCCCTGGTGATCTTACTTTAACACCCTTGATATGATATATTTGTTTACCAAGAATAACTTTTATAAGAGTAAATGTGCATAAATATTTTTGGCTATATCAGTATCTGTAAAGTATGCCTATAAAGATAAAAACTATAATTCAATAATACAATTAATATTGTTTTCTTGAACTTCAATTCATAAACATAATAATTATTTTATATCTTTTAGTTGATAACTATACATTATGAAATATATGGTGTAATTAAATTATAGCAATCTCTCCAAATGGAGTTCTCTTTGAGACCTCACATAATTAGAATCTACTCTTAACTTTAAAAGTACCACAAAGGCCAAAAGTTCTTCATCCCCAGATGTAAGATTAACTGGAGATTTGTCTTCATGAACAAATATCTCTCTTACTTACAACTTCTATTTTGATATTTCCTGACAATAAGAAAATATCTTTACCAGTATTCTGAGCTTAGTAGGTGTGCATTATGTGTTGGCTTCTTTATTTTTTCACTTTCACTTCTTTCACACACATTTACTACCTTCCAGTCTATACACAGAACACCTCTTCGTGTGATGACACGCATTTGAGGATGTGAACTGTAGACTTTAGTTAATAATAACATATCAGTATTGGTGCATCAATGGTTAAAAAAAAGTACCACAGTGATGCAAGATGTTAATAGAGGAAACTGGCTGGGAGTGAGATGGTATAAGGGAACTCTGTATTCTCCACTCAAATTTTCTGTAAACCCAATGTTGCTTTAAAAAGTATGTGTGTGTGTATACACACACACACACTTTATTATATAGGTAATATATACTTTGTAATATATACTTTATTTTCTATATGTACTTTTATATATACTGATTTATATATACTAATTTGTATGTAATATATGTTATGTATGATATATAATTATATATGTAAATATAATGATTTTAACACATTCCACCAATTTACATTTAGTGTGTGTGTGTGTGTGTGTGTGTGTGTGGAAATGAGAATAGAATTAAAATGGTTTCTACACAAAATCAACTAAACAAAAGAAAGACAATAATGGAGGGAAGGAGGAAATAGTTGACAAAAAGGTAAAAGACATATGGAAAGCAAAGCAAAATTGAAGTTTTGTCTTTCATTATCAGTAATTATTCTAAATGCAAATGGTTTGAACTCTAATCAAAAGGGAGAAATTGCCTAAATGAAAAATGAAAAACAAATATGATTACACTGTGTCCTATCTACAAGACTCATTTCAAATCTAAAGACATATATAGATTGCAAGTGAATGGATAGGAAAAGACATCCCATGCACATGGTAACAAAGTAAGAGTTTGAGGTCACTCTACTGTTATCAGACATAAAAGACTTTAAGTCAAAAACTGTTGCAAAACACATAGAAAGACATGCTGAAAATAATGCCAATTCATTAAGACAATATGACTATTTTTCAGCTTTACTGCAGTGTAATTGCCAAAGAAAACTGTACATATTTATGATGTTTTGATATATACATACACTCTGAAATGATTAAATCAAGCTAATTAACCTATCGATCACTTCACATATTTATCACGTTTTGTATTAAAAATATTTAAGGTCTACTATCTGAGAAGTTTTCAAGTTTACAATGTATATTATTAAACATAATCACAATGCTCTTCAAGCTTATTCCTCCTCACGGGAAACTTCTATTCTTTGACGAACATCTCTCCCTTTCTATCCCACTACCCACACAATTTTCTTTCAACCACATTTCTACTCCCCTTCTATGAGACTGAAGTTCTTTAAGATATTTTAATACACAAACATTCCCTAGGATAGAACATATGTTTCCAGAATAGATCACATGTTAGACACCAAACAAGTCTCAGTAAACTTATTAATAAAAAGATTGAAATCCTACAAGTATCTTTTCTGACTATAAGAAAATGAAAGAGGAAAACAATAACAGAAGGAAAACTTGAATATTAACAAATACATGGAAATGAACAACTCTCTAAAACAACCAATATGTCAAAAAAGAAATAATGATGGGAATTAGAAAATAAGATGAATAAAAACAAAAAATGCAACATGCCAAAATTTAATAAATGTAGAGAAGGCAGTGCCCAGAGGAAAATTTATGAATACAAATAACTACATTAAAAAAGAAGAAGAAGTTTAAATTAATCACCAAACTTTATACCTTGAGCCACCAGAAACAAACAGAAAATTATACCCCAAAGTGGCCAAAAAAGAAATAAACAAACAAAAATAAGAATACAGTGGGGATAAAAAGAAAGAACATAAATACAATAAAAGAAACCAAAGTTGGTTCTTTGAAAATACTTTTTAAATAATTAACAAGCCTTTAGCTAGACTGACAAATCAGAAAAGACAAAAATAACTAAAATCAGAAATGAAAGTGGGGTACAGTTATTGACTTTGTAAAATAAAAAGGATTATAAGAATATATTACGAATAATTGTATATCAAAAAATGGATAATCTAGATGAAATAGAAACTATCTTATAAGCACACAAATTGTCCAAACTGACTCAGAATAAATAGAGAACAACAGATCTATAATAAGAGATTGAGTCAGTTATTGAAAACCTCCCAGTAAAGTCCAGGATCAAAAGATTTTACTGTGACCTTTATTAAACATTTTTAAAGTAACACTAATATTCCTGAAACGCTTACACAAAATAGAAGAGAAAACACAACCTAACTCATTCCATGAGTCCAACGTTATTCTGATACCACTGACGAGTAGAAAATATTGCAGAAAGTAAAACACTCAATTAAATGGAAAGATATTTTATGTTCATTGGTAGGAAGACAATATTTTTGTGTTAATACCACCCTAAGTAAGCTCTGGCCTCATGCACTCTCTATCAAAAATTTAACAGCCATTTAGGCCTGAATGAAAAAGCTTGTCCCCGAATTCATACGGAACTGCAAAAAACTTCAAAAACCCACAACAATTTTGAAAAAGAAAACAAAGGAGGATTCATATTTCTCAATTTCAAAACTTTTTACAGAGCAACAGTAATCAAAGCAGTGTGAAACTGGCACAAAGATTAGAAACAATATATTAACTCATTAGAATTAAAAGTCTTGAAATAAACCCTCACATATACGGACAATTGATTTTTTTTTAAAAGATAGTTATGTTTCCCAGTGAGAAGGAGAACTATCCTCAACAAATAATACCAAGATAACTGGATTTCCACAAGCAAAAGATTTAAGTTGAACCCCACTTTACACCTTTTTCAAAAATCAACAAATGCATGAGCTAAACCAATAAAACCCTCAGAAGAAAACCTAGGCATAAAACTTTATGTCCCTGGATAAAACAATGGATTTGTTGATATATCACCAAAAAAGAAGCAACATTAGTGAAAATAGATGAATTAAGATTCATGAAAATTGAAAACTTTTGTGCATCAAATAAAATTATCAAGAAAGTGAAAATAAAACCTATTAGGGATTTAAAATATGTATACATTGTATATTTTTTGAGAGCTTAATATATTGAATGAAGTACTCTTACAGGTCAAGAACAAAATGACAAAAAAACCCAATGAATATTAGGCAAAGGACTTGTATAGACATTTTTCCATACAAGACAAACAAATGCTTAATAAGAACATGAAAATCTTCAACATCTTTAGTCATTACAGAAATGCAAATTAAAACCTCAAGGAGAAACCACTCACACCTCATCTCCTAAGATGGTTATTGATAGCAATACAGGCAGGAGGTAGACAAATCCTAGGCAGACAGGGGTGGGTCCCAGTGAAACCCAACCTTCAAGTTGAAGGCAGTTTGAAGCCTAACTACAAGTCTTGGGTAAATCCACAGACCAGACTGAGCACCTCTATCCCCATTTGGTGCACTTTTTTTTTTTATTGCTCCCCACCCTGCACCTATTTTACATATACGTATCCTTCCCTAATTGTTTTTTTACACTGTCATGTGCACCTTTGAATGATGGCTTTCTTTTAGCCTCTTTTGCATACTTATAAACCAATCAGCATTAGCACACTCGCATTCTGAGCCCATAAAAGCCCTGGACCCAGCCACACTGAGGGAGAGACCACCTGACCACATTCCCTCTTCACTAAGAGCTGTTTCATCACTCAGTGAAACTTTTATCCTCTCTCCTCACCCTTCGATTGTCAGCATAAGCTCATTCTTCTTGGACTCAGAACAACAACTCGGGACCGTGCTGAACACAGGTACAAAGAAAGCAGTAATGCTGTGGCCCTCCACCCTCCACCAGCAGAAGGGGGCTGCCCCACTCCATGGAAAGCAGTGCTGGGGCTGAGCCAACCCAGGTGCCTCAGGCCAGAGTGGGGTGACAGGACTGACAGAGCTGTTAACTTGCCACTGTGTCTTGGGCTGTGGACAGTGGGACTAAAAGAGTTATTATTCACACTGTAACACCCACTCTGGGACTTCTGGGTCATGGGCTTCCCTGCTTGAGTGCCTTCACGTTCCCCTTGTCTAGATGCTAGAGTCCACCATGGAAGTCACTTGCAACATGCTTGGTCAAGCTGTAAGCCCTGCATGGAACCCACTCCTGTGCCAGCACTTGAAGCAGCTGGCCAGACCCTTCACTCACTTGCCCACACACCCTCTTCATCTGGGGGCTGAGCTCATAATCATGGTGGCTGCAGGATTCATGCCAGAGTGCAAACTAGGTGTGGCCCAGTGGCTGAGTGGTTGGGGCACCTCCTGTGGAGAATGTGGGCCAAGCAGGGGCATTGCTGGCTGGAAATCTCCAGCTGGAGGTCTCAAGCTGGCAAAATGGCTGAGAAAAATCCTACATCATTTCAACAACTTAAAAAAATTAAAAAAACATAAAAGGAAAATAACAAGTTTGGGCAACTCCATGAAGATATTGTGTTAGTGTTAATATAAAATGGAGAAGCCCCTATGTGGAATAGTTTAGAGGTTTTTCTTAAAAAACCTAAACACGGAATTACTATATGACTAAACAATTCCACTTCTAGTATATACCCAAAGAATTTGAAAACAGGAACTCACGCAGTTACTTGTATGCCAGTGTTGATGAGGATATGGAGAAATTGGAAACTTTGTGCACTGTGGTTGAGAATGTAAAATGGTTGCAGCCACTACAGAAAACAGTGTGCTAGTCCTCAAAATAAACAACAACAAAAAAAATTAACACATGATACAGCAATTCACTTCTGGGTATATATCTAAAATAATTTAAAGTAGATTCTCAAAGAGATTTATGACACTGATGTTCACAGCAGCATTATTTACAATAGCCACAAAATTGAAATAACCCAAGTATTCATCAACAGATGAATATATAAATATAAGGTGGTATATATAAATGATGTGTTATTTAGGCTTAAAAAGGAGTGAAACATCCTATAGTATGTATGATCCTTGGAAATATTATGCTAAGTAAAACAAGCCAAACACGAAAAGAAAAATATCATATGATGCCACTCATGAAATATCTAGAACAGGCAAATTTGTAAAGACAGAAAGTAGATGAGAGGTTACCAAGGGCCATGGGATTGGAGATTGGGGGGTTTTGCTCAATGGTTATGAAGTTTCTGTTTGGGATAATGAAAATATTTTATAAATAGATGGTGATGGTGGTTGTATAAGATTCTGAGTGCACTTAATACCACTGAATTGTATACTTAAAATGGTTGCAATGCTAATTTCATGTTATATATATTTTGCCACACAAAAAAATCAAAATACATAAAGGGACTATGAGTAGATTAACATGCTATTGTTAAAAAGAGAATGGGCATTAAGCATCTGGAGTTTCAAATAATAAAAAGAAAATTTTTCCATAGATGAATTGTTTATGGGTAAGAAATGGGCAGATTAGTCTGAAAATATAAACATGGACTTGAGGGTGAAAGGTCTTGAAGGTTAAATAAATATGAACGTGGACTTGAGGGTGAAAGGTCTTGAAGGTTAAATACGGTCTTCAGGGTTCAGTCAGTGAGAAGACAATGAAGGTTCTCAGGATGGAGGGTGCCAGGTTCTAACTGAGTGGGTAAGTGGCAGGTAGCTGGAAAAACACTCAAGGAATCATAGACAGTTTTGACATGGATTTACTATCTCCCTGGGTACAAGCAAGCCGTATATATGGTGTTATCAGGATAATTATACCTTTTACAGACAATAATGGCTCCAAGCCAAACATGAGCTAACATGGGTGATCATCTAATGTGCCTCACATAGCATGCTTACATAATGTGTGGGGTTGTATGCCTGCACTCCAAACTTGCTGAGTTATGCTGCATTAGAAGGCTGCTTCAGCCTACTCCTGACTAAAGCACAGCCATTCCCTTACACTCCAACCTCTAGGCTGAGGTTTTCCTCTGGGCAGGGACACGAGCCAATAGGGCGAAGCCCTGAATCCATAACCCACAACAACAATACAGACAGCAACAGCTCACTAACAGGATCCAAGCTATGCAACTTATGACTATTAAGGCCTAGCATAGGCCAGAGCCTAGGGATTCCCACCATCTCTGCAGGGAGTCGTCAGTAAGGCTCTTGACCACCTTAATCTCTCATGAGTCCCCTTGCAAGGCTGCTGTTATATTCTGCCAATTGTCAGGGATAAAGGTACAACATTGTGTTCCTAAAAGGGCACAGATGCCTTCTTGGGCAGCAATTATTATGTCTAAGGCCATTCAGTTTTGCAACATAACATTTCTGACCTGGTCAACCTCATCTTTTAACAAGAGGAGGACCACTCAGGTGTAATTTAGAATCTGAGCGGTATGCTCTGCAAGAGCAGTAACTTGTGCTTCTACTATTATGGCACCTGCGCCAGGGATAGTCATTGCCAAGGGGTAGAATCACCAAGGGGCTCATCACACTCACAAAATCCAAGAGCATTGTACCTCCTCCCAGTTATGTGGGCATCTGGGCAACATGGGGAGGACAGTGGCAGGTGCATAAGGCCACCCTCAGGTACATCATCCAGTTCAATCCACTGGTAAGTAAGTAAGCCACCCTTTGTCCCAAGAGACCCATAAACTCCCAGGGGGCACAAAATCTATCAGGGCCTGACCTTGGTGGGGCCACTCGTTCCACCATACCTTCAGTGTGGCGACATCTGTTATGTTTACACAGGCCACGATGGGTACCCGCCCCACAGTGGTGTTGCCCCAGTGTTGCTCTATGCACTGTGGTGCCTGGGCTGGGGGTACCACATGTTTCCCAATTAGCTAGCCCCACACATCATAAATGCTGTGGGCCAGCCAGGAGGCAGGCATGCATGCGTCTTGTGGCATGCTTTGTCCAAAGCTTGTCACATTGCATTACAGGCATTGGCCATGGAACCCCAAGTCTCCAGCCATCTCCAGTTCTCTGCAGGCACTGAATGTATGTGCTAAGGCAAGCCATCTGCAGCTGCTGCTTGAAGGGAGGTACAGATACAACAGTTGGAAACCTTGGTCACCACAGCAGAGGTGTGGGGCCAATCCACAATGCAGTTGGAGCATGTTAACTTATGGATGAAATGACAGAGAAGACACAGGTACTAATGGAGATAAATCACATCCCTCAGGCAAAATACAGGCTAACCTTTCATCCCTGGATAACAATGCAGCCTCTAAGGGCTTCTGCCCTGGGCAATGGTACCACACCTTCTCAGCTCCCATGGTTCCTTTAAGTCCTGTGTCTATGCCAAAGTCATGGGGGAGATCATAATAAGCCACACAGACAGTACATATGTCCCCTAGAGGAGGGATCCTTCCCTGGCTATTCCCTATAAACAGTCAACCACGGGGGCCATGCACTGAACACCCAAGGAGTGACATGAAAGTCATGCTGTAGATTCTCCCCACAGGCAGCTACGATGGCCAACCACCGGCAATGGGGGCTTTGGAGGGTCCATGGCCATGGCCAGGTTTTCTATTCCCCTACCTGCAAGGGCATTGGAGCAGGCAACAGGTTACCATTCATCCCCATACCTGGTTGGAGGAGCCATCCTTGGTGTGTATCTGAAACTAAATGTGGGTGGCAGCCAGGTGTAACAAAGCCTCCACTGGGGACGGGCCACCTTTCCGTGGCCATTCATTCAAGGTTTGGAGCACCCGGTCCAGCCTGGAACTCCAGCCCCACAAAGACAGAATGTGACATGCAAGTGTAACCCATTCTTCAAGAGCCCGTTATATCACTCAATCCTACTTGCAGCTTGCGGGTTGTATAACACATAGAATCCCCACTTTTTGTCCATGTATTATATTTATTGTTGTACCTGTTTTCCAGTGAAATGTGTTCCCCTATCATTCTCAACAGCCAGAGGGTGAATAAGTGTGGCAGGGCCTGGATGGTGTGCTGTTGGTTGGCCACCCCTGCATTTGGCAGGGGCCCAATACTTGCCACCTGGTCAAGGCCACTCACCTTATTGTTACTTGTTGTGTAACACTGGGCACCTGCCTCCATCTAGGGTATGCCTGAGCACATGCCAGGCATTTCTGACAAGCCTTCCAAATGTCTTGTGTGGGTAGGGACAGAGCCCAATGCTTATTGACCTGTTGCATCAGTTTACCCCCTTCATGTCCCAGTTTCTGCTGTAGCCACAAGGCCACATCTTGTCTAGGTACTGACTCTAACCATCAAACCTTGGCCAAGGCATCTGCCTCATCATTGCCGGGGTGGCCAAAGGCATATGGCATGACATATGATGAACAGTTGTCTCTTTCTGATGTCCAGTTTCCCAGAAGTCTTGCCACATGGCTTGGCCCTAAATTTGTTGGTGGCCGACTAGCCACTTCTGTATTTTCCAGGTAGTTAACCACAAGGCTAAGCCTCAGTAGACTGCCCAGCTATTGGTACAGATTGCCATAGGTGTCACCTCCTGGGTGATTGCCATCCACACGGCTCTAAGTTCAGCCCATTGGCTACTTTGTCCACACCTGGTTTCAAATCATATGGTGTCACTACTAGATTGGGCTGCAACAGAGATACAGGCAGCAGTAGCACCTCAGCTAGACCCATCTGTGTACCATGCCCCATCAGGAATGGGGGGATGTCCTTCCTTAAATGGTGAAGGCTCAGGGTCTAGGGGTGCCTCAGGCCCCATGACCTTATCTTGCATTAGGACTACTGGTCCTAAAATCTCTTGCAACTCTGCTACTAAGGGGCTTGTACTCAGCATGCACCACTACTTCAAGTAGGCGCCACACTTTGCCAAAGTGGATGTCTGTGCCATTCCAGTCCAGGGGGTCATTACCCATGAACTCACCCATCCTGCTATCGAATAAGTCATCCACATGATGATGGCAGCCCATCCTGTCACACTCTCACAAGCCTGAAGGGTGCCAAACAGAGCTGTTTCTCTATCAAGGAATAGTGGAGGTCAGCTCTCTTCCATAGTTTCAAAAGCCTACTGGCATTCTCAAGTGCTCTGTGAGCTGCCACAGGCCCCAACCAAAAGCATCTGTGCTCATATGCACATCCAGCTCAAACGGGCACCTCTAGTAAACTACCCATGGAGCTTGTGCCTTCTGAATAGCCTGCTTGCCTGCCAGGAAGTTGGTCTTAGCTGCATCATCCCAATCACAGGTAGCTCTCTTCTTTGCTAACATATGAAACAGTTTTATCATTTGAACCAAATAGGGCACAAATGCCTGCCAATATCCCAGGAGGCCCACAAAAGTTTGCAGCTGCTTCACTGTGGTGGACTGGGGATACGCCTGAATCTTATCGATGATAGCCTCTGGATGGCATTTGTCTTACGCAACCAGATAACTCCCAAGAATTTGGCAGATAATCCAGGCCCTTGGACCTTGGATTTGTTGATGGCCCAACAACATGCTGCCAAATGTTGCTGCAAGAGGGGCACTGCCTCTTTTAAATCTACAAGAGAAACAGAGGTTAACATAATTATCATCAATATGATGTAATAGGCAGACCACTTCTGGACATAGCCAGGTGGCTAAATCCATGACAACTAGACCATGACATTTCGTGGAGCTATGCACATAGCCCTGCAGCAACACTGTAAAAGTCCATTGTTGCCCGTCCCACGTGAAGGCGAACTGTTCTTGACTCTGGGGCGATGTCTATGGAGAAAAATGCACTGTCCAAGTCCACTGCATAGTGGTACTCTCCCAGTTCCTTTGTCAAATGGTCCATCAAATCCATGACTGACAGTACAGCTGCATGCAAAGGGGGTGTTACTTTATTCAGTTCCCAATAGTCCACCGTCATCCACCAAGTTTCACCAGGCTTTCTAACTGGCCACACTGGAGAACTGTAGGGTCTGTGGGTGCCACGCACTATTTGCACCTCCTCCAGCTTTTTAGTTGTCTCAGTTATCTCCATATGCCAACCCAGCAAATGATATTAATTGGGGTTGAGGCAAGACCTAAGGCTAATGATGCATATGCCCTCGGAGCACTGGCTTCACCACATGCACTCAGAGTCTGAATTCCCTGGCCATGGTTTGTAATGCCAGGTCACGTAAGATACCCACCCGAAGAATGTATTCCAGTATGGGAGAGACATACACAGCATATAAATGGAGAGCCAAATGGACGATGCCAAGGAGCAGAGATACAGGTTTCACTTTCACTGACTGGCCTCCACAGTCATAAACGTAAGCAAGATTGCCAGGAAACTTATCCGGGTTCCCATAAACAAGGCTGCAATCTGCACCAGCATCCACCAGTGCCAGCATCCACTGTACATTGGTGGGGGAACCACTGGATCGCTAATTCTATACGTGGCCTCCGGTCATCTGGTGTCCCCACAAGCCGGGCACCTCAGCCAGCTCCCTAATCAAACAGAAAAAGCCTTATATTTTCACCTGGCTGCAGAAAGTAGTCATTGAGCTACAGCACCTGGGTGGGACTGGATCACACAGCAATGTCCTTTTTCCCCTTAGGCATTTTCTGGGACTGCTCCTCCAGAGACAACCATCTCCTCAAAGTTAAGAGTACTTTATTAGGTTGCTTATCAATTTGCTCATAGTCAACCCTGGCCAAAATCAAATCTATCCACACATGTGAGTGTGTCACTCACTGGGGCTCCTTTTTCTTCCACTGTGGGGACCCCTGCAGGAGGGATATCCTCCCCTGATTTACAGTGTGGACCCCTCTGTTTCACTGACAGCCTTCTGCTTCCCCGAGAGCCGCCGTAGCAGTGGTCACTTTATGTATGCAGCGCCGTAGGTACAGGATGAGATGAGGACAGCAGCTAGGGAGCCAAAGGCACTTGGGGGTGCAGAATCCAACATGATATTCCTCATGTGGGAGGTGAAATGTTCATCATCTGGCCCCTGGGTATTCAGCTCAAACATAGCCTATCGCATACCCATCTCTGGGATGTTTTGTACCAAATCAGCATACAACTGCCATTTACTCACGGTTTTGGGTATTTCACTGGTGTCGTTCCACAGTCTGTATGGCTGCCCATAGTCACTCAGTCAGAGTGTGGTTACCTTGCCCTTGCACCAACCACCTGCTCATCTGCAACCACTGATGGAGGGAAGGGTGAGTCATGATAGAGGCCAGCTTTTCCATCTTAGAGGCAGAACAGGAGATACTATCTGCTCCCTCTTCCCACAAATGAAGCACTCAGGCAAGCAGAGGTTCCCCTGGATGATAACAGCAATGCTTGCCTCATTCCCCCAACTCAGTTGGGGTACAGGCAGTATATGAGGTATGTTGTCTTACCTTGGAGAGTCCCTGAGTTTGCCTTTGGGGCCCCAATGGCTGTTCATGATCTACCTTCTGATGGACCACTGGGCAAGCTCACAACGGGGGTTCTTCCTCCTTGGTATCAGACCAAGTGCGGGTGTCTGGCTGAGATGAGAGACCCAGGCCTGTATTCACAGCAGCCTCTAATTCCTTTTCCAAGCTCTGTAGCCAGGCCTGCAGGTGCCCTGCTTGCACCTGGAGGTCTCTATTCATGGCAGTTTCTATCTCTTTTTCTGAGATGTGTAGCAGGGCCTCCAGGTGCCCTGCCTATGTCTGGAGGTGTCCATTCACGGCAGCATCTATCTCTTTTTCTAAGCTGTGTAGCTAGGCCTCTAGGTGCCCTGCCTGCACCTGGAGGGCCCTGAACTGCACTGCGTCTCTGAGGGACTGGGTGTGTACTTCTTGTAGCACAGTCAAAAATGTCTATTCAACTCTTCTGGCAAAAGCTCACTCACTCTCCACGCTCTGTACTTCCAGCTGCTTCAGCGCTCTCTCCATGCTTGCAGGAAACCATCTACCACCACTCAGGTTTCCAGCGGAGCCCATCCGAGCAGCACAGCTGCCACTGGGTACCACAACCCATGTTGCAGCCACGTGGCTGGCCCAGAAGCAGCAGGGAATGAAGGCTCACTCACCTCGGGATCCTCTTCGTAATGCCAGTTGTCGGTTCTAACTGAGGTGCGAGGGGAGTTGGTGGGCAAGTGGCAGGTAATTTGGAAAACACTTGAGGAATTGTAGACAGTTTTCACATGGATTTACTCTCTCTCTGGGCATGAGTGAGCCATATGTACAGCTTTTATTATACCTTTTACAGACAATAGTGGCTCAGAGCCAATCACAAGCTCATGTGGGTGATCACCTAATGCGGCTCACATGGCGTGGTTACATAATGTACAGGGTTATGTGCCTGCACTCGAAACCCACTGAGTCATGCTTCTCTAGAAGGACGCCACAGCCTACTCCTAACTAAAGTGCAGTCATTTTCTTTATAGAAGGTGACATAAACAATACTATATTACAAATATTTAGCCTATTAGTAGATGGGCCATAATGGAGAAATATTGCTGGGCACAGTAAGCTGTTTGGTATGTTCACAATCATCCATATAAGATATGCAGTATTTCAGAGCCATCTATGGAATAGGAAGAAAATGATAAGTCCATCATATGTTAAGTTCTTTGATAAGAAATATAAGTTTGAGTTCATCTATATATACCCTAAGTAGCATAGTGATTGGGATATTTGACGTACTCTTAAAATATTAAATATTTTAAAATGTTGTATAAATGTGAGTACATATCAAATAGCTTAGATGAGTAACTTCGAGTTGGGGAGATGGAAATATTAAAGATTCCTTTTGAGAATTTGAGCTGGAGTGGAAGGACGTCATTTACCACGGAAAGGTCCTATTGCAATTTGTCAGATTTTTCTATTGGACTGATATAATTAAATATTTCCAACCCATGATCATACACATAAGTAAAGAAATTATTCTTTTTCTGTGCAGCTACAATTCTGGCTCTAAAGGAATAATAAAAATGACAAACAACTCCTTTGTGGCTGAATTAAATTGGTAAAACCATGGAGAACCATGCTCTTCCGTGGGTCTTCTGGTAGAAGCTTATGAGACCTTAGACAAGCAGCTCTGGCTGATGCTGCAGCCTGAGGAAATATCTCCCATTAAGTCCATGTGTTCATTTTACATCTGGCTTTTGAATTGTATTCTAGGTTTATGTATAATTTTCTCATGTTTGGATCCTCCTCCCCATGAGTCCTTTATAGTTGATTCCTCAATCAACTTATACTTTTGAATTACTTTAAATTTTTACCTCTGTCCAATGTCTTATTAATTCTCTGTGGATCAGTGCTCTTAATATCAGTCCTACTTATCCTGCTCCCATCTTCAGCTCCCAGGAGCCGCCTTTCTTATGTGTCTGGTACCCCTGAGTGAAATGAGTCCAGATTTTCCACCTGGAAGTGCAATGCTCCTTATTAGAACAGGTGGTTCTTATGATATCATACATCTTTACTATGCACTCTATTGATATTTAAAATTTAAGAAGTATCATCTATTTTACACACATTCTAAGATTACTACCTTTTAAAAGCAATCAATTTTTAAAAAATAATCAGGGATTAAACTGTACTAAAAAAACTTTTTGTCCTGAAATTATGCCAGAAACTCTATTATTTTAAATTGCCTATTCTAAATATATTTTAAATGTTTTATGTTATTCAAAACTCAGACTGAGAATAATTTTTTAAGTCAATTTATGGAATTAAGTAATTATCCTGACATAATTCATTGTAACATTCAGTATATTTTTCTTGCATTACCTCTTAGAGTTCTTGTAAAAGAATAATGCAATTATATTTATTCATATAGAAACTTGCAATTATACTCTATCACTAAATTACTCAACAGTTATCACTTCAATGCTTAGAACATCAAAGAAACTTTGAAATGAAGACAATACTTATGAGATCAAGTTCACAAAGTAGTTGTGACATTTATAAGAGGGATAATTAAACACACTTTATGAATTGGGGATGGGATCTAGATTGGGCCAAATTCTGCATCCTTTGCAGAGTTGAAAATTGATCATTTATGTCTAATGAGAAAATGATGAGATTCTTTCACTTAGTAGGGAGAAATCCTAAGGGAAGTTGCCGCTAGACAGAACAAATTTGTCCACCTACACTTTCCCATTGGAACAGTGGCTTCTAGCTTTCATCGCAGTAAAATATTTTTACTCGGTTTTCAATTACTGGTCAGCTTCAGTTTCTTTTTGTGACAGATTGTAAAAGGGAAGTATCTATGTTTTAAAAATTCCTTTTTTAAAGCCATGAGAGACTGAAGTATAAGAGAACATCCCCAAAATAGGAAAGAGGCATTTCTCCTGAACTCATCTATCAACAGCCTTTAGTTGTGGCATCTCCTTAGCTGCAGGGCCAAAAATGTGTAAGTGGTATGCAGCAAACATAGTAATACTCATCAAAGAAGTACCTGTACCCAGAGGAAGAGATAGTGGGGCCCACCAGCAATGGTCTTTCTGGCAGAAACAGTAGTAAAACAGAAATGGCAGTAGTTTGAAACAAAGATGGTGATACCCAGGGGTACTCATGACCCATAACAGATTAGGCAGAGGTGTGCTTTGAAAGTAGAAATGTGTGGGGCCACAATACATGGCTGTCCTCTACATCTGGTGCTGAGGAATAGAAAGGAAGGACAAGTGTCACTTGATAAGCAGGAAACAAGTTATATTTTTCAATTTATTTGACATTCTACACCTGGCAATATGTTTAATTCACATAGCAATTTCTGTATCAATAGGTGAGAGTAAACACCAGGGTGATATATTCACTTCTCTCAAAGTGACCTTGTAAGCTAAAGAAAAGAATTGGGTATTATTATATATTTCTGGAAAAAAATTGGCTCTTGATACCACCTAAATTGATTACTTTTTAGTATTTCCTCAGTAGCACTTATGTATCTAGTCAACACTATATTATTTTTACCTCTGCTAACCTGCACTTTGCAATTGGTTCCGCCAATTCACTTTATAAATATATATTAAGTTCAAGGAATGTGGCCCAGTATTGTAGTGGAGACATAAAAATGAATAAGATAGCTCTTGCTCTCAGAGAGTTTGCAGTTAGGCAAAAATGCAAAATAAAAATAAAGATCATATAGTTAGCAATATATGTAGTAGTCTCTGATATGATACAGAAGAAATTAACTTTCATAATTAGAATATTATACCCAATAAGTTCCACTAATTTATTTATTCCATAAATATTAAATAATCTACTATATATTGAATGCTAGGTACTTAGTATATGGCAGTGAAGCATACAGACAAAACCTCTTGCTGTTATGTAGCTTATAGTCTAGTGAGAAGACAAAGAAAATAAATAAATAAATGAATAAAGAAAGGAACAATTGAATGAATGAACGAATGAATGAATGAATGGCAAAGAGAAAATGTGCTATGAAGTAGACTTAAGCTATAATTATACATGTGATTTCTGGGCTTGGGGAGGTTAGTTTCAATTTCACTTCAATAACACGATTAGTTAAAGCATCTTTGAGTAACTGACTAAGAACCTGAAAGTGATGAGCCATACATGTACTTGGAGAAGACAAATAGCGATAGGATAGTGTTTAAATGAAAAATCTTGAGGCAGGAACATCCCTTTCCAATGGAAAGAATGGGATACAATCCAGTTTAGCTGAAGCAGAAAATCTAAAGGAGACTAACAAATGGATGACTCAAGAAAGGTGTCAGGAGCCTGGAACATGTAGAACTTTGTAAGCTATCGTGAAGACTTTGGTATTTTTCACTGAGAGAGATAGGAAGCCATTGGAGAGTTTGAGTAGATGAGTGACCAGATTTGACTTACAGCTTAAGAGAATTATTCTGGCTGCTGTGTCCAAAATAAACACCAGGGGAGCAAGTGCAGAAGAAAAGACACTAGGTAGGCACTTGATGCACAGTGGGATAAAGACACACACTCAGATGCTTGAAATGCTTTGCAGATATAGCTTACAGTACTAACTGATGTATTGGTTATGAGATTTGGGAAAAAGAAAGTAAATGCAGTCCCCAGGATACCTGCCTTGAGTAGAAAGAGATTGGTGTATCCACTTATACATGTGGGAAAGACTGTGGAAAGAGAAAATTTAGAGATAAAATTGGTACATTTTTCTATGTGTGAATCTTGAGATGTCAATTACATATTTGTGTGGAATTTAATACACAAACATTTACAGCTCAGTGGAGAGGTCTGTAATGAAGAGGTCAAAAGTATTAGAAACCCTAATACTGGATGATGATATAGAAAGAGAGGTATAAATAGAGAGAATAAATTAGGAAGAGAAACAGTAACAAAGAGAGAAATAAGAGAAGAAAATAAGGCATGACACCATTTGGAGACAGAGAAAGTGAGCTAAAATAGTGAAGTACACTAAATGAAGTAATCAATGAGGTAGAAAAACTAGAATTTTCTTTCTTTCTTTTTTTTTTTTTTTTTTGAGACGGAATCTCACTCTGTTGCCCAGGCTGGAGTGCAGTGGTGCTATCTCTGCTCACTGTAAGTTCCACCTCCGGGGTTCAAGCCATTCTCCTGCCTCAGTCTCCCAAGTAGCTGGGACTACAGGCACCCGCCACCACGCCCGGCTATTTTTTTTTTTTTTTTTTGTATTTTTAGTAGATACGGGGTTTCACTGCCTTAGCCAGGATGGTATCCATCTCCTGACCTCGTGATTCGCCCGCCTCGGCCTGCCAAAGTGCTGGGATTACAGGCATGAGCCACCATCCCCCGGCTTAGAATTTTCTTTTTTAAGTGAAGCCAAGTGAAGAAAGTATTTCAATGAGAAGATAGGGAAACCATAAATTCCCACTAATAAATTGAATAACTGGAAAAATCCATAGATTATGAGTGCGTAGTCATGAATTATTACATGTATTAGACAATCTATAATGTGTTGCATACAGAGTATGCAAAGTGGTAGGAATTTGTACCCTACAATATAGCTAGACGAATACCATATTTTTTATTAGTCATAAATTATCTACAATAATAATTTTATCTTTCTCCTTTAATGGAAATATAATATTTTAACATTTTACAGGTCACAATACATTCATTTAAATACATTTAAATTATAATTTTTAAATGAACAACTATAATAAATATCACAAAATGTTTTAATAAACATTCATCATCCAACTTTTTTTCTGTAGAGTTCTACTATACACAAATATAATGAGTGATGGTGAGATCTATTCCCTATGGAGAAATAGCTATGCACCAAATTTTAGTCATATTCTGTTATTGAACACTCAAATGTGTATAGGTAAATGAAGAAAATCTACATTTTCTTGGCTTTATTAAGCCATCTTTGCTGCACATATTTAACTTAAACTTGCAAGAAACAGAAATAGCATCTTTTTCTTAAGGTTATAATGATAGTCTACATCTGCTAGAAAGTACAATACAGACAAGGAATTGTCAGAAATATATTTATGCAATGACATCAATGTGAATGTAGTTATAATATTTATTGCTGCAAATAAAATACAATAAAGTATACAAAGAACACATAAATCTTAAATAATTTGGTATTTACAAGTTATTTTATAAGATTAAAAATTTGAATGGTAAAATATTTTGTAAATTAAACAAAAACCAAATAAAATGTAAAAATGTGTTTGTCCAAAGGATTATATGTATATTTCTATTAATTGTGCAAATTATCTCTATAGATTTCCTTAGAAACCTTTGAGAAAAAAAATATAACCTTACAAGTCATAGAACATACTATGATAAACTCACAAGATGATGTATTAAACGGTACTCAAATAATCCTAAGAAGTAAAATTGGTTATATTTCTTAAGTTTCTGAAATTATTCCTGAGAGATTTTATAAATAAAAATGTAAAAATCCGTCATCATGAAAAAACTCCAGTGGCATAAATAACATTTCATGATTAAATTAAATAAATTGAAAAAGGATGTAGAAAATTTTTTTCATCATGATGTTGCTGTTTGGTGGATAAAATTTTTTATTGTAATTCATAAGTAAAACAATCTTAGGAAATAGATATATTTCCTGTCTCATCCAGAAACACATGCTTTTCATATTCACATTTCAAACTAACCAAAGAGTGTATTTTACAAAGGTTCATAAAGAGAGCTAGCAGGAAAATCGACTTGTCCTTAGTCATACCAACTGTTGCCAATCTTAAGTAACTCTAGGAGAAGTTTCATCTCACACAGGCAACAGCTGCAGGACTCTGATGAGCCTCCAGAGTGGCCTTGTGTGCCCAACATTTTTGTTTTCTACTTAAAAATCAACTGACCAGGATGTGCCTGAGTACACGCAGTTCTAACCAAATGCCTAATGCTATTTTATGATGCCTTGAATTTTATTACCGAGCATCCTTTGAAATACGACGCATGCCATTTTTCTTTAATATCTAATTCTAAAAGCAAAGGAAGATAGCTTAATTTCCTTGTATGTTTCATCAGTAAGGCAAAGAATCATGTTGGAAGCATAAAGCAATGCACTCCTAGGTAACAAAGTACCACTTAGCAAATTATCATGAAAAGAAATGCCAAATTGGCGTAAGGTAAAACAAAACCAGCAAGAGAAAGTTAAATTAAAAAATCATGGTCAATTCATTTTTTATTAGAAAAGACACAATGTCATTATACAATTCTATTTTCATACTAAATCTTTGTGGAAAACATAATTAGAATAAACAATGATGAGAGAGAACAGATTCATAATCTTAACATCTATGGTTAGCATCTTGATCACAATCTTTTCTGATACACTCACAAATTAGGATTTGCGAGTCAATCCTCACAAATCAAACATGGTGCTTATAAATTCACTTTTTCACATTAGCGTTCTATCCTCACCTAAATTTTTCTTCTCTTTTTTTTTTTTTAACTTTTACTTTAGATGTAGAGGTACATGTACAGGATAGTTACATAGGTAAACTGTGTGTCATGGGGGTTTGTGGTACAGGTTAGTCGCTCACGTAATCAGCATAGTACCTAATAGGTATTTTTTAAAAATTCTATCCCTCCTGCCACCCTTCACTCTCAAGTAGACCATGGTGCTATTGTTCCCTTCTTTGTGTCAAGAGATCGAGACCATCCTGGCTAACACAGTGAAATAAAAAATGAACAGGGCGTAGTGGCGGGCGCCTGTAGTCCCAGCTACTCGGGAGGCTGAAGCAGGAGAATGGCGTGAACCCAGGAGGCGGAGCTTGCAGTGAGCCGAGATCGCGCCACTGCACTCCAGCCTGGGTGACAGAGCGAGACTCCGTCTCAAAACAAAAACAAAAACAAAAACAAAAAACAAAAGTAAAACACTGTTTGATATAGACAGTGATTCATCATGTGATCCACAGAGAAGCCCTGTGAGGGATTCCATGTGCAACTGAATCAAGGCCAGGCCAGGGAGGTGGACACAGAAACCTAAGATCATTTTAGTATCATTCTAACAATGTTCCTTTTCAGATCCAGGAAGCTTTTTATTTTACCATGGGCTTACAAATAATTGTAGCAAATAAGCATGACCATGATTCTGTTGTTTAAAAAATCAGAGCTGTTTATGTAGCTGATTTTTTTTTTTAATGGGACACAGTGTTATAAAATTTCAGTAATTTTATCAGCAACTCCTCAGCCATTGAGTATTTCTTAATGAACTAACCATTAGGAATACAAAAATGTTTTCTTCTTACTTTAAGGGTTGCATTCTTCAACTAGGCAGGCATAATCATGTTTGGGCACATTGATTATGCTTTTGTGTAGTGAAGCTTGAGTCAATTAAAGACCTGAATTTTATAGCAAGCAATGATAATCTCTCTTTTAAAGCATGTTTTCTGAAAATCTGAAGGAAGAGGAGGGAGAGAATAAGGAGGAAGGAGAGGGAGAGAAAGAGAGAGGGTAAATTAAAATAAAACAAGTTATGTTAGCAATATTAGCCACTATGCGATAACCTTTAGGTCTTGCTTTCTCTAAACCAAACAATTAAAACAATTAAAACCATCATACATATTTCTCTCTAAATATATGCTATATTTAGAGAGAAATATAAATACTATATTTAGAGAGAAATATAAATACTATATTTAGAGAGAAATATATATATACTATATTTAGAGAGAAATATATATATACTATATTTAGAGAGAAATATAAATATAGTATAGAACATAACATTTAAATTCTGGCTAAAACATAATTTACTTCTGGAAAGTCTACAGCAGCCTATTACAATGGAGAGTGAAGTTGTATGGGTACCCACTCCTTTGCTAATCCTTTATTTCACCATACATTGATTATGAGGGTCAAAATAGTGAGTTATTTCTTCAGGTTGCATGTGGCTTTTCTGGATCTTTTTGTTTCACATTACGCTTCCTCTACTTTATTTATTTTCCACTCTTGGCATTAGGCATTCCCTAGATACTCATTATGCCACTAAGAAAAATGAATATAATTGAGAAATCAAGTTAGAATCTGCAGCTGCTTCCTTCCCATCTATCAACTCTACCCTCTACTTCTGTACATGGCCAAAGAGCTTAATTTGTCATGATTCTCAAGTTCTCCAGCAACTCAATGAACCTTACATAATATACTAATCTAACTAAATATATTTGACATCTTTGTCTTTTTAGTAACACGTCTGATTATAAAGTTACATAGTAACATAAACTCATGATAACAGGAGAAATAGAACTCATTTCTGCTCTCAATATATTTTTAAAAAATTACTCAAATGCCAAGCTTCTGAGTGACAATTCATAGTGTAAATGAGTAGTTACATGATTTTTTTGTGTGAAATTAATCACATTTTTCCTAAATAGTGTTGACAGATAAAATGCAGAGTGCCTAGGTAAATTTGAACTTCAGATAAAACAGTGAAGAATTGTTTTCATATAAGAATATCCCAATTATTGTATGGAACATAAGTATCAAACATATTTCTTATCTATCTGATATTCAAATTTTACTGGGTGTCCAATGTATGTTTATGTTCTGGAATCCTTTAATAGGGGTTAGCTAAAATCAGTGTGTTTTCTCTACTTTGGAGAGATGAAATTAGTTCTCTCTCTCCTCCCAGGTGTTGTTTCTGGACCATTTTCCTCATCTCCAAAATCAAATAAATAAGAGAGAGAGAAAAAAAAATCACTTTAAATATGTTCCCTTTAGGCACACCTATTTTCTTCCCTCCTAAAAAAATATAATCTTCTGACCTCTAACAATCATTTTAGATTCAAAACCTTATATTCTTACCACATTTCATTCTTCAATTTGGTCGCTTGCCTTACAATCTCAGTTTTCTGATTAGTTCAAGGAAATTTATTATTTGCAGAGTGGTTTAGAGTGATGCCTTTCAAAACGAGGGTTTTGAAACTGGGGTTGTATTATTTTTAGTTTACAATAGCCATGTTTCAAGCAACTATATTCTTGTAGGATTTTCAAGAGAGTATGTCATCAAACTTTTGGATATTGCCCATCTGATAGGTGAAAATACCTCATAGTATTTTTGTTAGCATTACATTAAATTTATAAATAAACAAACACACACATTTTCTTTATCTATCTTTCCTTTGATGGACCCTTAGGTTGACTGGACAAGAGTGGACATCCTTGTCTTGTTTCTGATCTTGGAGAAAAAGCTTTCAACTTTTCATCATTGTGTGTAATGTTATCTATGGATTTGTCATATATGGCCTTTACCGGGTTGAGGTATATTCCTTTTATTCCTAATTTGTTGAGTTTTATAATAAAAAGATATGAAGTTTTTAAAATGCTTTGTCTGCATCCACTGAGATAATCCTATTATTTTTCCCTTCATTCTCTAAATGTGATATATCACATTAATTTATTGGCATATGTCAAATCTTCCTTGCAACAAGGGGATAAATCCTAGTTGATCATGGTGTTTGATTTTTCTAATGTGCTATTGAATTCAGATTTATAAAAATTTGTTGAGAATGTGTGCATCAATGTTAACAGAGATGTTGGCCTGTAGTTTTCTTTTCTTGTAGTGTTCTTGTTTGGCTTTTGTGAGAGAGTAATGGCGATCTTCTAAAATAAATTTAGTAGTTTTTCCTCCTCTTCAGGTTTTTCAAGTGTTTGAGAATAGGTATTAGTTGTTACTTAAATGTTTAGTAGAATTCAGCATTGAAGCCATCAGGTTCTGAGGGTTTTTTTGGTTGTTGTTGTGAGGTTTCTGATTACTGATTTAATATTCTCACTTGTTATTGAACTGTTTAGATTTTCTATTTCTTCATTGTTCAGTCTTGGCAGGGTGCATATTTCTTGAAATTTATTCATTGCTTCTGGGTTATCCTATTTGCCCACATATAATTCTCATCAGTAGTCTCTTAAATTATTTGCATTTCTTTTACATGAGTTGGAATGTCTCTTCTTTGATTAATAATTTTATTTATTCAAGCCCTCCCTCTTTTTGTCTTGGCGGGTCAAGCTAAAATTTGTCAATTTTATTTATCTTTTCAGAAAACCAACTGAGTTTTGTTGATTATTTATATTTTTTCTACTTCCAATTTTATTTGTATTTTCCCTGATATTTGTTACGTCTTTTATTCTGCTAACTTTTGACTTAATTTTTTAAGTTGCTTCTTGGAGGTTTAAAGTTAGATTGTTTATTTGAGATCTTTCATTTTTCTTAGTGTAAGAATTTATCATTCTAAAGTTCCTTCTTAGAATTTCTTTTGCTGCATTTGGTATCTTGTGCTTCCATTTTCATTTCTATCAATAATTTTTAAAATTTTGCTTTGATTTCCTCTATAACCCACTGGTTGTCCAATAATATGTTGTTTATTTTTCACATATTTATACATTTTTAAATTTTTCACCTGTTACTGATTCTAGTTTCATTGCACTGTGGTTGACTGAGATATTTGATATGATTTTGATATTCTTAACTTTATTGGGACTTGTTCTGTTGCCTAACATATGATGTATCATGGAGGTTGTTACATATGTGCTTAAGAAGAACGTGTCTTCTGCTGCTGTTGTCCCCAGGTTTTCTGTGGTAGGCCTGAAGCTGGGTTTATGATGAAATCAGATACTCAATTCACTCTCCTTTATTTACGCAAAGGATATCTCTCTCCATACTGTGCTTTCCAGGCTTGTGAGAGGAATGATGCAGATAATCTGAAACTGTCCTTTCTAACATTTTTAATACATTAATTTTAATTTCCATGTTAATCTTTGGTACTGTAACATCTTATCTGCATCCTTTAGTTCTGTGAAAGTATTTTTGTGGATGGATAATTGTTCAAACTGACGTTTCTGTGAGGAGATAATTGCTGAAAAGTCTTAATCCATCATTTTGCTGCGGTCACTCTCCTGCCAATTTTGTTTTAGATATTGTCTATTAGTATCAGTTTTTTATTCTATTTACTCAATTCTCTTTAGATACAATTTAAAAATCCAATACAATTATTTACATTTTCCCACAGTTATAACATTTTTGTGTTCTTCATTTACTTTCATAAATTTTGTTTTTTATAAGGTATCATAATTTTATGCCTAATGAAGTGCCTTTAACAATACTTATAGTCTATGTCTTCTGTCGGTAAATACCCACTTCGTGTTTATCTGAAAATGAATTATTTGCCTTTATGTTTAAAAGTTATTTCACTGGGAACATAATTCTAGGTTAACACTTCTTTTTTTTCCCCCTGTGCTTTAGAGATTATCTCATGATTCATTTCTCCGACTTGCATAGTTTCTGAAGAAAAGTCTGCTCTCATTTTAATCCTATTTAGATAATATGTGATATTTCTTTTTTCTCTAGCTGCCTTCAAGGTTTTCTTTTTATCTTCAGTCTTCAGAAATTAGACTATAATACACTAGGTTATTATTATCATTTTATCCTACTTGTGTTTCTCTGAGCTTCAGGTACACCTAGGTTTTTTACTTTTGTGAAACCTGGAAAATTCTAATTCTTTCAAATTGATTATGTATCTCTCTCTCTCTCTCTCACTCTCTTTGCACTGCTTTCAGTGTTTCAATTATATGTATGTATCATACAGACCATTTATGTTATTAAATATTGTACAGAGCATTTATATTCTTACACAGGTGCTGGATGCTTTGTTCTTTTTTCACTTATGTTTCAATTTGGAGAATTTATATTTGTTTATCTTCACGTCAACTGATATACTAGTCTTCTTCGTCAGTTCTGGTAATAATCCCATCAAAGGAATTCACCTTTGATAACTGTGTTTTTCATTTCTGCCATTTCAGTTTTACCCTGTTTTATAGTTCTGAAATTCCTAGTCTCTTCCAAATATGTTGTCTTATTTTTCAAGATTATTTAACACATTTTTCATAGCTATTTTTGTTTTCATTCTGATAGAACATGTGGTCCATCTCCATGTCTCTTTTTGTTCTATTATATCTGTTAATAATAGGTTGTAGTTCTTTTGCATTTTTGTGAATAGCCTTATTTCCATTTTAATTCTAAACACTGTGTGCAAAAGAACAGATACTGGAAATAATATTTCTGTTTGACATGTGTTTTCTTCTGTCTGAATATCAGTGTCGGGAGTGGAATCTTGTAAATCTGTAGCTGATCTGGAATTGGTTTATATTGTATAGTCAGTAATCATTACCTGTAGTAGTTATGTTCTAAAATGTTTCCAGACACCGAACCATTGCTTCTAGGAAAAATATAGATCTAGGTTCCTGAGAGCTTCTGGTTACATTTTTATTAACCAATCAATATATGACTTTGTTTCATTTGTTTTCCTGTGTAAAGACAACTTATTTAATATAACAAAGAGAATCTAACGTAGGCATTTTCTCTGTAAGGCACATCCTAGCCTTCTGCTTCCAAACACTAAACACACTTTAGCACAATACTTAGGGGCCAAAATAAAAATAAGAATAAAAAAACTGTATTATTAAGTAATCCTTGGAAAGGATGCATTTACAATATAAGGTCTGAAACAAGAAAGTAGAATATTTCCCTGTTTGACCTCATCTGGGAATGCGTGCATCAAGAAACTCAAAATTTTCACTCCTCTGTGCAGTCCCAAATAACTATAAAAGTGCTACAAGCATGCACTTTGAAATGACAAATAATTTTTAGCAGGCAGGTGAATTTGCAAATAATCCACAAATAGCGAGGTTTGACTATGTTTGTGTGGTGACTTTCAATGTACCATATGCTTCAAGGTCATGAATTTGCAAATAAAGAAGCCACAGATAGTGAGGACTGACTATGTTAGTGTGATGGCTTTCAATGTACCATATGCTTCAAGGTCATTGTGTTCAGAGCAGTAACTTCAAAAAAAAATGGGGTTAAGTTGCTTGCTTGTGCTTGATATGAGGCCTAGAGGGCTTGAAGAGTTTTTCTCAGTATTCCACTTCATCCCCCAGATGCAGCGGACTATGCACACCTACATCACAAAAGAAATCTCTCTTCCCCATTGGTGCGTGCTACTTAATTCAATGTTCATAGTGAGTTCATAGGAGTTCCTCAGTTCTCTTTTCTTTAGACTCAGTCTTAGGTAGGCACTGTGTAACCATGACTTGGAAACAACACTTATATAACACTCCTGCCTATTTCCCAGGGGCAAACAAAAAATGCTTACTATTCATTATAGGCTGTAAATCAAGGCTATAAAACATTTTCCATAAATAATCAGATAGAAAGTAGTTTAAGCTTTTAGTCACATACACTAATTAAAAAATACTTTATAAAATGTAAAAACGCATTCTCAGCTCACGGACCTGCCAAAAATGGACTGAGGCATGGAATGAGCTCCAGACTCTAGCCAGCCCACGGGCACTTAGCGCAGGTTGTTAGTACTTAGCACAGGTTCTTTTCCTGTGCTTCCCACCTGTGGCAGGTTAACTCTGCCTTGAATCAGCAGGGATTTTGGGACATGAGCAAGCATGTTTCTGCTACACAAGCAGTAGGGTCTTGTAATCTAGTGTCAATAAAAAGTTCTGAGGGAGTGAGTACATTTTCTACCCTTCCTTAAAAGCAGCACACAATTAATTGGTATCATGTAGAGGACAAGGGCACAGGCAGGTTTTATGCCTGTAAATCAGTGGTTGTCAATCTTCACCTTACATACAAGCAGATTATGGATGTATGTTTTCAAAGTATATTGCCTCTACCCTCACACATTGGAAAGTCCTGAATATCTGTACCATGAAGGGAGCCTTAGATCTCTTTCCTTGTACCCGTGTTTTCCAGAAGGATGCTACAAAAGCGTATGGAAATTCCTGGCAGGTAGATGCATGCTGTCCTGTGTCTGGGACACATATAAATTCTAAATTGCAATGTTAGACTTTGCCCAGCTTTTGAAAAGTTTTTTTTAACAGTTCTGTTCTTTTTTCTTACCCACTTTTAAGGCTTCCATTTGTTTTCTCCCATGCTTTACCCAAGCTAAAAATAAATAATATGACTTGTCTCTCCTTAGAGTAACTTGTTACTCATTGGAATTCAGTTTGTAAGATTGCCTTGGGATCACAGCTTTCTGGTGGACTGAAATTGTTATGTACATTCTTTTTCATCTTTCACATTTTTTCTTACTGTTAGAATAGCCTTCCCTTGTGGCCTTCTCTATTCAGAGTGGAAGCAGATCTTTCAAAGATATTTAATTAATATTTTTATATGTATTTTGATTTACATATTTTATATGTATTTTGATTTACTTTGTTGATCCCATATTTTGCTTTATCTATTTTACTTTGAGAATGAACTAAATTGCACGGAACCTCATTTGAGTACCCTTAATAATAAGACCAAGAACATCACCTTCTCAGTCAAGGAACTTCCACTGTTGTATATCCACACAGACGTTATTGGCTTTTTTTCTATAAACATATTGAACATTATGAAGGTATGAAGGTATGAAGGAATGCTAACTGTGTTGGATTCAGCAACATTCTCTCCAGAATAAGCACACTTCTTTTGTCACACCAAGAATTAAAGAGGTTGTGGACACTATTCTACTTCTGTGCCCGTAAGAATAACAATCAAACCTATTTTATATCTTTACTATATTTTACAAGAGGGATGTATCCATGAACTCTCACCATGATTGTCTTTAAACCAGGGACTTACGACTTTATTCATCATCCAAATATCCCTTTTTGTTCCATTTATTCTGTTTTTCTTCTTTCTTTTAAAAATTCATTTATGTAAATCTATTTTTCACGTTTTATTTTTTATTATATTTATGTTTTATTTTATTTAAAATTCATTTTTCACTTCTTATTTTTCTTTCTGTACCAATTTTCTGTAATCTGTCTTCTTGGCCCACCCCAGGATTAAAAGTAGTTAATCTAATAGAGTTATGTGAACACATTTGGCATGTGCAACCCAGCATTAGAGTGTCGGAAGTTTATCAGAATTCACAATGAGTTGAGTCTTCAGTTTTTTAGGGATACCAGAAACATATGAGTTAAGCTAGCCTAATAAAGGGGTGAAACATAATCGAACTAAGTTAGCCCATAACTAAAGCTTGCATTTCAGTGACTGTTTCTTCTCTTTCTTTCAGTTGGCTTAGAATTACAATCAGGAGAAAGGAATGTTCTTTTGCTAATGAAAGAGGAGAAATTGGCAATGTTCCAGTCCCAAGTCTAGGCCTCGGGAGGCTTGCATTTTGCCAAATTATGATCCCCTTCTCAGCTGCTGCTCTTTCAGCATGGACGCTATCACAAACACATGGAAAATGGCCTTCCCTAGTTAATCCCAGCCAAACCAAACCCAGGTGCAAACTAGAGCCACACAGCCAAACCCACCCTACACCAACCATTCCCAGCTGAACTGTATCCATGAGAATAAATTATTGTGGTTTTTCAGGCACGTGGTGGCATGTAGCATTTTTGTAGTAATAACTAGCTGATACAAGGGATGTTATTTAATTGCCCTTTTAAATCCAATATATGAAGCATAGGCGAGAAATCATGAAATATAGATAAAGGCTGTTATAAGGCATCAAATGCTGAAATCAGGTCATAGAGCATCAGCTTTAGCATAGAAAGATAGAAAGAATGTATTGAGATTTTTTTCTTTTTAATATTAGAATTAATGCAAAATAATGCACAAAATATAAGTATATAACTCAAAGAATTAGCATCATCTAAAGAAATTACTAGTGTCCACAAACCCATTCTCTCCCAGAACTTCATGAAGGGGAGGAACTGGGAGTTGTGATATTTTAGTAATTAAAATGTCTTCAGGTTCAGATTTGAACACCTGCAGATTTAAATAGAAAGGTAATAGTAAGCTAAGAAATGAAGTACTATCTTTGTAAGTAACATTCCTTAAATGACATTCATCTTAATGTTTTTAATTCCCTGTCATAAAATAGAAAAGAGAGTGCCAATTAAGGGCTATTTGCTAGGTTCACTATCCTGTGCCCTGTATGGTGACAGACTGTCTTTCTATATTTAAAAAACTAAGCAAACTGTTATAAGAACCCACAGATTTTAATAGTATTGGTACAGATCAAGTGAATAATATATTTAGATTAATAAACATAACACACAATGGAGAAGAACACAACCTGAAATTTTGTTTCAAAGAGTCAAGCTGCAAATGTTGATAAAATAAATTAAATTTCAACTTATGTGACATTTTTCAAAATCAAGCAACAATAAAGCATTTAAATGTCAGCACAATTTTTGTACTCAGTTAAATCTTTTTCAAACTAAATCATATTTCTTTACTTCCATTTTAAATATCAGTTAATTAATATGTTCTTAGTGGAATTCAGAGTAAAATAAATTTGGGAACTCACACAATGAATGTGTAGATAAGTAACTTGGAAAAAAAAATCAATAAAATTCTTTGTTACAATGTTACCACATTAAATTTATAGCAGCTGGTTAAACAATACACACCCTCCTCCATACTTCTAAATTTTGCTCCAGGATCTTTTTTATAGACTGTATTATTTCATGGTAGAATTGTAAAGAGTCAGTTAAAATAATTTTTCTGAACATTCAGTGCACCTTCAAGAAAAGTTCTATTTTGAAGAGTTCTCCAAATAATAGCTTACTTAAATATCTCAGAAATAGTTTTTCTTTAGGGCACATGTAGGTTTTCACCATGGGTAATTCTAAAATAGAATGTTTTTACCCAGAAAGGGAGCTTCCCACAGGGAATGTTAACCTTTTAAAGATATAATCAAGATCTAACTTTATATAGGAGAATCACAAGCTTTGACATCTATTTTAAATTATTTCCTTTTCCATCTATCCTACTTCCTCAAAAATTATTTTTGTTTTAGTGCTAGTTTATCTTATTGGTCATAGGTTTTTTATGTTTTCAAATATTAAAATACATACTATTATTTTATGGCCGTGGAGTGTATTAGCAGACCACATAATAAAACCTGCCACTGTTCATAAGAAGCAATTCTGAAAAGATGTCACTTGCTACACCTTACAGGGTCCTCTCTAAATAGACAAAAAGAGAAAAAGATACTAAACTTTCACCTCCTGCAAAACTTGTGTTTTTTCTGACCTGCCAGTTTAGTAATTCTATTATTAACTGTGTGTTCTGATGTGTAAAGAAGAATCAAATCATGGTTCATCTCTAGCAGTTGTACAACCGTATATATATCATTTCTGTTTTCTAAAATCACAATTGATTATTATTATTATTTACTTGTATTAATATTCTAATTTTATATTTAGTCTCACTCAAATTGTTATAAATATTTTGTTCATATATATTAAAATCACATATAACTATTTTCTCATGTGAAACTTGCATGATCAATAGAGGGTAAAGAACAAAAACAGTAGAAAAATGAATAATCCCATTACCTAAAGCAAGAATATACCAAGTACTGTAGCTAAATTATATGTGTTTCTAAATCTAGTTCTAGTCCCCTGGATGGGCCTATAAATGCATACATAATTATATACATTGTATATGTTGCTTGCAAATTCTATGTTCTATGAATTGGCTGTAGATACATATATAATTATATATAGCATATATATTCAAAAATATATGGAAAAAATTGCTTTTGCAAATGATATAATACTGTATTTAAAATATCTTTTATTTTATTTTTAAAAAATGAGCATTTGAAATAAATGCTTTATGGCAAGACTATAAATCACTTAATTTACTATAGAAGTAAATTAATTTACATAAACATTTCTCAATTGCTCGATAGAACTTATACAACAAGTTTTTCTGTACATAGATAATTGAACACATGTTTTATAACTTTCTAGATGTAGAATTTCTGAGTCAAAATATGTACAAAATTCTAAAGCATGTGATGTGCCCTGGGAATAAAGAAAAGTGAGCATGTAGCAAAGATTCTTAGTTTGAAGATGGATAAATCAAAGATGATGCTGAGATTTCTGGCTTATGCAATTTAATTATCAATATGATTGTCATTGATTAAATAATATATAATACTCTAATCTCTTTATCATTGAACAACTTATACCATAATTTAGTTTGAATATGTGTTCCCTCCAAATCTCATGTTGAATTGTAATCTCCAATGCTGGAGATGGCGCGTGGTGCGAGGTGTTTGGATCATGGGGGCCGATCCTTCGTGACTCAGTGCCGGCTTCATGACAGTGAGTTCTCATGAGAGCTGGTTGTTTAAAAGTGTGTGCACCTCCTCACCCATTCTCTCTCTCCTCTGCCTCTGCCACTTGATGTGCCTGCTCCAACTTCACCTTCCACCATGAGTAAATGCTCCCTGAGACTTACCCCAAAGCTGAGCAGATGCTGGTGCCATTCTCGCATAATCTACAGAACTGTGAGCCAATGCAATCACTTTTCTTTACCCAGTCTCAGGTATTTCTTTATAGCAAATGCAAGAAAAGCCCAATACACCCCCTTATTATTCAATCTGACACAAATACAGAGAAATTTAATTATACTTAAAATATTATTAAATTATCTGTAAAATGACCTGTAAATAGATGAAGCAGTACATATTTTTCTATACAAACTCAGAGTAGATCTATAAAAAGACATATTAACAAATGAAAATATGTGCAACCTCATTAATTTTTAAAAGAATTAATAAAAAATTACTATAGTGTTTTCATGTATCCAAAGGACAAATGTAGCATTCTTCATAAATGGAGTAAAACAAGGATCTGGGTCAAGTCATTTCAAACTCTTTGTTGTCATGGAAATGAATGAGGGCTCTTTGGGGAGTATTAAGACAATAACTTTAACAGTGCACATTTTCTTTGACAAAACAATAATACGTCTAGTGATACGTCCGAAACACAGATTACATGTAACTATAAAGTTATGAACCGATAAGATACATGCGTGTTCGTTTTTTGTATTTTCCTATTTTCTGTACCAATTTGTCATTATCCTCATGCCCTAAATCCAGCTACTTCACACTAACCAAGAAAAGTTGTATGATTTTATTGAGTAATTCATGGAGCCACTAATGAGGATAACTTGAGAAAGAGTTTAAGAATATTTCAATACACTGCTTTATTCCACATTTTCCCCATGTGAGAGAGAAAGGAATTGCCACTTTTCTCAAGCCAAGTGATGGGCCTTCAATAAACTTCCGAGATTGCTTGATGTGCTTAACCTGCGGTTTAAAAAATATTCAGCATTCAGTGTCTCACTCTCATCTGAAAAGAAAGATGCTGGCATTGCAGCTGCCCCTGCCTATGGGATGGCACAAGCACAGAGGTATACTGAGGCTGTAGTTGCAGAAGTATGCAAGTTTCCCATGGAAAAGATATTGACTCCATAATAACTACTTCTGGAATTCTGAGATGCCATTTACAAAGGGCTGTGCTGCTGGAACTCAAACGGGAAGGAAGATTTTTCAGTTGCCATTTGAAGATTGCATTGCCCATGGCAAATATACTGTAGATGAAAGATCCTCAGCAACTTGAGGTGAAGGACTAGTTAAGGAACTCAAACATGCTAATAGGAGGGAAAGAATAAATAATGGATTCTGTCACATCCAGAAGCCAACAGCATTAGATTAAAATCTTACCAGCCGAAATTCTTGCAAGTTATTTCTACCTGTCAAATGAGATATTTCTGACGCTTTCTCTTTCCTCCATTACTTGATACTCCAGACCTACAAGGGCCCCAAACCGCAGTTACGGAATGGAAAAATAAGAACAAGAAAGACAGACAAGCTTATCTTATTATCTACTTCACTGCAGATTTCACAGTCGGGGCAGGCCCAAATTGGAGAGGATAAACAAATGAAAACTCATTACTTTGATATGACATTTATTATTATTCAATCTTACCATAAATGATTGAAAAACATTTTATTAATTGAGCCTGACTGAGAAACTGAAGGACTTGCACAAGCGTTTACATAGTATGGAGAAGATATGAGCTCACAGAGCACACTTAAAGGCACAGTCCTGAAAACAGACGAAAATAAGTTTACCTAGTAAACTGTATTAAAATTTTACAAAGATTTTCATTGCAGCCTTGTTAATATTAATAAAACTTAGATTAAAACCTTGTTTCAACTAGAAAACTGGTTAAAGAAAGTATAAACAGCTTTAAAATGCAATACTGTAAATCTTTCAAAAAAAGATGGTAGGTTTCACTTGTAATAATAGGTATGACTCAAAGGACAGTGTTAAATGCAGGAAGCTACAGACATAACTTAAGAGCACAGTAGACCCTTAAACAATGTGGAGGTTAGAGGTGCTAACACCCCTCACAGTTGAAAATCCACATATATCTTTTAACTCCACAAAAATAAACTATGAATAGCCTACTCTTGAACCTTACCAATAACACAAACAGTTGATTAGCACATACTTTGTATATGTATTATATACTGTATTGTTACTATAAAGTAAGAGACAAGGTTATTAAGAAAATTATAAGGAAGTGAAAATATACTTACAGTACTGAACTGTATGTATCGATACTGTAAGTATATGTCATCTGTTTACAAAATAAACCTCTTCCTGAAAAGGCAGGCAACTGCAGCTGCAGACCTCAGTCCTCTGTACGTATCAAGCAATTCAGTTTTCTCCTGTAATATCATGGTTTTTCTCTGCTTCCTGGGAGCACTTCCAGCATCACTAGTGGCACTTCGTATGGGATCCATGATGCTATTCAAAGTTTACAAGAGTTTGCAACATTGAACTAAACACAAGGAAAGATACTCAAGAACTGCAAGATCATTTACTGCAATATGCAATTTACTGAAGACACCACTGGTCACACAATGCTTAGCATAGCATGGCATTGTAAATAGATTCTCACATTTGAAATCCCCACAATAGCAACAGGAAGTGGCTGTAAAATTATTACAGCAGTGCAGTTTGTACTAGAGTTAATTTATGCAGTTAGAATTTAATATTGCTTATTTACATTTATTTCTCTACTGCAGTTACTTCGTTACTGCAAATGGCACCAACAAACACTGCAAGTGTTTGTGTCCATGTTTTGATACATTTTAACTTCTTATAAATTTGTGTATCTTATGGTAATAAATGATAAAATAGACTAATATCTACAAATATTTTTTGATTTATGGTATACCTCTTTTTTTAATATTCTAGGCTACATGATTTGCAAGTTTTTTGAAACTGTAACAAATTTCTGATAAATTTTCCAGTATATTTATTGAAAAAAACATCTGCAAATAAGTGGATATAGGCAGTTCAAATCCTTGTTGTTTGTGAGTCAACTGTATAGTTAATTACATGTTCTTCATTCCATAATTTTTTTTTTAAACTAGGTGTTTTTGAAACTCCATATACAAACTAATTTCCTCGGATGTTAGCTTATTTTCTTCTTCATCAGGTGAATTTATTTAATGTTGCATTAATAAAAGACTCCTACAACTTAGTTGCTTTTAACAACAGTGTTTTATTTTTTTGTTCCTCTTACATATCCTTATGGGTCACCTTAAGTTCTTCTCTTCATTCAGTGATCAAGGTTGAAGAAGCAAATCTACCCTGGGGAAAGATAGCCCCATGACGAGTAACAGCCATGGTGAAAAAGAGATAACAAGAACTTCAGAACTGCCAGGCATATGTCATTCTTGCTCAAGTTTAATTGTCCAGAAGTCACAAGGCCAACCCTGATGTTCCCAGGGCAATGAAATACAATTCTCTAATGGGGAGGTGAAGAAAATAACTAGGACCAACTCTGTCAAATGATTAAGAATATTTTTAAATTTTATTAAGTGCTATAAAACAATGTCTAATTTTAGGGAAGCATTTTTTTGTTGCAACACAGCAAAACCTAATTTTTAACTGAAAATATCTGCAAATATACAGTAGAGTTGAGAGAATTTAACTATGAAAATCCAGATACCTAACATCTAGACTCTACCACCAAGATTTTACTTTAAAGCTTGATTTTGGGGTGGGGGTGGTTATTCCTTGAGGTCTAGAAATTCCTTTCTCATATATTGGGAATAACAGAGCAAGTATTATTATGCTCATTTTATACAAAAGGAAGTTGAGTTTTGGAGGCATTTACTGGGTCTACTTACTAGTTTAATGCCTTACTAGGTCAGGTTTTCTGAACTTGGCCGTACATGATTTTGCTTAAGAAACTTTAAATATGCTGATGCTTGAATTCTACCTGAAGAGTTTTTAAAATTTATCACTACTAGTGATTTTAGATTCCGCAAATAAGTGAGATCATGCAATATTTGTCGTTCTGTATATGGATAATTTCACTTAGTATAATGTCCGCTAGCACTATCCATGTTGTCACAAATGGTAGTTTTCTTTTTTAAAGGGTGAATAATATTTCACTATATGTATGCATGTAATATACAATTGTGGCATATAATTCCACTGAATGTGCGCATTTCTGTGTTTGTGTGTATATATATGTGTGTGTATGTGTATATATATTATACATACACACACATATATTTTCTGTATCCATTCATCTGTCAGTGGACATTGAGGTTGTTTTAATATCTCAGCCATTGCAGATAATGTGACAATAAATATGGGAGCGCAGATATTCCCCTTGAATATCTACCTAGAAGTGGTATTGCTGGATCATACGGTAGTCCTATTTTAAATTATTTTCTGTTTTCCATAATGGCTGTACCAACTTACATTTCCACTAACTATGTACAAAGGTTTCCTTTTCTCCACATCCTCACCAACACTTGTTTATCTTTTGTCTTCTTGATGATAGCCATTCTAACATGTGTGAGGTGATATCTCATTTTCAACTTACATTTCCCTAATTATTAATGATCTTGAACATTTTTAATATCCTTATTGGCCATTTTCATGTCTTTTTTTAAGAAATGTCTCTTTAGGTCCTTTACCTATTTTTTAATTGGGTTATTTGGTCTTTTGTTACTGAATTGTATGCATTTCATATATATTTTGGATGTCAACCCATTATCATATATACGGTTTCCAACTGTTTATATATGCACTACCAATCTTTCATTTCTCTCCTGAAGGAGAAGCCCTGGTATAGGAGGTTTCCTCCTGGATGCATGTGCTATGCCACTTAGAAGATGGGCAAAGATAGATGCACAAAAGATTGAATTTTCCTTTTGCTGGGATCTTTCCTTGGCTTTAATTTGGCCGGGCCACTGTAGCTCTCAGCTGGTCTCTCAGAGGTATTTTAGTCTGGATAATGCTGTTAACTTGATGTCTTCTGGGGGGAGATAAGGTCTGGAGCTTCCTAGTTTTCCATCTTGCTTATGTCACCTCTGAGAACTTTGGGAGATATATATCATCCTCAGAAACCATACATTGAAGTTGTTGATATAATGTGCCACCCAGCTCCTCTTTTTAGAACTCAGTCATTCATTCTTCAGGAGTCTTGGCAACTGATAGGTCAGAGTGGAGTCTCTTCCTGAGAATTGCCTTTGCCCTTAAAGAACTGCTTTGCCCAAGTTTACGGATTCATCAGCAGCAGCCCACCTCCAGTGACTAGTCTACATAGTGCTTCTAAGATTCCTTGATGCCTCACTGGGCAATGATTCTGAAGGGTTTTGCCAGTTTCAGAGCGCCTGATGGAACCAGCTGAAGGTGATTAGTTCTTTTTTTTTTTCTAAGTTCTGCTTCCCTTGCTCTCTAACAGATGTTATTCCTGACAACACTGCTCAATACCCTTCTAGTCTGCAAATTCCTTTTTCAGTTTTTCCTAGGGAATCTGAATGAAGACATTCAGTTACATTTCTGTCTCTATTGAAATATCTCTATCTTGTTTTCTGTGAATCTGAAAACTCCACTGAATCATTATATTCTGCATGTGTGTGTACATATGTTTGTATGTTTACATGTGTGTACATGGTGGGTATTGCCCTTCCTACTCTACACAGGAATGCCTTTTACCTCTGATCAATCTAAGGATGTTGTTGCAAGAGGATGTTGCCACATTATTTATACCCTAACTCTTTCTTAATGTACTGACTCTCACTAAGGTATGAAAGAAGACCTTCAAAATACCCTTAATCACATCAATTTTTGTACTTTTTTCCTGCTAATTTCTAGTTGCTCAAATGGGATTTTTTTCTCACTTATGAAATCTATTAAAGTCTTAAAAATGCAAATCACTGATGCTTTGATAAACAGTACATGTGGTTGAAAGTATAAAGTTGAGTAGATTAAGCAAAGTTTGAGATAAATTATATACCATTCTATCACACATTTGACAGAAACTCTATGTTTTATCATGTCTTATCAAAGAGGAAACAAATGGAAGGATGCATAAATGTCATCCCTTTTTATACTCTTTCAGATTATATGATATTTGAATAGTTTTCATGTTTCTCTAAGAAGAAGCCTTTAAATAATGGATATATAACTTATTGATATGATTTGGCTCTTTGTTCCCACACAAATCTCACCTCAAACTGTAATCTCTTGAACTGTGTCCAGGTGTCCAGGGAGGGACCTGGTGGAAGGTGATTGGACCATGGAGGCACTTTCCCCCATGGTGTTCTCATGACAGTGAGTGAGTTGTCATGAGATCTGGTTGTTTGATAAGTGTCCGGTGCTTCCCCCCTTTTTCTCCCCCTTTTTCCTGCTGCCTTGTGAAGGAGGTACTTGCTTCTCCTTCACCTTCCACCATGATTGTGAGTTTTCTGTGGCCTCCCCAGCCATGCAGAACTGTGAGTCAGTTAAACCTCTTTTATTTATAATTTACCCAGTCTTGGGTAGTTCTTTATAGCAGTGTGAAAATGGACTAATACAGGAAATTGGTACCTGTAGAGTGGGGTACTGCTATAAAAATAACCTGAAAATGTGGAAGCGACTTTGGAACTGGTTAATGGGCAGAGACTGGAACGGTTTAGAGGGTTCATAAGAAGACAGGAAGATGTAGGAAAGTTTGGAACTTCCCAGAGACTTGTTGAATGGTTTTGACCAAAATGATAATAGTGATATGGACCATGGAGTCCAGGCTGAGGTAGTCTCAAATGGAGATGAGAAACTTACTGGGAACTGTAGCAAAGGTTACTCTTGCTATTGTTTAGCAAAGAGACTGGTGGCATTTTGCCCCTGACTTAGAGATCTGTGGAACTTTGAACTCGAGAGAAATGATTTAGGATATCTGGTGGAAGAAATTTCTAATCAGCAAAGTGTTCTAAAGAGATGACAGAGCATAAAAGTTTGGAAAATTTGCAGCATGCCCAAGTGGAAAAGAAAAACCCATTTTCTGGGGAGAAATTCAAGCCAGCTGTGGAAATTTGCCTAAGTAATAAGGAGTCAATGTTAATCACCAAGACAATGGGAAAAATGTCTCCAGATCATGTCAGAGATCTTTGTGGCAGCCCCTCCCATCACAAGCCTAGAAGCCTAGAAGTTAAAAATGGTTTTGTGGGCCAGGGACAGGTCCCTGCTGCTCTGTGCTCCTCAGGATTGGTACCCTGCATCCCATCTGCTTCAGCTCCAGCCATGGTTAAAAGGGGCCAAGGTACAACTCAGGCCATTGCTTCACAGGTTGCCAGCCCCAAGCCTTGATGGTTTCCTTGTAGGTGTTGGGCCTGCAGGTGCACAAGAGTTGAGCTTTGGGAACCTCCACCTAGATTTCAGAGGATGCACGGAAACGCCTGGATGTCCAGGCAAAAGTCTGCTTCAGGGGCAGAGACCACATGGAGAACCTCTGCTAGAGCAGTGCAAAGGAGGAATGTGGGGTTGGAACCCCCACACAGAGTTCCCACTGGAGCACTGCCTAGTGGAGCTGTGAGAAGAAGGTCATTGTTTTCCAGAACCCAGAATGCTGATCCACTGACAGCTTGCACCATGTGCCTGGAAAAGCCACAGGCACTCAATGAAAGTCCCTGAGAACTGGCCACGGCCATAGGAGCCCACCCCTTTTATCAGCATGCCTTGGATGTGAAACATGAACTCAAGCCCAACCGGGTTTTAGGCTTGGATGGGGCTTGTTGCCCCTTTGTTTTGGGCGATTTCTCCCATTTGGAAAGGAAACATTTACACAGTTTGCACAGTGCTGTACCCCCACTGTATCCTGGAAGTTAACTAACTTGCTTTTGATTTTACTGGCTCGTAAGTGGGAGAAACTTATCTTGTCTCAGATGAGACTTTGGACCTGAACTTTTGGGTTAATGATGGAATAAGTTAAGACTCTGAGGTACTGTTGGGAAGGTATGATTGGCTTTGAAGTGTGAAAAGGGCTTGAGATTTGGTAGGGGCCAGAGGAGGAATAATATTGTTTGGCTCCTTGTCCACACCCAAATTTCATCTCAAATTATAATCCCTATGTTTTAGGGACAGACCTGGTAGGAGGTGATTGGATCATGGGGGCAGTTTCCCCCATTCTGTTCTCAAGATAGTTCTCATGAGATCTGGTGATAAGTGTCTGGCACTTCCCCCTTCTCTCTCTTTTTCTTGCCGTTTTGTGAAGAAAGTACTTGCTTCCCCATGATTTTACGTTTCCTAAGGCCCAGATATGCAGAACTGTGAGTCAATTAAAACTTTTTTCTTTATAAATTTCCCTGTCTTGGGCAGTTCTTTATAGCAGTGTGAAAATGCACTAAGACACTTATTAAGAATTCTCTCCATCACAGTATTCTGTTTCCTTATTTAACTACAAAATGACGAAATTTAGCTCCTAAAACCAGCCCCATGAGAATGACATTCACTTCTGCATGACAATTTTTAAGACTACAAACATATCAATTTGTTCAAAATTATGATGAACAAGAAACCAGGCAAAAATGCAAATTGGAATTAGACTATCCATTTGAAATATACTTATTAATAATCTTAACACTGTATAGTTTTCAAGAATCCAATACTATAATTAAATTAGCACTCTTAATGCTTTTCATATTTAAAGTCTAAAATTGCAAGCAATAACCATAAAATAAAGTAGTAAATAATGATAATAACCAATTACCACAGAAATTGAACAAAACATTGTAATAATCACAGTTTTTTTATTGACAACAGCTTCTTTATGGCACTCCAAATGAGTGGATAATTCTACAAAGATTACTCTTATTATCAGCAAAACTTTTGGTTCCACCTATTAAATAAAACAAAGATTTTCTCTGCTTACATGAGAGAGCTACCTCATTGTTTACATTTTTAAAATTTCTGTGAACTAGTGCCCCCTCACATTTTGTGACCTAAATTGTAGGTTATAGGAGATAAACTAATTGAAGACCACTTCAAAGAATTACATTTAAAGAGTTGAATGCATTACTAATGAAATAATTTTGACTGGTTATAATTACAAAAGAGTCATCATCCAATACAAACACCCCTCCACACACACACATACACACACACACATACACTTGCAAACACACATATATATTTCTTGTTTATTCCTTCTTATCTACCACCAATGTTACGCTATTGAATTCTGGAAATCCAAAACTCATGAAGATTATAAAACTTTCTAGAAGTGAGGGAAGTGTGGAATAAAACTACTCGAATAGATGATTCAGATGATACTTGATTAATGGAAGGCTCTACATAATTTTTAATGAGCTACACTTACTTCTGTGATACACTTATTTATAAAGCAGCAATGTATCCTAGCGTATAAAGTACTACATTGTAAATGAACTACGGATACAGATAACATATAGTCAAATCTCACAATGATATAATTTTGAGTGAAAGAGGCTAGAGACAACACTATTAGACTCTAACGATATAAATTTTAAAAAATATATAGCAAATTGATGTGTTGCAGGCCCAGGCAATTTTTAACCTTCATGAGGAAGAAAGAATGAAGTGATCTAGAAGGAGTATAGGGAGGACTTCTGTCTATTCTTATTTTTGGACCTGGATGGTATTTCTGGTAATTTTTTCTTGATAAGTTTTAGCTGTATACTTAAGGTTTAGGCATCTTTTTCTTTTATATTTTTAAATATGTGTGTATGAATATATGTAGACTATGTGAAGAGATTTTGAAATATATTCTCTAAAAATATCTTACTTTGTGACACCCAAGCAATTCAAAAACAGCAATACAACTATTATATTAGCCTCAAACATTCAATAAAATTCAACAGCATATATTGTATAGGCTCCATATACTGAGGATGATATAACTTTAGAAATATATAGCAAAAAAAAATGTTTAAAATGCATTACATTTATCAGATAATTTTATGATGAAAGGTATTTTAAATAAAAAAGCTGTAATTCCATTACAAAAATTAGATAAATTCCATTATTAAAATTAGAAAAACATTTTAACAAAAATTTCTACCTAAAAATTGAAAATAAAATTCAAAAAATTATGACACTTTATTTTGAAAGGTATACATGAAACAGTGTCCATTAACATACTATTTTATCCTTTGTGAACTAAATCTTGAAATTTTTAAATTATAAAATAAGTTTTACCATGTACAGAAATGCATACAACATGCTTATGGCAGCCTTTTTCATTGCAGTAAATATTGACGGCAAAATGAATTTACACAAATAGGGAAATGAACAAATTATTTAGTATTCCAGTTGGTAAAATGCATGAGTTGAATCTACAAGAAGGATTTAGGAGGATTTCCACTGTGTGTTACTAAGTAAGGAGTAAAACAAGGTGGCAAGAGTATACATGAGACTTTTAAAAATTAATAAAAACGCTATGTGTCGTTTCAATTACATTGATTCTATTTGAGTCTGTTGATGAATATATTGGGGCATATATTGGGCATAAATAGATGGCCAAGAAAATGTAGATTTCTATTTCATGATGGTTGGATTTTAGGTGAATTTTGTATTTTTGTTTTGATTTTATGTCTTATTCAATTTGTGTCAATGGAAATATGTTATTTATATAAATAATTTAATATTTTAAAAGGTATTGTTATTACAAAAATATTCAACTACAAATAAATAACAGATTTTAATGCATGAGATATTTAAAATATGTGAAAAATAAACAAATTCATCTTTGTAATTTCTACTTTTCTGATTTTCTGCTTTCTCCACATGTTTTAACTTTGTGGATTTTTCTCTTTTTATAGCTCAGTTATGCATTTAAAAAGTTTTTTTAAAGAATCCAATTTTCTTCTCAACATTTACTGTCCCATGTTTCCAGAAATAGGTGTAAATAAATTACATTTTTACTAAATATTTTGAGTTAACAGATTTAAAAATATATATCTTTTAGATTAATTTTATCTTCTTCTCATATAATTTGTTTGTGATAAAGCTCCAATAAAACCCTACTATCATTTTGCATTTAAAGAACTTTGGGATTAGGCAGATTAAATAAAACACTTTTCCTCCTTTTTTCCCCCCTAATAAACTTTTTGAATTTTGTCCGCAAAGCCACAAACAAATCAAATGTCACTTCTACATTGGCATAATTAATGATAAACCTTTTAATGGGGGTCTTTTGAGGTTGGAAGAGCTTACATCTTACCCAGCTGACTGATTACTTTTATGCCACTCTCTATCTGTAATTTCTGGGGCAACATAGGACTGAAACCAATGGTAAAAGGATATTTCCATCTACAATTCTAACAAGTTTGATTTTACTCTTATATCTATCATATATTGATTGTACAATTTTTTCATGATGACAAATCATCTGTATCAATTGTTCTCAACCATGGGCTATTTTGCTCCCCTAAGAACATTTGAAAATGTTCAGAGACATTTTTATATTTCACAACTAGTGTGGTGCTACTGACAGTGGCTGGAGGTCAGGACACTGCTAAACATTCTACATTGATTTTATTCATGAATATTCTAAATTCATTTTATTTTGTTTAGAATCATATTTGCAAAAAAATACTATCTGCTCTACTTTAAACTACAAACATCTGTATAGAAAATAGTTACTTGAGATAAATTTTTGCAATAATTATTAATATTGAGCAACCATATCATTAATACCAGGTGCCAAACACTATGGTAACCATTATAAAATATAAGATTATATAGAAACTTTAATAATATATTAGGGGCAATCACTATCAATTTTTTTTAAAGAAGAGTAAATGAAGATTCAAAGGTATTAGGTGAGTTTCCCACATAACATAGGTATTAAGTGGAAGTATTAAACCCTTTTTCCATAAATTCTGACTCCAAGATCAATACAAATTTGTTTCTAAGAACAAGAATAAATGAACCAGCATTTATCATATATTTTCCAAAGTAAAGAATGGCATATATCATATACTTTCTAAACGCTACATGTAGGACAGAAATCATAAAGTAATTTAATATAAATCACACTGGATACTCATTAGCTCATTGCCCTACAGGAGGAATACAAGCTGTGTCTTATATGTGAGCATGCCAGACTCTCTAGTTATCTACCCATAAAAACAGTTGGAGAGATTATGAAATTTAATAGTTTAGTGAACTGCCAATGACATTTGCAGAGAAATGGAAGCTACTGTATGAAATTAGTACGTACACATAATTTCAGCTTTTGTTTCATTGTAAATCCTCCAGTGAATGTTCATCTTGACCCTGGTCATGACCACTGGCATGACTACCTCTAGATTTGGGGATGTTGTCATTAGATTCCTTTTTCTTTAATTAAGTATGCTATTAAAATGCACTTTAAAGTATTGGGTTTCTATACATTAACTTTTACAAGTTTTAATAGAACCCATACCCTTTCATCCCAATATTATTGGAATAAATAATCACTTTTTCCTCTGGGATTTACAAGGTAAGCATAAAACTATCTGGCTTCCAGAAGCCTAAAAATTAAATGACTTCATCATGTAAATTTGGAAGTGTAACATCTCGGAATTGCTCAAAATTTTAAAAATTAATGAAATTTTTATGAAATGTTAATACTCTCTCCCCAGGTATTCTTACAACTTGTGATTATTTCTTCACATCTGTATCACCTATCCCCTCACCCAATCTTGTGTTTGTCATAGTTTTTATTACTACTTAATATTAAAGTCTCTCAACATTCGATTATCTGGTAAAGGACAGCAGAGTGTTGACTCTTTTATTAGATTCTTATAGATAAGCCTGAAATACAAGAATATCTCGATAAATATTTGTTGAAAAACGTATATAAGAGGAGGCCATACTCACATTTTCAATTTCTGTATTCAGACACCTCCCATTAACTTCCCACCTCCCAGTTAACAATATCCCTCAGAATAGCTGCTCTGAACTTGATATTTCTCTTTATTTGTTCCATAGAAGACTTTCTGCAATGGTTAATGTCATTTTCCAGCATACAGTGCTATATAGTAAATATGTAGCCAAATAAATTCTAAATAAATGTAAAATAACTTAGATGAACGGATTAACTCTATAATATTCTCTCTGTATATAAGATTTTTAAAATATTTTGACAACTTTTATCTCAGAATTTTGTGTATTTTATTTTATTTCATTTTTAAAAATTTCTTTCTGAGAAGTGATCTCTAGGCATCATCAAACTGCCAAAGGATACACACACATATAAGTTTGACAACCCCGGATCTAAGTTTCATACCTAAGAGTGAAACTGCCAGTTCCCTGGATGTAATTATCTTCAATCTTAGTAAATGTGTAAATATTTTCTGAAGTGCTATTACCAATGCATTCTCACAAAGGCATGGTGTAAAGTTTGCCCATTGCTCCACATCTTCAGTGTCTCAGTCCATTCAGGCTACTATAATAAAATACCATAGACTGTGTAGCTTATGAGCAACAGAAATTTCTCACAGTTCTGGAGTCTGGAAAGTCCAAGATCAATAGGCCTGCAGACATGGTATCCGGTGAAGGCACATCCTGGTTTGTAGATAGTGTCTCCTTACTGTGTTCTCACATGGTGGAAAAGGCAAAAACCCTCCTTTGGATTTACTTCATAAGAGTATTAATTCCATTCATGAGAGTTCTTTCCCCACGACCTAATGACCTCCCAAAAGGCCCCACCTCCAAATACCATCCCTTGGAAGTTATGATTTCAACACATAAATTTAGGGGTTTATAGACACAAACATTGAGACCATAGTATTTTGTATCCCCTCGTATTTTCAGACTTTCAAAATTTGTCCTATCTGGTGGATATATGCCTTAATTTGATTTTTTTTATTTTAATGAAGCTTTAAACGTTTGCAAATTTACATTTGCTAATTGAATTTACATTTTATAAAGTGTTGTTTAAATGTTTCACTCATTTTATTTCATTGCTTTTATATTTATCTCTAAGCTTTTAAGATAGTAGCATTCTGTTATTAATTTGCATGTCAAACACTACAGTAAAATCTATACATTGCCGATACTACCTACTATTTTAAGACTTTTAAAAAATTCTACTATATGGCTTGACTTAGGTTAAATATCACATTATTAATATACATTTTTAATTTTTTTATTTTTCCAGTGTTTTCCTTATTTACCAACATTTCCGATAAATATTTAGTTTATTAATCTTCAGATATTTCTCTTTTTAAATAAAGCCAGAAATTTTCTGTTCAATACTTCCTTAGATGGACATTTAATTATCCTTTGGTTCTAAATTTTGTTTTTATTATTGTATTGTAATCCAAAACAGTGTTTTCTTTCTTAATTTCCAAACGTATGGGGGTATTCTGCTTTATTTCTGATTTCCAAATAATTCTTGTAAGGCAACATGATATTTAAACCTTTGCATATGTTCAGTTTTGTGATCCATGTGTGTGTGAAAAATGTACATTCTACAATTGTTAAGTGTATTCTTCTATGAATGTTCATTTAATGTTCAAATTTCCCTATATATTTGATTGTTTCTGTTTTTCTCTCTCTCGTTTCTCGTTTTCTAATCATTTTTTGTCAACTATAAAAATAGACAAAATGGATATATCTAATTCTAATAGTTTTTAATCTTTGTTGTATACTCAAGCTATAGTCTAGATGCATAAAGCTGTATCATTCTGGGAAAGTAATATTTAAAAATTATTGAATAAATATATTTAATTCTTAATAACCCAGCTCTCTTTGGTTATCATTTGCATGCTCTATATTTGTATTGATGGCAGCTGGCAGGCCACGCAGAATGGTAACTGCCATCTCATTGGCTGCAGTGGGGAGGTGTAAGTGGTGACATCAGGAGCAGCTGCAGGAGCGGCAGTGGTGGCAGTGGGACCCCTGTGCCCCACAGCTCCTGTGCACCACATCCCCAAGGCAACCAACTGCACCGCCACGATCCTCATGCAGCCAGGCAGAACCTGCCCCGGAAGCCTGGAGCTTCCACCACTGCAGACCCTGGCCCCACACAGTTGCTCTCTCCTGCCATGTGGGGAAGAGGTAGACAGTCCCCACAGTCTGCCCCTGGGAGCCCCCGGGAGCCCGCTGCTGTGGGGGCTGCTGCATTGGAACCTGGCCGAGTTGCCCACCAGCAGAGGAGAAGCATGGTAGGCATGGAGGGACATATAGAAAGGGGCCCTGAGGTGGAGCTGGGCCTGGGGCAGTGCTGCACTTGCACATGGAGTGTGGGTGCTGGACCCAGGGTATGAAGCTGGGGCTGTGATTCTGGGTCCTGGGGTAGGAAGTGGAAGCAGTACCCACTTTGGGGACCTGGCTAGCAGCGAGGCCACCATGTGCCCACTCTGCTGATGTCATTTGGTTCCTGGGCCTCAGGAGGAGCCTCCACAAGAGGCCGACTTAGGCTGCATCCCCAGGGTTTGTTCCGCATTGTGGCGACCACTGGGCCTGACACTCCCAATGACTGGGCCCAGGGCCACGGTCTGCTCCTGGAGAAGCCCCACCATCGTCAGGGCCTTGAACAAAGTGAAGGGGAGCCCTGGGCCATCCCTGAGCACCAGGGTCACATGATGAACTTGTGGTGACATCACCCTGCCCCAGACACCAGCCCAGGCCCAGTGAGGACCTGGAGCCTTGCCCCAGGCTGTGAGGAGGCAAGGCCAGGGCTGCCTGCACACTCCACAGAGATGGTGGGACCCCCGCCTACAAAGGTGCAGGCCCCAGGCATCTCTGCACTCTGCACCCTTAGGGATCTAGGACAGTCCCCCATACCCCCTGCAGGCTCAGGGGTGTCTGCTACCACTGCCTGGCCTCTACCCACTCCCAGTGCCCACTGTGATCTTGCAGAAGGGTTAGGGGTGAGCGTGGGTGCTCTCACAGACCAGCCGGGTGTGCACACATTTGGGGCAGCACTGACATACAAGCCCCCTGTGGCCTCAGGCCCCTCCGGGCTTTGGCCATCAACAAGCACAGTGGGGAGGCCTAGAGGGGAGCTGAGAGCAGCTCAGCACTGGCCTACAGGTGCCTCTTGGCATGAACAGCCTGGGTGGATGGATGGACATCAGCAAGAGGCAGACAGGCTCTTGGGAAGAAGGGGGCAGGTCCCTGGTGAAGCCCCACCTGCACGCCAGGGAGGGCCTGAGGGCTGGGGGTTGGGCTACCAGAACCACAGATGAGAGTGGGAACTTGTGGTGCCTTTTCTGGGCTGTCCATGGGTGCTCATGTACCAACTGGAGCATACCTCCTCCCCTCTGAGACCCATAAAATCCTTGGACTCAGCTAGAGGAGAGCCAACTACTGGAGGACCAGCTGCAGAGTGAAGCTACCCCCTCTGCTTATAGCTGGAGAGATGGGATGACTAGCTGCAGAGAGGAGCTACCCTCTCTGATGAGAGATGCAAAGACAATGGGATGACCTGCCTGAAGAGAAGAGTTTTCCACTCTAGGGAGATGAACACTCAATGGGACAACCTGCCTGCAGAGAGGAGCTTACCACTCCAGGGTTTCCTCTCTGCTAGGAGATGAACATTTGTCCAGAAAACCTGGCTGCAGAAAGGTTCTACCCACTGCGGGTGTCTTCTGAGCTGTTCCATCACTCAATAAAGCTCTTTTCAGTCTTGTTCATCCTCCATTTGTCTATGTACCTCATTCTTCCTAGTGGCAGGACAAGAACTCGAGACCTGCCAAATGGTGAGGCTAAAAGAGCTGTAACACAAACAGGGCTGAAACATGTCCCTTACTCACCATGTTGCAGGTTCAGAGAAGGAAAGAAAAGCTGAGGTCCTTCAAGGAGCCGATACCTTGGAGCTGCCCAAACCAGAGCTGTGACTCCCTCTTTGGGGCCCTGAGGTTCCTGGCATCTACAAGCTTCCAGGAGCAACCACATTACCTGGTGCTAGCCAGGGAAGCTGTGTGTGGTGTGCCTGGTCCAGCTGCAGCCTTGAAGAGAGCCAGCACCCATGCTGACACCTGGAGCTGCCCACCCCAAGGCAGCAGCTGGCATGTCTGACTGCACAGTGGCCAGACACCATGCTCTCTCACACACTTCTCACTACTCCATGCCTGACTCACAGTCTCCCTTGGAGGCATGGAATCCAGGCCGGTAGCATGAGCCAAGCACAACCTGCCAGGCCAAGTGGGAAGAACAAGCCCAGCAGACCTGAGCAAAACTCAGGCAAAGGTGCCACCAGCTACAGGTTTCCAACTAGAACAGCAACATTCCAAAGATCCCGTAAGAGTATCACCATTTAGATTCATGCTTTTTTTATTATTTGAATTTAGTTTCAGATTTATCTTTATAAATAATCTGGCCTCTTAAAAAATAAATCCATTCCAAAATTGTACTCTTTTTCTAATAGAGCATTTGGTTCATATAATATTCATATAAATACTGACATATTCCATTTAAATACATTTTGTTTGTGCATTATAATTTTTCTGCTTTACCCACGTTTATTTTTTCTTTAGTCTTCCTTGTTTGGTTCATTTATTCTCATTAATTTTATTGCCACTACACTAATGTGAAAGTTATATATGTGCCCATTCTTCCATTTGCTACCCTCAAAGTTAAATCATGAAGTTATATCAACATATAAGTTGAATTTTAAAAACCCCATTTTTTACAGTTAATACATTTAAAACACTTTATGCCATATATATACTTTGCAACTTATATGTTTTCTTGTCATGACTATTAATTCTATGCCATTTTAAAGAAACCTCGTAAGGTGTTATTATTATTTACCTAAGTTATTTATCATACTTTGGCTCCATATAAATTTTCTAATTCTCTGAGTGTTCATTCTCCTTCTGCTTGAGGTATATAGCCTTTAGAATTTCACTTACAATTTCACTTACAACAGCCTTTAAAATTTCACTTTAGAATTTGCTGGTAATTAATGTGTGTGTGTGTGTGTGTGTGTGTGTGTGTGTGTATGTGCTTTTAAAAATATGCTTATTATTTCTCATTTGTGGAATTCATTTTTATTAATATTTGAATTTTAGGTTGGTGATTATTTTTTTCTCTCCAATGGAAAAATAATTTAACTGTATTCAGGTTTCTATTAAACTGTGATGAAATCTTCAATCTTATTGCTATTCCTTTTTAGGCACTCCATCTTTTGCCTTGGGCTACCTTTATAATCACTGCTTATTTCTTTTCTTTTCTTTTGTTGTTTTAATTTTATGAGGATGCACTATCAGTGTAAAATTACGTTTATTTAATCTGCTTCAATTCCATTGTGAATTTGAATCTGCAGCTTGTGTCTTTCCTCAATTCTGGAAAATTGTTTGCCATTATTTTTTTGAATATTGCCTCTGTTTTTATCTTTCTTTCCTCTCTAATATTCTAAATAAATATATCTTAGTCCTTTTCATACTATCCTCTAAATCTTTAAACCTCTGTTTCCTTTGTTAAATATTTTTTTTTTTTGTCTTTGAGCTGTATTCTGGATAATTTCTTCTGGTCCATCTTCCAGTTCAGTTACTCTCTCTAGTTGCATCACACTGGTTGTCAAAGTGACCTTTGAACTCCTGATTTTGTATATTCTATTTTTTTCTTATATCTGTAATATCCTGCTATATAATTTCTTTTTCTCTATATTGTAAAATTATGTTTCTTCAAAAATATCAAATTTTACTGTCTTATACATCCACTAATTTCTATATCTGATGTGTTTCATATATGCTATATTGTGAACCAAATTGTCTTCAATGAGTGATGCCTGTATTAACTATATTGATTCCTTATGATCTGAAAAACAGGTATTTTGGAGACGATTGTCTTTGCTTCTGCAGGGTATCAAAGTTTCTGGTAGTCAGAGACAAGGCTAAATAACATTTGTATCATCAAATCAACTAGCTACAAAAAATAAGCCAAACAAAAACAACAACAACATAAGAGAGCTGACTTATAGCAACCAAGATTCCTCAGACAGATTTTTTTTTCCTTTTCTTTTTTCTCTATTCCACTCCTACAGTCTCCTGGAAGTGAGGGTTATCATGGAAAAAAAGTGTTTTCTTTTTAATTTTATTCCTAATTCTGTAATCTTTTGGGTTTGCAGCTTTTTAAATATGAGTTTCCTATAATGAGGAGATCCTGAACCTTGACTTTTGTGTCATCAGCAATTCAAAGCCTCAGTATGTTCTTGATTGAAAATTCCTTCACAGCCAAAGATATTTGGGAGATATTTTTCCTGTCTTTCTAGATTCTCATGTTTTCCCAAATTTGGTGGGCAATTTTTGGCTCTCTACCCTGCTCCTCAACACTTTTAAGAAATTGGAAAAATTAATTATAAGATTTTCTTTTTACTGATTATAACCAGATATTTGTTCTGAGTAAATAAACCAGCATTCCTACAAACAAGTATCTTATGGAGGCATTATTTGTAATACATGCACCAAATATTGGGAATAAAATAAGCAGAGGTAATTAGGTAAATAATTTGGTAGCAAACTATACTCCTTCTGGTAGATTTAAACTTCCTAAACCCTTGGCCACAAATTTGGCCAACAAGCATTAATGCCTTATTAGTAACCCCATTTAAATAGAACCTAAAAAATTAAAGAGTTAAGGTTTAATGACTAGATAGGTGTTTTGAGTAATGTACTCATTATAAATTAGACATATTGAAAATGTAAATAGTAAAAGTATTTCAGGGACTTTGTTATTCAGATCAAATATAGTATAAAATAATAATAAACTAGAAGTCCAAACCTAACCATTATACCATATATTCATGTAACAAAACTTCACATGTACCCTTTCAACCTGTTAAAAAAAAATAAGATAACAGACACCAAAGATAGCTATTGTTTCTTCAAAAATCAAGACTGATATACTCTATAATAAACCAAAGTTAGTAAACCATAACAGGCTAGTTTTAGAATTCTAAAAAAAAAATAATGTAACTTAAAATTATAGTCTCTACTCACAGTTGTGACTACATGCACACACACACACACACGTATGCATATCCCTACTTATTTGACAAAAGTTAATCATTCATATTCTTTCCAATCATTATTTTAAGCCCTCAAATTTGAGATTTAGACATAATACTCTTATTTTAAAAAAAAGCATTGAAGAGAGAAATTGAAACAAAAGATACAATAATAGCAATGATAGATAAACCAAAAGTAAATTTTGGGTGAATCATACTTAGTGCTGTGTTATTCCTAAAGAGAGCTGAAAAAACTGATAGAGGCACGAGAGACCACACCCTTCCCAACTACTACTTGGTAGGTGTATTTTCTTGGTGGAAATATTGGGGGAAGGAGAACCACGAAGAGAACTAAACTTGTTTCTGTATTGAAGGCTTAATGCATATAAATTATTTTATAATACATCTAGGTAAAAAGTAATAGCATGTACAAAGGCAACATGCGTTTTAGAGCCTAGAGAGCTTTTCCCTTTTTCGAAAAAGCCAATAGGATTTTTTGGAGACAACTTTCTTGACCTAAACACAGATCATTTTACTGTTTATAGTTAAATATTTAAAGGCCTATTCATGGTGTGCAGTTGTGACTAATTAAAATATGAGATAATACCCTCTGATCTTAGATCAGATGGCCTCATATCTACAACCATCTGATCTTTGACAAACCTGACAAAAACAAGAAATGGGGAAACGATTCCCTATTTAATAAATGGTGCTGGGAAAACTGGCTAGCCATATGTAGAAAGCTGAAACTGGATCCCTTCCTTACACCTTATACACAAATTAATTCAAGATGGATTAAAGACTTACATGTTTGACCTAAAACCATAAAAACCCTAGAAGAAAACCTAGGCAATACCATTCAGGACATAGGCATGGGCAAGGACTTCATGTCTAAAACACCAAAAGCAATGGCAACAAAAGCCAAAATTGACAAATGGGATCTAACTAAACTAAAGAGCTTCTGCACAGCAAAAGAAACTACCATCAGAGTGAACAGGCAACCTACAAAATGGGAGAAAATTTTTGCAATCTACTCATCTGACAAAGGGCTAACATCCAGAATCTACAATGAACTCAAACAAATCTACAAGAAAAAAACAAACAGCCCCATCAAAAAGTGGATGAAGGATATGAAGAGACACTTCTCAAAAGAAGACATTTATTCAGCCAAAAGACACATGAAAAAATGCTCATCATCGCTGGCCATCAGAGAAATGCAAATCAAAACCACAGTGAGATACCATCTCACACCAGTTAGAATGGCAATGATTAAAAAGTCAGGAAACAACAGGTGCTGGAGAGGATGTGGAGAAATAGAAACACTTTTACACTGTTGGCGGGACTGTAAACTAGTTCAACCATTGTGGAAGTCAGTGTGGCGATTCCTCAGGGATCTTGAACTAGAAATAACATTTGACCCAGCAATCCCATTACTGAGTATATACCTAAAGGATTATAAATCCTGCTGCTATAAAGACACATGCACACATATGTTTATTGCGGCACTATTCACAATAGCAAAGACTTGGAACCAAGCCAAATGTCCAACAATGATAGACTGGATTAAGAAAATGTGGCACATATACACCATGGAATACTATGCAGCCAGAAAAAATGATGAGTTCATGTCCTTTGTAGGGACATGGATGAAGCTGGAAACCATCATTCTCAGCAAACTATCGCAAGGACAAAAAACTAAAAACCACATGTTCTCACTGGTAGGTGGGAATTGCACAATGAGAACACACGGACACAGGAAGGGGAACATCGCACACTGGGGCCTGTTGTGGGGTGGGGGGAGCGGGGAGGGATAGCATTAGGAGATATACCTAATGTTAAATGACGAGTTGATAGGTGCAGCACACCAACATGGCACAAGTATACATATGTAACTAACCTGCACGTTGTGCACATGTACCCTAAAACTTAAAGTATAATTTAAAAAATTAAAAAAATAAATAAAAAATAAAATATGAGATAATACATGACTCTCATAATTGAAATGGAATAGTATATCATTTTTTATTTAGTTCTAATGTATACCAGGCATTATATGAATCTGACAATTTTAGGAATAAAAATAAATTACATCCCGCATTTAAAAGGATGTGCGAGCATGCTTAGGTTATACTAGTGGAATTTACCTTAACTCATCAACCTCTTATGCTTTTCCTCTATCAATTATTAAAAGAATGGGTGATTATTTAAAAAACTGCAACTAGAAGAGTATAAAGAAGAAGACTGAAATCATTTTGACTCCTTAATCTCATAGCTATTATAAATAAACATATATTTATTTCTAGAATGGATGTATCTATCAGTCCTCTGCAGAATGGTTTAAATCTCATATGTAAATGGGAGTACAATGAAACTTTCCAATCCTGTAGTTATCTTTTTATTGGCTCTCTCAAATTAAAAACATTGTTCTTAATTTGTTCTTTTAACAAATACCAGTTGAATTTCTAGTATGCGACAGAACTGGGAATACAGAAAAAAGCTCAACGGGCAAAAACATTTACCTTCACAGAGATTATACTTTAATGGTGGGAGGGGCCCAGGGAAGGGAAAATACATGGGCTTTTATTGCGTGGCTGTGATTGTGAGTGCCTCCTTAAGTTGTGTGCCTGAGGTCACTTACTCATCTTACCTAAGCCAAGCCTTGAATAGAACAAAACTTCTGTGACTTTGTGTTAGACTAAAATTTCTATGATGTAACTACAAAAATCCACAAAATGACATATTGGTAAATTGGATTTCAAATTAAAATATTTTCCCCTTTAAATCAGACTGTAAGAGAATTAAAACCCACAGATTGGTTGAAAATATTTGCAAGTTATGTTATATCTCATAACAGCATTTGAAGAACTGTCAAAACCCAATAAGGAAACAACCCTATTAAAAATGGTACACTTGTCCAGGTGCGGTGGCTCATGCCTGTAATCCCAGCACTTTGGGAGGCTGAGGCGGGCAGATCATAAGGTCAGGAGATTGAGACCATCCTGCTAACATGGTGAAACTCAGTATCTACTAAAAATACAAAAAAAATTAGCCGGGCATGGTGTCAGGCACCTGTAGTCCCAGCTACTCAGGAGGCTGAGGCAGGAGAATGGCGTGAACCCGGGAGACAGAGCTTGCAGTGAGCCGAGATCGTGCCACTGCACTCCAGCCTGGGTGACATAACAAGACTCTATCTCAAAAAATAAAATAAAATAAAATAAAATTAAATAAAATAAAATAAAATAAAAGGTACACTTGACCAAAAAAACATATAGTGATGGGCAAAAAGATGCTCAATATTATTATTCATTAAGAAAATATAAAGTTAAATCACAAAAAAATACTAGTGCATGTGATAAGAATAATTAAAATTAAAAGAATTTATAATGTCAATTGTTTCTCCAATACAATATTGGAGAAGTTGTAAAATAGGACATCCAATTTATATATGGTTACATGTGATTTTCCCTGGGTATCTGTATTTAGTGCTTAACAAACTTCCATAAAACAGTAATTTATAACAACTGTTTTCCCCCCAACAATTTAGCAGTTTGAGATAGGTGGTTTTGGTTTAGGCCAGCTAGGAGGTGAGTGATCTTGAATGACATTGTTCATATGCCTAGTGTCTGGCATACTGGATGATCTAGAAGGCCTGAGATGGATTATGTTATTTCTCCTCCTTATGGTTGTTATCCAATGGCTTTAAATATCATCTTTTTTAAAGTCAGATTTTATCATTGTTATGAGCTATATGTATTCTTAGTCCAACACAAACTTCTGTGGCATCCGAAAAACAGAAACTACAATCTCAAACATTTAACTACTGAAGTTTAGTATACAGATACTGGCATTTCTCTCTGTATCTTCCAGGTATTTTAAATTTTCTTTTCTATTTCCCATTTTTTATCATGTTTTTCTGTGAAGAAAAGTGTTAATCAGATTATTCAGCTCAATAATTACTTTTTCAATTTTGTTCCATTTTTAAATTTTTTTAACTTAAAATATATTTTTTTACATTTAGTGTTTCCATATGATTTTTCACATTGCAAATACTAATATCAAGCCCTCAATAGCTTTATTTTGTCTATTATAAATCTATTCAGCTTGTCATCTTTAACAGCAATTGTACTCCTCAATTATCTAATTATTTTTCCATTAGTGTATTTCCCTTGATAACATCAGCCACTTTGGCAGTTATTAAATAATACGTACCTGGGGAGAGAGGTAGATGTCCTGCTCCTCCTTACGCTCTTCTGTGAATGTAAGATGGTTTGTGCCCTAAAGCAGATAGTCTCAGTGCCACAGCCTGGGACTGGCCACTTCCATTTGCTGCATACCACATCCTTCCATGGCCTGAGTCTGGGCACTGATTTTTTTTTTTTCCCTGTGTCATCATCTGGGACTGGTACTGGATAGGAGTTTCTCATCCATAGGCACTAATATTTCATTAATATGTCTATTTCCCAATTTTGACACCTGGATCAAATTCTCCACACTGCACTGCCATTTCCCTCCCACAGCAAGTCAAAGCTGCCTTTCTTTCTCTCCATGGGTGACTTTCTCTTTAAAAATCATGACTAATGTATCATATTTTTCCATGGCTTTCGTGGTGCTACTATTGATAGACTTGTAACAAAAATCTGCTAGCAGACCTAGTTCTAATTTTTTACCTGTCATTTGCTGAAAATGTACATCATCAATAGGCTATACTTTTAAAAAACTTTTTTACTAAATTTTTAACTTAATATTGTCTTATTTTAAACTTTTATATTAAGTTCAGGGGTACAAGTGCATATAGACTATACTTAAATGGTATGATGATCTTGATTTCTTACTATAATCACAAAATAAGTAATATAATAATAAATACAACACTGGCACTATGTTAAAAATATATTCGATTTTCTATTTTACTAATTAACCCTGATTTTCAAACTTCAGTATGCATTATTATTACTCAGAAACTTGTCTAAAACACAGGCTGCTAAGCCTTAACAATAAAATTTCTGATTCTGTACATCTGGGGTGGTGCCAGGGAATTTGCATTTCTAACAATTTCCCAGGTGATAATGATGGGAATTTTTCATTGCTATAAAATTATTAGGTTTGACTTTGGACACTTGCATTAGCACAGTAGAAAGGTAGCTTTATCTAAGGTCAAGGTTTACATATTGTCAATCAGGTAACTTCCAAAAGTTTTGTTTATCCTTTTAGTATTCCCTGGAAAATTTCAAATTGTTTGCATTATAGCCAGTATTATACTAGTTCCCCCTTATCCGTAGTTTTGTTTTCCATGGTTTCAGTTACCTGCAGTCAATTACATCTGAAAATAGATGAGTACAGCGCAGGAATATATTTTGAGAAAGAGAGTCCTAATTCACATAACTTATTACAGTGTATTGTTATAATTGTTTTATTTTATTATTATTACTATTTTTTGTTTGTTTGAGACAGAGTCTCTCTCTGTTGCCCAAGCTGGAGTGCAGTGGCATGATCTTGCCTCACTGCAGCCTCCGCCTCCCGCGTTCAAGCAATTCAACTGGCGTGCACTGCCACGCCCAGCTAATTTTTGTATTTTTTTTAGTAGAGACGGGGTTTCACCATGTTGGCCAGGATGGTCTTGATCTCCTGACCCCGTGATCCACCCACCTTGGCCTCCCAAAGGGCTGGGATTACAGGCATGAGCCTCCGCGCCTGGCCAACTGTTCTAATTTATTATTAGTTATTATTGTTAATCCCCAACTGTGCCTAATTTATAAATTATACTTTATTACATATGTATGTATGGGAAAGAAACAGTATATATATGGTTTGGTATCAATGGTTTCAGACATTTACTAGGGTTCTTGGAACATATTCCTCAGAGATAGGGAAGGACTACTGTATCTGTATGCAAAAATGTGTACACAGATACTGTACTTACAAATTTGATTGGTGATCATTCTGGATTTTTTTTATTCCTCTCAATTGGTCTTTTCTTCCCCCTTTTCCACGCTACTCTTTTTTCAAGAGGCTGATATATACAAATACATATACTATTTCAGTGAGTTCTCTTTCTCTCTCTCTGAGTCATAGTTCCCTAGAGAAACAGAAATAAAGGAAGTCATCTATCTATCTATCTATATAGAAAAACATTTTTAAGACGTTGGGATATGTGATTGTGAGGACTGGCAAGTTCAAAATCTGCAAGGCTGGCCAACAGCTGGAAATTCTGGCAAGAATGGGTGTTGCAGTCTTTCTTGGGTTAAAGGCAGTCTGGATGATGAATTCTTTTCTCCCAGAGAGACCTCTTTTCTTTTAAGGATTTCAACTGATTGGATGGAGTCTATGCATATTATGGAGGGTAATCTGCTTTTCTCAAGGACTACTAATATACATGTTAATCACGTCTCTAAAACTACCTTCACAGTGATACAGGAACTAAAAAGAAATTATTAAGGCAGTTGGTGAGGGTAAGAGAGTCCTTGGTAAGCCTGCCCTTTTAACAAAAAAGCAGCCCCCAAATCTTTACTTTTCTAACTAAGAGCAGCCTGAAAAATCAAACTGCAGACGTAGAAAAGCAAGCTACAAGCTTGCAAGGGTGAATGTCAGCAGCTGTGCCAATAAGGAAAGGTTACCTAGGGGCCAGCCATGTTCAACACGGAGGCTTCATCTTCTCTTTTCTTTGTCAACCACGTGTACAGTAAAGAAACAAGCAACATGGCGCCGACTAGGTAGATAACCCATCTATATAATAAAATATTAAGTTGGGGCGTCCAGTTTCTCCCCGCGCTATACAAATGGCACATCTGGTCCAAGCAATCTCTCGTGCCCTATGTAAATCAGACATGGCCTCCTCAAACTCATCTATAAAACCCCGTGCATTTCACCAGGGAAACCGAAGACCCGCTCAGTAGCTCGTCTTTCTCTGCAGGAGGGAGAGCTTTTCTCTTTCTTCGCCTATTAACCCTCTGCTCTTAACCTTACTCCACCTGTGTCTGTGTCCTTGATTTCCTCAGCGTGAGACAACGAACCTCGGGTATTACCCCCGACGAAAGACATGTAACGACATGGCTTCAACAGCAACACCTAGAATGGTGTTTGACTAAAAACTGCATACTATAACACAACCTAACTGACACCTAAAATTAACCTTCATACTCCCTAACATCTAGGCTTATTCAATGGTGAATTCTAGCAGGAGATATGAGGGAGGGAGAAGCAAGACATCCAAAAAATCAGCCCTTTGGTTTCTTATTGGATGTGTTACCATAGACTTCACAGCTCGGGCCAAGGAGACCCTGTACATGTGACTCTGTCTTTCCAGTTCCAGTAGTTACTCTCCTTTTATCTGACCCATTTCCAGAGAGCAGTGGTGACAGACCCCTCTCCTCCTCTTACCAGCTCCCTGGTACCGCACCATTCTTTATATTTTGTTTAAATTCTCCTCATATCTTTAAAAATACCCCCTTTATTAAAATCTCCTTAAATCATCCACTTTGACCATGGGTTATTTTTCCTGCCATAGCTGGACAGTAAAAACAAACTAGGGGTTTGGAAATTAGCAGATTACTCCTGTGGATACTCGAATCTCTAAAGCAAAGCCACAGATATTTCTTCTACTCTTTGAGAATTTCCCTTACACTCTTAGAGATTTCAACCGTTCACTCTAATTCCCAATTTTACTTGTGGACCCCCTTTGTTTGCAAGGATATCAATTCCCAATGCTCAATTTGCTAACATCATGAAACCGGCTTGATGTTTGGAAGTACATCAAATACTGAAATTAAGGTGAATAATACTACAGAAAACAGAAAATAGTCTTCACTATCAAACTGCTTCAATCATACTTTGCTATGTTGGAAGCAAAAGACAGGCTTTCTTTCAGGTCAGCAGTTGGTGCCATTTCTGCATCTGTGCTGAGGAAATACAGCACTTTTATTCACTTTCTTTCACATCCATCACTTGACTCTTCTAAATGGTAAATATATTTCTTCTTGCATTGTTGACAGAATTGGTGAAGCCAGCACTGCATCTGAGCCTTTTTTAAAGACCAAGAGCAATGTACTGTCCTTGTGCTTACTGCTCATCTTGCTTCTCCTGACCATATGACACAGCCTGCTCTCTTGCCTCAGTGGCTCAGCAGTTACTAATATGATTTTTACAAGACATTGATCCAAAAACTATGAAAAATACTTTGCAAGCTTCCAGTAGAAGTAAGGTTAAAGTTGGTAATGTGGTACACAAAAACTACAACACAAGAAGAGGCTTTGCAGTTATTTTCTATTGATTGCTTGTGTACTTATTTTTCCAAATGTAGTTTCTAGAACCAGTTAGCACAGAAAGTTATAAACATTGTATAATTATTCATCTAAATGAATTGTAATAATAACTACAAAAAATTATGTCTACTGGCTGTAACATAACTTAGTAATTATTCTGTTTGTATGTACTTAGGTAGCTTCCAGAGGTTTATGGCTAAATGATCTCTAATAATTATTCTTATTTTCAAATTTAAATGTCAATTGCTGAATATATACATACAATAAAGGCTTTATAACTATGTGTATTAGTTTGCTAGGAATGTCATAACAAAATACCATAGACTATGTGGTTTAAACAGCAGAAATGCATTTTCTCACAGCTTCAAAAAGGCTCTAAGTCTGGTATCAAGGTGTTAGCAAATTTGGTTTTTCCTAAGGTCTATCTTCTTTTCTTTCAGATGGCTGCCTTCTTCCTGTGTCCTCACATGGTCTTTTCTCTGTGCATATGCATCCTGTGTCTATGTCCAAATTTTCTTTTTAAAATAATGACCCAGTCATACTGAATGAAGGTCCACTCATATGATTTCATCTAAGCTTAATTACCACTTTAGAGGCCCTATTTCTAAATATGGTCATATTCTGTGGAACTGAGAATTAGCTCTTCAACATATGAATTTTGGGGGAACAAAATTCAGCATATATTTCCTGATACATAGAGCAAAATTCCTGATATATAGCAAAATTCCTGATATATAGAGCACATAACTCTATATATCAGGAAAAATAAAGTATATACCCATTTCTGCTCATCTCTGTAAAAGGAGTAGGGAAAGAATAAATTTTAAAATTCATGAGATGCTTTCTTACATGGGTGTGTGATAATGGATGGGCAAGGATGAAGACAGACTAGAATAGAAGGAATAAGACGGGAGTAAAATTTCCAAGATTGCCATGTTTTACAGTACATATGTTTAGAAACAGATTAATATTTCAGATACATGATAGATAGATAGATGTATATTTCATATATACATATACAAAAACATAATAAAATCATCAATGATAGAGGAAAATGTAGAATAAAAAACAAATAGAAATATGTAAAGTATATTTCAAATAACAACTTTATACACGTTATGTTCATATGCATTTATTCATCTGTACACTTATTGAAACTTTATTAGTAGGACTTTATAAAATGTGAAATATGAGATAGTTTATATATGTTATATAATTGAATAATTTTGTTATTTATATTCTCAATAATTATGTTTTATCAATTCTTATTGCTTCTTATATTTGCACTTATAAAAGCAGCATTTCAAGTGTAATATTTTTATGCAAATTAAACTCCTTTTTTCCTTTTTATTTTTCATCACTTTTATGCAAATAAAAGCCTCCCTCTTTTTTTTTTTTTTTTTTTGAGACTAAGTTTCTTGTGTTTCCCAGGCTGGAGTGCAATGGTGCAATCTCAGCTCACCACAACCTCTACCTCCTGGGTCCAAGAGATTCTCCTGCCTCAGCCTCCCGAGTAGCTGGGATTACAGGCATGCACCACCACACATGGTTAATTTTGTACTTTTAGTAGAGACGGGGTTTCTCTATGTTGGTCGAGCTGGTCTCGAACTCCTGACCTCAGGTGATCCACCCGCCTCGGCCTCCCAAAGTGCCTGGATTACATGCACCATTAGACATATGTGGGGATTTACATGTACACAGGTGCCAACAAGCACTTTGCAAGACACTTAAGGAAAATCCACTTATTTGAACAACATACCACAGTAATGTCATTTGTTTATATATCAATGATTGGTAACTTTCTTCTGTGAGAAACAACTTAATAATTTTCATTACCTTGGCATTCAAAATGTATTTTTATCTTATAGGACCAGAAGACCAGAGACTGTATACTTCTTCACTAACCCCATCTGTTTGAGTCTAGTCTTAAACATCCAAAAATCATCCATAGACACGTATATATTACTCTGGACATTTAATGGAATAAATAATCCTTTCATCCAGGTGTTAAAGTCCATAATTTATTATTAATATTGATATTGGAAACAATATCATTAGCGATGAATATGTGAGCATTTAAAACTTAAATATTTTAAACTAGCTGATTATTTTGCCTGTTAGTTAATGTAGTTTCTTCATAGTGTTGAGGGTCTTTACAATTTGGTATGTTTTTGCAGTGGCTGGTACCAGTTGTTCCTTTCCATGTTTAGTGCTTCCTTCAGGAGCTCTTGTAAGGCAGGGCTGGTGGTGACAGAATCTCTCAGCATTTGCCTGTCTGTAAGGTATTTTATTTCTCCTTTGCTTATGAAGCTTAGTTTGGCTGGAGATGAAATTCTAGGTTGAAATTCTTTTCTTTAAGAATGTTGAATATTGGCCCCCACTCTCTTCTGGCTTGTCGGGTTTCTGCTGAGAGATCCGCTGTTAATCTGATGGGCTTCCCTTTGTGGGTAACCCGACCTTTCTCTCTGGCTGCCCTTAACATTTTTTCCTTCATTTCAACCTTAGTGAATTTGACAATTATGTGTCTTGGCGTTGCTCTTCTTGAGGGGTATCTTTGTATTTCCTGAATTTGAATGTTGGCCTGCCTTGCTAGGTTGGGGAAGTTCTCCTGGATAATATCCTGAAGAGTGTTTTCCAACTTGGTTCCATTCTCCCCATCACTTTCAGGTACACCAATCAAATGTAGATTTGGTCTTTTCACATAGTCCCATCTTTCTTGGAGGCTTTCTTCATTTCTTTTCACTCTTTTTTTCTCTAATCTTGTCTTCTCACTTTATTTCCTTGAGTTGATCTTTAATCTCTAATATCCCTTCTTCCGCTTGATCGATTCGGCTATTGATACTTATGTATGCTTCACGAAGTTCTCGTGCTGTGTTTTTCAGCTCCATCAGGTCACTTATGTTCTTCTCTAAACTAGTTATTCTAGTTAGCAATTCATCTTACCTTTTTTCAAGATTCTTACCTTCCTTATGATGGGTTAGAACACGCTCCTTTAGCTCGGAGGAGTTTGTTATTACCCACCTTCTGCAGCCTACTGCCGTCAGTTTGCCAAACTAATTCTCTATCCAGTTTTGTTCCCTTGCTGGCGAGGAGTTGTGATCCTTTGGAGGAGGAGAAGAGGTGTTATGGTTTTTGAAATTTTCAGCCTTTTTGTGCTGGTTTCTCCCCATCTTCGTGGATTTATCTTCGTTTGGTCTTTGAAATCGGTGATCTTTGGATGAGGTCTCTGAGTGGACGACCTTTTTGTTGATGTCGATCCTCTTCCTTTCTGTTTGTTAGTTTTCCTTCTAACAGTCAGGCGCCTCTGCTGCAGGTCTGCTGGAGTTTGCTGGAGGTCCTCTCCAGACCCTGTTTGCCTGGGTATCATCGGAGGAGCCTGCAGAAGAGCAAAGATGGCTCCCTGTTCCTTCCTCTGGAAGCTTCGTCCCACGGGGCACCCACCAGATGCCAGCCATAGCTCTCCTGTATGAGATGTCTGCCGGTCCCTACTGGGAGGTGTCTCCCAGTCAGGATACATGGGTGTCAGGGACCCACTTGAGGAGGCAGTCTGTCCCTTATCAAAAACAAACATAGGCTCCAGATAAAGGGATTGGAGGAATATTTACCAAGTAAATGAAAGCAAAAAAAAAAAAAGCAGGGGTCACAATCCTAGTCTCTGACAAAACAGTCTTTAAACCAACAAAGATCAAAAGAGACAAAGATGGGCATTACCTAATGGTAAACGGATCAATGCAACAAGAAGAGATAACTATCCCAAATATGTATGTACCCAGTACAGTAGCACCCAGATTCATAAAGCAAGTTCTCAGAGACCTACAAAGAGACTTAGACTCCCACATAATAATAGTGGGAGATTTTAACACCCCACTGTCAATATTAGACAGATCAATGAGACAGAAAATTAACAAGGATATCCAGGACTTGAACTCAGCTCTGGACCAAGCGGATCTAATAGACATCCATAGAACTCTCCACCCCAAATCAACAGAATATACATTCTTCTCAGCACCACATCGCACTTATTCTAAAATTGACCACATAATTAGAAGCAAAACACTCCTCAGCAAATGGAAAAGAACAGAAATCAAAACAAACTATCTTTCAGATCACAGTGCAATTAACTTAGAACTCAGGATTAAGAAACTCACTTAAAACTGCACCACTACATGGAAACTGAACAACATGCTCCTGAATGACTACTGGGTAAATAACCAAATGAAGTCAGAAATAAAGATGTTCTTTGAAAGCAATGAGAACAAAGACACAATGTACCAGAATCTCTGGGACACATTTAAAGCAGTGTGTAGAGGGAAATTTATAGCACTAAATGCCCATGAGAGAAAGCAGGAAATATCTATAATCGACATCCTAACATCACAATTAAAAGAACTGGAGAAGCAAGAGCAAAAAATTCAAAAGTTAGCAAAAGGCAAGAAATAACTAAGATCACAACAGAACTGAAGGAGACAGAGACACGAAAAACCCTTCAAAAAAATCAATGAATCCAGGAGCTAGTTTTCTGAAAAGATCAACAAAATAGATCGACTGCTAGCAAGACTAATAAAGAAGAAAGAGAGAATAATCAAATAGATGCAATAAAAAATGATAAAGGGGATAACCCCACTGATCCCACAGAAATACAAACTACCATCAGAGAATACTATAAACACCTCTATGCAAATAAACTAGAAAATCTAGAAGAAATGGATAAGTTCCTGGACACATACACCCTCCCAAGACTAAACCAGGAAGAAGTTGAATCCCTGAATAGAACAATAACAAGTTCTGAAAATGAGGCACCAATTAATATCCTACCAACCAAAAAAAAGTCCAGGACCAGACAGATTCACAGCTGAATTCTGCCAGAGGTACAAAGAGGAGCTGGTAGCTCGTTTTATGAGGGCAGCATCATCCTGATACCAAAACCTGGCAGAGACACAACAAAAAAAGAAAATTTCAGGTCAGTATCCCTGATGAACATCGATGCGAAAATCCTCAATAAAATACTAGCAAACCGAATCCAGCAGCACATCAAAAAGCTTATCCACCATGATCAAGTCAGCTTCATCCCTAGAATGAAAGGCTGCTTCAACATATGCAAATAAATAAACGAAATCCATCACATAGAACAAATGACAAAAACCACATGATTATCTCAATAGATGCAGAAAAGGCCTTCGACAAAATTCAACAGCCTTTCATGCTAAAAACGCTCAAAAAACTAGGTATTGATGAAACGTATCTCAAAATAATAAGAGCTATTTACAACAAACCCATAGCGAATATCATACTAAATGGGCAAAAACTAGAAGCATTCCCTTTGAACACCGGTACAAGACAAGGGTGCCCTCTCTCACCACTCCTATTCAACATAGTATTGGAAATACTGGCCAGGGCAATCAGGCAAGAGAAAGAAATAAAGGCTATTCAATTAGGAAAGAGGAAATCAAATTGTCTTTGTTTGCAGATGACATAATTGTATATTTAGAAAATCCCCTCGTCTCAGCCTAAAATCTCTTTAAGCTGATAAGCAACTTTAGCAAAGTCTCAGGATACAAAATCAATGTACAAAAATCACAAGCATTCCTATACACCAATAACAGACAGAGAGCCAAATCATGAGTGAACTCCTATTCACAATTGCTACAAAGAGAATGAAATACCTAGGAATACAACTTACAAGGGATGTGAAAGACTTCTTCAAGGAGAACTACAAACCACTGCTCAAGGAAATCAGAGAGGACACAAACAAATGAAAAAACATTCCATGCTCATGGATAGGAAGAAACAATATCATCAAAATGGCCATACTGCCCAAAGTAATTTACAGATTCAATGCTATCCCCATTAAGCTACCATGGACTTTCTTCACAAAATTGGAAAAAAAAAAACACTAAATTTCATATGGAACCAAAAAAGAGCCTGCATAGCCATGACAATCCTAAGCAAAAAGAACAAAGCTGGAGGCAATCATGCTACCTGATTTCAAACTATACTAAAGGCTACAGTAACATAAATAGAATGGTAATGGTACCAAAATAGATATATAGACCAATGGAACAGAATAGAGGCCTCATAAATAATGCCACAATTCCACAATCATCTGATCTTTGACAAACCTGACAAAAACAGGCAATGCGGAAAGGATTCCCTATTTAATAATGGTGTTGGGAAAACTGGCTAGCCATATGTAGAAAGCTGAAACTGGATCCCTTCCTTACACCTTACACAAAAATTAACTCAAGATGGATTAAAGACTTACATGTCAGACCTAAAACCATAAAAACCCTAGAAGAAAACCTAGGCATTACCATTCAGGACATAGGCATGGGCAAGGACTTCATGACTAAAACACCAAAAGCAATGGCAACAAAAGCCAAAAGAGACAAATGGGATCTAATTAAACTAAAGAGCTTCTGCACAGCAAAATAAACTATTGTTAGAGTGAACAGGCAACCTACAGAATGGGAGAACATTTTTGCAATCTATTTACCTGCAAAGGGCTAATATCCAGAATCTACAAAGAACTTAAACAAATTTAAAAGAAAAAAAAAACCCCATCAAAAAGTGGGTGAAGGATATGAACAGACACTTCTCAAAAGAAGACATTTATGCAGCCAACAAACAGATGAAAAAAAGCTTATCATCACTGGTCATTAGAGAAATGCAAATCAAAACCACAATGAGATACTATCTCACACCAGTTAGAATGGTGATCATTAAAAAGTCAGGAAACAACAGATGCTGGAGAGAATGTGGAGAAATAGGAATGCTTTTACGCTTGTGGTGGGAGTGTAAATTAGTTCAACCATTGTGGAAGACAGTGTGCCGTTTTCTCAAGGATTTACAACCAGAAATACCATTTGACCCAGCAATCCCATTACTGCATATATACCCAAAGGATTATAAATCATACCACTATAAAGACACATGCACACGTATGTTTATTGCGGCACTGTTCACAATAGCAAAGACTTGGAACCAACCCAAATGCCCATCAATGATAGACTGGATAAAGAAAATGTGGCACATATACACCATTAAATACTATGTAACCATAAAAAAGGATGAGTTCATGTCCTTTGGAGAGACGTGGATGCAGCTGGAAACCATCATTCTCAGCAAACTAACACAAGAACAGAAATCCAAACACCACATGTTCTCCCTCATAAGTGGGAGTTGAACAATGAGAACACATGGACACAGGGAGGGGAACTTCACACACTGGAGCCTGTCGGGGGTGGGGGGCTAGGGGAGGGATAGCATTAGGAGAAATACCTAATGTAGATGACGGGCTGATGGGGTGCAACAAACCACCATAGCACATGTATATGTATATAACAAACCTGCACGTTCTGCACCTGTACACAAGAACTTAAAGTATAAAGGAAAAAAAAATACTTTAAACTAGATATCCTAGTTTCAGGGCAAGTGTCACCATTAAGTTGTAACTATAATTTGAGTAAGCCAGACTTGTACTTCTGTTTTGACATTGACTGTACTCTGACCCTCTCATCAATTTTCTTACCTTGAACAATACTCGACTCTTGTATAAAATAGATATGGGGCTATCGATATAATATGTAGTGTCTTGGAGTTTCAGATTTTTCACCTCTAAAGAAGGAATAGATAAAACAACTGCACAGGGAAGAAAGGCTGTGAGGACTTTAAACTTTCTTTTTACTTGCCTCAATTTGGATTCTCCACTAATAATAGAGATAAAGCTGAAGAGAAGCACTGAAGAATACAGTAGAAAGAAACTACATGCATGTCTAAGATAGGAAGAGTGTAGATAATAAACAAATCATTTACAGAATTGCTGAATATCCTGGAGCTTTTCATGTTAACACCAGCATCATTCCTTTCTTTAGAAATTTGGAGGACAATATACTATATGTGTACTACATGTATACTATAGTACACAGTTTTGATAATCCATTTTGGTTGTTTCTTATTTAGTAAAGAAAGTTATCTTTTAGCTTCTCTAGTTGATCACTTTCTTTTTTTTTTAAATGCATCCTCCCTTAGCTATATAGAACACTGTTCCTTCTATTAATCACCCTTTAGATACTTGGCAATGTCCAACATCCATGGGCTGTTTTATATATTGTCAGTTAAGATGTCAGCCAGAATTGTAGGTTGCATAGAACATAAACCTAAACAATTATATTTTAAAAAATAAACTATTATAGCTATTAATCTAGCTGGGAAGTGACAGGAGCAATTTTGTATTTTAGAAAGTCAACTGCAGCTCAGAGAAGAGAAAGGATTTAAAAGGGGTCATATTAGAAAAAAGTTTTACATGGCAGCTGTAGTAACTGAAATGAGATATGATGACATGAATGAAGGGAAAGGCAATAGAAATAGAAATTACAATATAAACTCAAGTGATAATAAAGGGAAAGATTTGACAGAATATAGTGACTTATTGGTGAGGAGTGTGTGAGCAAAAAAAAATAGGAATGAAGGTAATGTTATTGATTGGGAAGGTCATGGTAGCATTAACAGACATAGAATACAGGAGGAGGATAAGACTTTGTAAAGAGTATGCTTGTTTTTGTTTGGACACAGTGATTTTTGAAGCATACGTCCTTGGAAACTTTGATATTTTTTCCCAAGAATTTTCTGCCATATCCGCAGTTTAGCATCATTACTTACACAGACCTTTAAATGTTGTGGCTGATTTTTACTTAAGAAAAAGAACACACGTATATTTGAACATTGGTAAGTTATTCATATATATGTAAAGAATTTATATATATAACAAATACATATTTATATAATACATATATGATAGATAATTCTTATACATTTCTAAATATATATCAAAATATATATAAATCTATATCAAATGCATATATTTGATACATATAAATTCTTCACATATATATGAACTTCTCAATCTCCACACTGTGCTCTGTTTCCGGGATCAGAAACTCATATACCTCTATACGTTTTTTAACTCAAGTGTATAACTGCATGCAAAATAATTTGGTTAGACTGCTATCTCACACCACATAAAAATTAATTCAAAATGGATCAATGCCCTACTCATAGAAACTAAAACCATGCAACACTTAGAAGGCAGCATAAGGATAAATACACACAACCTTCGGTTTGGCAATAGATTATTAGCTATAAAACCATAAGTATCAGCAACAACAACAAAAATTCGATAAATTGGACTTAATAAAAATGGGAAATATTTTGTGCATCAAAGAACATTGTCAAGAAAGTGAAAAGAAAATCTATAGAATGATAGAAAATATTTGCAAATATTAACATCATTAGTCATTAGGGAAATGTAAATGCAAATCACATTGCAAATGTAAATGCTAATTAACACCCACTAGAATGGCCATGATCAAGAAGACATATAACAACAAGCATTGTTGAGGATATGGAAAAATTGTAATTCTTTCACTTTGCGTCAGGAATGTAAAATGGTAGAGCTTCTGTGGAAAGCAGTTTTGTGAGTCCTCAAGTTAAACAGGATTACCACATAACCCAGCAATTTCACTCCTAGGTGTACATCCAAAAGAATTGAACATAGTTACTCCAACAAATACATGTACATGCATGTTCATAGCAGCACTATTTACAATAGCCAAAAAGTGAAACAACCCAAATATTCATCAATGGATGATATATAATTTTAGCCATAAATAGGAATGAAGTGAATGATACAATGTGGATCAGCCCCCAAAATATTATGATAAGGGAAAGAAGACCGATATGAAAGGACACACGTATCTATGATAGGATTCAATTTATATGAAATATCTTGAAGAGATAAATCAGTTGAGACAGAATGCAGATTCGTAGTTCCCAGTTGTGTGGAATTGGGGATGGGGAGAAGGAAGAATTGGAAGTAACCGTTTAATGTGTATGGTGATTCCTTTTGGGGTGAGGAGAATATTTTGGGAATAAATAGAAATAGTGTTTTTACAACATTGCGAATGTATTACATGCCATTGAATTTTCACTTTATTATGTTATGTGAATTTCACCTCAATTACAAAAACAGAAAAATTGAAAACATTTAAGTCAGGTATTGGTCTTTCTCCTCTCTCTGCCATTCTTTTTATCCTATTTCTTGTAAGCAGCCAATACTTTTTTTGCAAATCTGAGCAGGTATGTTCATATATATTTCTTTCTTGTTATTTCCTACACAAAGCCAGTAAATTAGACCTTTTTAGTGGCATTTTTTTTTCACCTAATGCGTTAAGCAAAATTCCAGGGTTAATTCTGAGAAGTGTAATTTATGAACCAAATGTTAAGTACATATGTAGTTTTGATAGATATTGCCAAATTGTTCTCCATCAGGGTTGTATCATTTTACAGTCCTAAAAGCAGTGATACGTCATTTTCTCACAACTTGGCCAACAGTGTATGTTGTCATGTCTTTGAGTTTTGTCAGTCCGATAGGTGAGACATTGTGACTAAGCGTAGTTATAATTCGTATTTCACTTATAAGTGATTTTTAGTATCTTTTCATATATATATAGACCTTTTTAATATATTTTTGAACATCTTAAAAATTAAATTCAGGCATTGTTTATTATCACGAGCTTTTAGTCTTCCCTCAAGGTTTTTAGAAATTTTGTTTTACACGTTAAGGTTAATGGCCCTTTTATTTTGCAGCACATGTTGCAAATATTTGTACCCAGTTAGTTATTTGTCTTTGTCATTGCTAACTCTTTTACTCTCCAAAATGAAACGATTTAAAAATTTCATATATTCAATTATTAATCATTATTATTGAATCTGAATTTAGAAATGTAATTGAAAATGTTTTTCTCCATATAGAATTTAAAGGAATGGGCCTGGCGCGGTACGTTAGGAGGCCGAGGCAGGCTGATCACAAGTTCAGGAGATCGAGACCATCCTGGTTAACACAGTGAAACCCCGTCTCTATTAAAAATACATTAATTTTTTGAAGGTTTTTTTGTGTCTCTATTTCCTTCAGTTCTGCTCTGATTTTAGTTATTTTGCCTTCTGCTAGCTTTTGAATGTGTTTGCTCTTGCTTTTCTAGTTCTTTTAATTGTGATGTTAGGGTGTCAATTTTGGATCTTTCCTGCTGTCTCTTGTGGGCATTTAGTGCTATAAATTTCCCTCTACACACTGCTTTGAATGTGTCCCAGAGATTCTGGTATGTGTGTCTTTGTTCTCGTTGGTTTCAAAGGACATCTTTATTTCTGCCTTCATTTCCTTATGTACCCAGTAGTCATTCAGGAGCAGGTGGTTCAGTTTCCATGTAGTTGAGCAGTTTCGAGTGAGTTTCTTAATCCCGAGTTCTAGTTTGATTGCACTGTGGTCTGAGAGATAGTTTGTTATAATTTCTGTTCTTTTACATTTGCTGAGGAGAGCTTTACTTCCAACTATGTGGTCAGTTTTGGAATAGGTGTGGTGTGGTGCTGAAAAAAATGTATATTCTGTTGATTTGGGGTGGAGAGTTCTGTTGATGTCTATTAGGATGCCCTCTCTCACCACTCCTATTCAACATAGTCTTGGAAGTTCTGGCCAGGGCAATTAGGCAGGAGAAGGAAATAAAGGGTATTCAATTAGGAAAAGAGGAAGTCAAATTGTCCCTGTTTGCAGATGACATGATTGTATATCTAGAAAATCCCATCGTCTCAGCCCAAAATCTCCTTAAGCTGATAAGCAACTTCAGCAAAGTCTCAGGATACAAAATCAATGTACAAAAATCACAAGCATTCTTATACACCAATAACAGACAGAGAGCCAAATCATGAGTGAACTCCCATTCACAATTGCTTCAAAGAGAATAAAATACCTAGGAATCTACCTTACAAGGGACGTGAAGGACCTCTTCAAGGAGAACTACAAACCACTGCTCAATGAAATAAAAGAGGATACAAATAAATGGAAGAACATTCCAGGCTCATTGGTAGGAAGAATCAATATCGTGAAAATGGCCATACTGCCCAAGGTAATTTATAGATTCAATGCCATCCCCATCAAGCTACCAATGACTTTCTTCACACAATTGGAAAAAACTACTTTAAAGTTCATATGGAACCAAAAAAGAGCCCGCATCGCCAAGTCAATCCTAAGCCAAAAGAACAAAGCTGGAGGCATCACGCTACCTGACTTCAAACTATACTACAAGGCTACAGTAACCAAAACAGCATGGTACTGGTACCAAAACAGAGATATAGATCAATGGAACAGAACAGAGCCCTCAGAAATAACGCCGCATATCTACAACTATCTGATCTTTGACAAACCTGAGAAAAACAAGCAATGGGGAAAGGATTCCCTATTTTATAAATGGTGCTGGGAAAACTGGCTAGCCATATGTAAAAAGCTGAAACTGGATCCCTTCCTTACACCTTATACAAAAATTAATTCAAGATGGATTAAAGACTTACATGTTTGACCTAAAACCATAAAAACCCTAGAAGAAAACCTAGGCATTACCATTCAGGACATAGGCATGGGCAAGGACTTCACGTCTAAAACACCAAAAACAATGGCAACAAAAGACAAAATTGACAAATGGGATCTAATTAAACTAAAGAGCTTCTGCACAGCAAAAGAAACTACCATCAGAGTGAACAGGCAACCCACAAAATGGGAGAAAATTTTCGCAACCTACTCATCTGACAAAGGGCTAATATCCAGAATCTACATTGAACTCAAACAAATTTACAAGAAAAAAACAAACAACCCCATCAAAAAGTGGGCAAAGGACATGAACAGACACTTCTCAAAAGAAGACATTTATGCAACCAAAAAACACGTGAAAAAATGCTCACCATCGCTGGCCATCAGAGAAATGCAAATCAAAACCACAATGAGATATCATCTCACACCAGTTAGAATGGCAATCATTAAAAAGGCAGGAAACAACAGGTGCTGGAGAGGATGTGGAGAAATAGGAACACTTTTACACTGTTGGTGGGACTGTAAACTAGTTCAACCATTGTGGAAGTCAGTGTGGCGATTCCTCAGGGATCTAGAATTAGAAATACCATTTGACCCAGCCATCCCATTACTGGGTATATACCCAAAGGACTATAAATCATGCTGCTATAAAGACACATGCACACGTATGTTTATTGTGGCACTATTCACAATAGCAAAGACTTGGAACTAAGCCAAATGTCCAAAAATGATAGACTGGATTAAGAAAATGTGGCACATATACACCATGGAATACTATGCAGCCATAAAAAATGATGAGTTCATGTCCTTTGTAGGGACATGGATGAAATTGGAAATCATCATTCTCAGTAAACTATCGCAAGAACAAAAAACCAAACACCGCATATTCTCACTCATAGGTGGGAATTGAACAATGAGAACATATGGACACAGGAAGGGGAACATCACACTCTGGGGACTGTTGTGGGGTGGGGGGAGGGGGGAGGGATAGCATTGGGAGATATACCTAATGCTAGATGACGTGTTGGTGGGTGCGGCACACCAGCATGGCACATGTATAAATATGTAACTAACCTGCACATTGTGCACATGTACCGTAAAACTTAAAGTATAATAAAAAAAAAATCAACAACAACAAAAATAAAAATAAAATAAAATAAAATAAATAAAAAATAAAAAAATTAAAAATAAAAAGTAAAAATACAAAAAATTAGCGAGGCATAGTGGCGGGCGCCTGTAGTCTCAGCTACTGGGAAGGCTGAGGCAGGAGGATGGCGTGAATCCTGGAGGTGGAGCTTGCAGTGAGCCCAGATCGCACCACTGCACTCCAGTCTGGGCGACAGGAAAAAAAAAAAAAAAATACAATTTAAAGGAATGCTGTCATGTTTTCTTCGGCTACATTTATAATGTTCATTTTTACATAATATCTTATCCACTAAGGTTTACTGGTATATCTTAAAAATGGATGCTATTTTATCCCTTACTAAGTATCTATCCAGTTGTCCTAACATCATTTATTAACAACATTATTTTGGCCCCAGCAATTTAGGACATTACCTTTATTATATACTAAAGTTCTACATTTCTTTATTTCATTACATTACTATTTTATATTGATACAAATATTTGCACATATATATGGCATGCATTTGATGTTTTGTTAAAGTGAGGAAGTCAGGGTATTAGGGGTGTCCATCACCTCAAGTTGTTATTATTTCTAAGTGTTGGGAACATTTCAAATCCTCTCTTCTATCTGTTTTGAAATATACAGTACATTATTTTTAACTATAGTCACACTATTCTGCTAGCGAACATTATCATTGAATGTATTCTTTATATCTAATTGTAGGTTTCTACCTGTTAGCCAACCTCTCTCTATCCCTCCACCTCCCCACATGCCTTTTTTAGCTTCTGGTATCTACCATTCTATCCTCACATGAGATCAGTTTTTTAACTTACACATATAAATGAGAACATTCTATATTTATCTCTCTATACCTGTTTATCTCACCTAACATAAGGACCTTCAGTTCCACCTACATTGCTGCAAATGACATGATTTTATTTATTTCTATGGCTAAATAATATTTCATTGTTTATATATGCCACATTTGCTTTATCCATTCATCTCTTGCTGGACACTTAAGTTGATTTCCTATGTTTGCTATTGTTAACAGTGTTGCAATAAACATGGCAATGCAGGTATCCCTTTGATATACTGATTTCTTTTTCTCTGGATAAATCCTGAGTAGTGTGATTGTTGGATGGTATGGTAGTTTAATTTTTTCACTTTTCAAGAAATCTCCAGACCATTCTTTCATAGTGACTGTAATAATTTCCATGGCCCCCAGTGGTGTATACATGTTCCCTTTTCTCTGCATCCTTGCCAAAGTTTGTTTTTTTGTTGTTATTTTTGTTATTCTTATTTTTTTGAGACAGGTTCTTACTCTGTCACCCAGGCTAAAGTGCAGTGGCAGTGGTCATGGCTCATTGCAGTCTCAGCCTTCCAGGCTCAAGCAATCCTCCTACCTGAGCCACCCAAGTAGGTAGGACTGCAGGCATGCACCACCATGCCTAGCTAATTTTGTTGGTGGTTTTTTGTAGAGATGGCGTCTCACTATGTTGCCCAGGCTGGTCTGGAACTCCTGCCTCAAGCAGTCTTCCCACCTTAGCCTCCCAATGTGTTAGGATTACAGGCATGAGCCACTGTACCCCACTATTTTTTATCTTTTAATAACAGCCATTCTAATTGTGTAAGATGCTGTCTTATTGTGGTTTTGATTTGCATTTCCCTGATGATTAGTGAGTAATGTTGAGCATTTTTTCATATATTTGTTGGTCCTTTGTACATCTTCTTTTGAGAAATATCTTTTCATGTCCTTACTTCACTTTTTAATGGGATTGTAAGTCTTTTCTTTTTGTTGTGGAGTTGTTTGAATGCCTTGTGTTTTCTGTATATTAGTCCCCAGTCAGATGCGAATATTTTCTCTTATTTAACATGTTGTCTCTTCATTCTCTTGCCTGTTTCCTTTGCTGTGCAGAAGCTTTTTAGTTTAATATAATTTCATCTATTTTTATTTTTGTTGCCTGGCTTTTGAAGTCTTAGCTATACAATCTTTGTCCAGACCAATGTCCTGAAGTGTTTCCCCAATGTCTTCTTCTAGCAGTTTTATAGTTTGTTTCTCACATTTGGCTTTAATTCATCTTAACTTTATTCTTGTACATGGTGAGAGGCAAGGGTCCAGTTTCATTCCTCTGCATATAAAATTTAATTTTTTCCAGCACCATTTATTGAAGAGGGTGTCTTTTCCTCTGTGTGTATTCTTGATGCCTTTGTTGAAAACCATTTGGCTGTAAAAAGGTAGACTTACTTCTGGATTTTCTATTCTGTCCCATTGATCTATGTGTCTGTTTTTATATCAATAACATGAAGTTTTGTTTACTATAGCTTTGTAGTAGATTCCGAAGTCAGGTAGTATGATGCCTCCAGCTTTGTTCTTTTTTGCTCAAGATTGCTTTAGCTAATTGGGATCTTTTGTGCTTCCATACAAATTTTAAAATGATTTTTACTATTTCTATAAAGAATGTCATTGGTATTCTGATAGAATTGCATGCCCATGGTAAATAAGCTCTTTTCTTTCATTATGATTTTAAAATTTCTGTTTTTTGAGTTCTTTAGTTTTGTCTGTTGATTTTGCATCCTGTATTTATATATAATATATATAATATATGTATCACATATATATATAATTTTTTGCTTTGAGTTAAACTACATGAGCAACACAAAGGAATTGGTGATGGAAATCATGTCATCCATATAGATAATAACATTTGTTCTTTTACGAACATTATGCCTGCATATATTACCCTTTTCCTAATTTCATAGGCTAATATTTCCAATAAGTTGTTAAATAAAAATGAAAACTGTGGGCTTTCTTGACTTATTACTAACTTTGGTGAAGATGACTCTAGTGTTTTCCCATTAAATAAGAAGCTAACTTTAGGACATATATGTATTTAAAGTTATTATGACATAGAACTCACTTTTTATACATTTTAATACCTGACATCTTTCAGCAGAAAATCTTTTTCTCTTAATAATCATCTTTATTTTGTCTATCCATTTATATTTTTAACTCCTGGTCATAAAAAATTAATTATTTTTGCAGTTTCTGTCTACCACATGGACCATATTTTCATGTTACAAGCTCTTTAAATGATTTAGATTTATTACTCACAAATTGTATGATTCAAAACAAAGAAAAACAGGTGAAATAATACATAAAAAGTATAAAGTTTACTATAGGAATTAAAATGAAATCCTTCCTCATTAGTGAAAGAAAATGTAATCATTTAAAAATATTTTTTATGGATTATGAATTCACAAGTGTAACTTCTCCCTCCTATTAATTCTTCCATCTACCTCTGGGAAAGAAAATGCATACATAGAGAGAAGCACAACAAATAATACATGGAGAGCAATTTTAAAAAATAGGAAAGAAAATTGTTTATGTGTTTAGAGGTTAGACAGTTGAAAGGTCAGTTGTGTATTAGAAAATTCATTTCAACACTAGAAAGGTTAGTAACCTGGAAAAATTCCCTGTTGAAATAAATAGCCACATTCCTCGGAACAGCAGCCTGTCAAAAGTGAATGGCAATTTACATTCGCACATCACAGAAGCCTTGGGAGGAGGGGATGCTCCTTGACACTTGCAACTAGGAAATGAACCAAAGGAATCCCAGCTGGTTTTAAGCCTCCTTTCTTTTAAAGACACATGAAGGATTTATATATCTATTTATTACTCTGAAACAAATTTTTAGCATCCTGGGAAGACAAATATCCAATTAATAAATTGGCCAGCAATTTAATGGCAGTGAAAATCTATAGACATACCACCTATAGAATTATTATTCAGTTTATATTTAAAACTGCTAGTAAAGCCAAATGGTCTTTCTGTTTTCCTCTATATTAATTTGAATGAATATTAAAAGAATACACATTTTTTGTATAATTATAATCATAAAACCACTTATTGAGTTCATCAAATCACTTTGTATAAATACATATCACAATCCAAATATATCTTTAAACTTAAACTTGTTTACATTGTACATTAGATAACTATTTCTTTTTTAATATTCAAAATTATTAATAATACAATTACATTTAAACTCACTATTCTTAATATACTTATTAATATACTTAATAAACTCACTATTATTTTTCTGCTGTGATTAATAAAACTGAAATAAATAGGAAAACAAATCCAACTTTTACATTACTGAATATGTTGACATTAGAAGAATTCCTAAATATAATGAAAAGTATACATTTTAAAATATAAAATATGTTTGTAGGTAAAAAAAATATAATGTCTCTTTTCCGTAAACAATGTTTTCACTTGAAGATATTATTTTCTTTACGGAAAATTAAAACAAACATATGTCATTTTTATTAAGTAATCTTAAATTTGTTTCTTAATAATGTTACCCATTTTCCCTATGTTTTCTAAATTTGTAAAAAAAATACGTGTTAAATATTGGCTTTTTATCTTTCTTTTGCAATTCAGAGGCTTTTCTAAATTATTCATAAAAGAGTAGTATATTTTATATACCTCAGTTTAAGTAGTGAAAAAAAAATCTCACTAAAACAAATACTCTAGTGGATTTACAGAAATAATGTGAGTGAGGGAAAAGGAAATAATTCATGCTTCAGAATGGTATATTTTATACCAAGGTATACTTGCTGTTCAGTTTCCTTTTGATTTCATAATCAATATAATATTAAATATAATGCAATTACCTAAAATCACCAGTATTTCTTTTTCCTAACATCTGACACCTATCTTGAAACATGTATGCCCATGATTGATGGACTAGACACTTTACTCAGGAGATTGGATGGATGTTTACTCAGGAGATTGGATGGATAGGAGTTTGGATGGTCATTGTGTCTTAACATCATCAAGAGTAAATACAAGCAGATGGAAGCCATGTGTTCTAGAGCTTTCATGTCATATATCAGTATGAATATATTTTCCCAAATAATCCTTTGAGGTCAAGATCATTTTGGTCTGATCATGAATTATTCCTTTTTCTTTCACATGTATTACTTCTATAAATCAACTAGAGTATTTATTTTAGTGAGGTGTGTTTGTTGTTACTTAAACTGAAAAAGATTGCCTGAAAAATCCTAGCATTACACAAGAGGTATAAATCCTGCTTTTAGTAGTACTACAGAATGTGTTACTTACCCTTGATAAGTAAATGATACTTAAATAGCACAAAATAAGCAATTATGAAATTGCCAAGTGCTGATTATTGAAAGTGATTGAAATTTAATTAGATCTCATATATTTTGCATTTCATAGTAAAAACTGATGTCTTTTTTCCAGATGATTTTAAATTGTCCCACTAACTGCATATTTTAAGTTGTATAGAACTTTATTATAATACTTTTTTTTCATTTCTGATTTAAATTGTAACCTGGGATAATTAACAAACTGCCCATTTTAAGGTATTTTGAAGGAGCTTGTTAAATCATACTATACATTGATCATTTAAATTGCTAAAGAAAGTAAAACTAAGAGTGTGCATTTTTAATTGTATTGTGAATAATTCATCTACCATCTGTGAATATAAAGGATAATGTCACAAATAACACAACTTGAGTTATGCTAAAACTTACCTGAGGGTTGCTGTTCTTGTTCTTGTTACTTGGATTAATGGCTGTTGTCAGCTCTAATATCATAAACACTCTCTATTCTCCACAATTATGCATATGAACCAAGGGTCAACACTCATACTCCTTTGGACACACTTTTCGACAGGCAGAAGAGGGATAACTGGCCTGACAGAATCTAGTAAATAATAATAGACGTAAAACAGAAAGAACCTTTTCTGCATTTGCAGAGTGGGGTTAAGGATCACTACAAGCACTAGATTTATGTTCAAAATCACAACTTTAAGTAAAAGCTCAGAGAATGAGTAATGGCAAATGCAAGTGAAAAATATCCAATAGGTACAATCATGCAAAGATACCCTTAATTAACAAGATGGTAGCATCAAAATTTATATTCCTTTTTCTTAAATAATTCAAACATGATGACAAAAATATGATGAAACTTTTCTAAAAAGGCAAAGAAAATTACCCATAAATCTACCCTCCAAACAACTGTTATTTCATATTTTCCTATTATATATTTCCTTTTCAATTTTTCACACCAATCATAAACAATATTTTGCTATATATTCTAAGCTTTTATTAAACAAGACTTAAATATAAAGACTGTGATCTTCATCATAACCACTTGTATGCTTTTACAGTCTTTATATTTAATTTTCAAGGCCAGAAGATGTTTTTAATCAGGATGTCTCTGTACTTATTTAGACAGCACATAATTGTTATTTTTATTGATATAGATTTAGTTCTATACATTTGATAATTTTTAAATAATATCTGCGTGTCCTGATTTTAATATATAATAAATGCACATATCATTAGCAAAGCATATCCAAATATCATATGATTATTAAATGCTGTTGCTCATAGTATATGCAATCATGTTAACATTGAGGTTGTATTAGATTTTTAAAGTAAGTTAACCTTCTCTGTTTGTAAATTGAGAGGTCTTTTTTAATGAGCCAGGGATTCTTGGCTTATTATACACAAAGGTGATGCTTAAAAAAAAGAAAATAAAGTTTTATTACAGAAGAAAGCCCAGATTCAAATATTTAGCTGTCTACTCACTAACTTGGTGACCTTAGAAAATAGTGTAGGTTGTTACCTTATTTCTACCTCTGAGTTATGGGGATCAAGTAGAAAGGACTATGTGAAAGGCTTTGTAAATTAATGAGAACTAAATAAAAGTTAAATATTCATAATGGAAATGTAAACATTTTGTTTAAAATAAATATAGAAGCATTAACCATCATTACAATTATTCTCACTAGGGTCTATCTTAATTTTCACCGTTTTTTGTTACTTTCAAAACTTGTGCCTTAACTTTAGGAAAAAATGTCTTGGTGAAATACCTCTAAAATCCTTACTACTTTCCCTCCTTTATGGACTCTCATCTCGATTTAGGTCTATAATTTCTTAGTCTAACTCAATTCCTTACTCCTTTCCAAACCAATAACTCTTCCTCTGTATCTCTGGCATGCATTTTCAGTCATTAGTACAATAATTTATATTTTCAGCTCTTCTCTGAAGATGTTTTATAGTGAAGCTTGTTTTCTGTTTGTTTTCATTTTTGTTTCTGTAGTCAATACTCCACAGAGCCTGGAGGTGGGGTAGGTATTCTCCTTATTCCTTATTGACCCTTTCATATTTACCGTCCATTTTAATATCCTAAACCTCCAGCTCATTTACAGCTCATGCCAACAAGCTTATTCAAGCTGCTGGTCCTCTTCATTGTAGCCTTCTATAGAATTAGGGTTCTTTCAACCTCATTTCTTGAAGATTTTACCATTCAGCTCACTTTTTCTTCTCCACCACTATGGTGATCATTTATTTCCTTCAACTAATTTTATCTGAATACTACGTCTTTGTCATTTTCCCCTCTTGGGAAACAACTGCACAACTTCTGTTTAATCTCACTCTGCCCATGTTTTAGATGAGACAGTAAACAAAAATATTTCAGTTGTAATATTTTCCCTATTGATACTTGTATTAGTCAATTTTCATGCTGCTGATAAAGACATATCTGAGACTGGGCAATTTCCAAAAGAAAGAGGTTTAATGACTTACAGTTCCACATGGCTGGGGAGGCCTCACAATCATGGCAACAGGAAAGGAGGAGCAAGTCACATATTACATAGATGGCAGCAAAGAGAGAGATTGGCCAGGGAAACTCCCCCTTATAATAAGGCTAGATCTCGTGAGACTTATTCGCTACCACAAGAACAGCATGGGAAAGACCTGACCTCATGATTCAATTACCTCCCACCGGGTTCCTCCCACAACACGTGGGAATTCAAGATGAAATTTGCGTGGAGACACAGAAAAACCATATCAATACTTCTGAGGCAGAGATGCATTAGCTGATGAACAAGAACCTATAAACCCCTGTAATCAATATAAATTTGGTGGCTTGCCCAAGGTTGACACACACAAAAAAACTAAAAATAAATTATATTCAACTATAATTCAGTTAAATATGAAAGCTTGTTTTCTTTATTTAATACCAAAAGGAAGTTACTGGAATTTCCTAATTTAATTAAAAATTTTATGTTATAAAGCTTTAAAAAATTAATGAACTGAACTAATTTGTAAGATTGAGTTAAAACTGTTACTATTGTAACATAAAATAATATGTTGCTGGAGTATTTCCCATGCCAGTGATAGATATATTTTAAACCAGATAGATATAGTTTAAATCACCTTTTAAGCCAGGCTAATGATCTTTGTTTTTTCTAGTATCACTATAGAATGTTTGACTCATTTATACATTGTGAGCAAGAAACATTATGAAAACTGCTTGTGAAAATACAGTTGCAAAATTAGTGGAAACTAGTCATGAATCATTTCTGTGTGATACAAAATACACAAAATGAATAGATGGCAGTTGTTAAATCTCAAACTATATTTTATTTAATATACATGAATTCCAATTTCCATTTGATCATACATATATATATACACACACACACACATATATATACACACAGCTATATATATATATACACACACATGCACACATTCACACCCAAACCAATCAAACACACAAAACACATATACATATATGGGAAGACATTGAGAAACAGCTAGAGAAAAAGGGTGATTTTGAAATAAAAGTAGTACACAATTAAAAAATGTAATAGTTTCGTGAATACTTCAGGGGTTAAGTGTGTTGCTAAAGTGACCAGAGTGTTAGTATCAGAACATGGAACTCATCCTAAGTTTTTGGTCTTATTACTGGAGGTTGATAGATTACATCACTGTTATCAATCCTAGCATTCCTTTTTGTGTGACTTTACGCATTCCTTTTTGTGTGACTTTACACCTTTCTTTTTTATGCATATGAGTCAGTTGATTGGCCCCAAAGTCAGCTTCAATCTTGCAACAGAGGGTGTGATACTTATGACATTTACAGGTAGCATAATAAAAGTCAGATCCACCATCATATTTGTGCTTAGATTTAATAAGGCTGCTAACTTGACCTTATGTCTGTAATGGTAAAAATGAATCCTGATGGACTTCAAACAATCAAAATCCCTTGACTATGGACACTCTTAACAGGACTTCTCTTCTGGAGTTAACTCTGACCTCACTGTCTAATATCTTCCTATAGTCCAGTTGGAGATTTTCCCACTGTTTTCTCAATTGTAGAATGAAATTACTAGATATTTTATAAATAGAAGTAAATTCCATAATTATTATATATGTATATATTTCTCAAATCAACATTCTTTCTCTCTCAATTGATACTCACAAACTATGCATCTGACAAAGGTCTAATAACCAGAATCTACAATGAATTTAAATAAATCAACAATTAAGAAACAAATAATCCCATTTAAAAATGAACAAAGGGCATGAACAGACACTTCTCAAAAGACATACAAGCGACTTGTAAACATATGGAAAAATGTTCATTACTAATCATCAGAGAAACGCAAGTCAAAACCATAATGAGATACTATCTCACATCAGTCAGAATGGCTGCTATTAAAACTCAAAAAATAGCAGATGCTGGCAAAGCTGTGGAGAAAAGGGAACACTTATACACTGCTGGTGGGAATGTAAACTAGTCCAGCTACTGTGGAAAGAAGTTTGGAGATTTCTCAAAGAACTAAAAACAGAGCTACCATGTGACACAGCAATATTATTACTGGGTATAAACCCAAAGGAAAATAGATTATTTTACCGTAAAGACACACACTCGATAGTCATTGCCATGCTATTCACAATAACAAATATATGAAATCAACATAGTTACCCAGGAATGAGGGATTAAATAAAGAAACTGTGGTATATACACATCATGAAATACTACACAGCCAAAAAAAGGATGCAATCATGCCCTATGTAGAAACATGGATGGGCCTGGAGGCTACAATCCTAAGAAATTAACGCAGGAACAGAAAACCAAATACTGCATGTTCTCATTTAAAAGTGGGAGCTAACACTGAGCACCCATGAACATAAACATGGGAATAATACACACTGCAGACTACTAGAGGGAGGAGGGAGATAGGGGATTATGGGTCAAAAAACTACATATTGCATACTCTGCTGACTGCCTGAGAGCAATATACCTAAGTAACAAACCTGCACATGTACTCCCTGTATCTAAAGTTTAAAAAAAAGTTTTTAAAAACCATGGTAGATGAGATTTTTCGGTCTTCAAAGACATTATCAAATTTTTCCTAGCTACTCACTCCCACACATGCATATATCCATATACTTATGCATATATTGGTGCCTGTGCATAGATATTAATATTATTGATATGTGTATAGATGGATAGGCAGTATTTTACACCTCTATTAGCAACAAAAAGTACCCATTTTGCATTCTCTTATCATCAAGAATATTATATTTTAAGAAGATCAAAGTATTACAGATCAATTTATAGGCCTAAATTTCTATCACTTTTTAGTTTACTTAGCTGTTCCATTAGTCACTACTAAAGAGCCCACGCCTCGCCCCACCCCTTACGTTGGCATTTTACATTTTTTTTTAGCAGAAACATTCATATTATTTTCTTAACTGATATTTTTGGAGGGGTGTTAGTTAATATCTCAGTGATTTAAGAATATTCTTAATATTGTGATGTTTATACTTGAGTTGTCACACATATTTGGCATGATTATTTGTTTTTCCTCTGATAGAGTCAGCTTTCCTCTATTCTGGGTTACAGTACCCCTATTTTTTCCCATCACCATCCAGCTACATGTAAGTTGTAGCATGTAGCTGAGACTTAACTTCATCGGTATAACCATTCTGAGGCCATAATGATAACGCTGTTGATTAGTAAGTGCCATAAAAAGAACCAATCAGGCCCTAACCTTGGGATTTTGTTTAATGTTTTGGAGAAAGTGCTGCTGTTAACTATCTGTCTTAAAGATGGTGGCCAGGTAAATTGCCCACATCTCTTTATCGTGAAGTCAGTGATGAAAAGAATCCATCACATACAGAAAGAACAAAAGAAACACGCACACACACACACACACACACACACACACACAGTGATCATTTTTACTCCATTTATATGCCAAATGAGACTTAGTGATACTATAAATAAAATTTTTTAAATCAAGCAACATGGTGCCCTTTTTCACTGGCACTTTTAAACTTTCGTAGTTTAACTATTTGAATGTTTGAATATCAATTTGATTTGCAAAAGAGCTTTATAAACCCATAGATATTTGGGTATTAGTAAGGTAATTTAGGGAATATATTTAGCATGTAGCAATGGCCAACAAATATTAACTTTACTTTATTACCACCACTATGAAAAAATATTATTTATTTAATAGGAGTATAAGATGAAGGTATAGTTATCAATTTATTAAATTTTTTATACATTGTTTTTTATTTTGAGACAGAGTCTTGCTCTGTCACCAAGGCTGGAGTTCAGTGGCATAATCATAGCTCACTGCAGCCTTGATCTTCTTGGCTTAAGTGATCCTCTCACCTCTGCCTCTTGAATAATGGGGACCACAAGCACATACCACTATATCTGATTTATCACCTCAGACTCCCAAAGTATTGAAACTAAAGGCATGAGCCACCACTGCACCCAGGCTACATTTATTGAATATTCTGTTATTACCAAATTTGGAAAGCCACCTTAATTATATTCCCAATATCTATTTTCAAACACTTTCTTGACATTCTTCTATGTTCAACTAATTTATTTTGGGAAAGTGTCATTATTTTTTAATTTTTGTAATCTTAATGTAAATCTATCTATGGAAATCACTGGCTTTCTTGGTTAAACAAAGTTTCAAAAAATGTCTTCACTTTTGAATCATGCATATATTTACAGTATTAAATTCTACCTTCATTTTCTTATCTGATTTATTTGTATTTATTTGCATGCATTTGTAATTTCTAATAATTGTAAATATTTAGATTTGGAATTTTGGATTCAGACTTACCTTAAAATATGTTCTCACCCTTTTTGAAGCTTTGTCTAGCTATTCCACTCTATGGTCATATCATGATTTGTTTAACTATTCTCTATTGCTGAATATATCACTTGTTCAGAGCAATTTTCAATGACAAATAAGCCTAATAAATAATGCTAAGAAATTGCTTAAATATATAATAAGTTTATGGAAATAGAATTGCTAGGTCAATGTCTTTACATATCTAAAATTTCGGTAGGTATAACAACAGATTTTATTGCCACAAATAACATTTTGTATGCTGGTTTCCCTACATCCTTGCCAAGAAAGTGTGGTCAAACTTAAATTCTGGCAATTTTTAATGAAAGCAGTATCCCTGTAATTTTACTTTGTGTTTCTTTTAATATATATGGTTGATTATGTTTCCCTATGTTTAAAGATCGTTTTAAATTATTTATCTGTATCATGTGACTTGATGCATTTTTCTACAAGTTTGATATTCTTTTCTTATAGATCTTTCATTATCAAAGGTTTTTATATATTATGGAGATTTAAATGCTATGGAGCTTATCTCTGATACAAACTGTAAGTACTATTCTTAGTTTTCTTTTATGTATAATTTATTCTTTAGTTTTAAAGTATGCATGTGTGTTTGCACGTTATTTTTATAATATATAATTTTGAGTCATTTTTGTAAATGGTTTATTTAATTTATGGTATATTGTATTTGAAAGTATTATTCAAAGTTTTTTTGTAACTTGTATTTTTTTAATGGTTTTAGTTAAAATTCTTGATTCATTTTGAACTTATGGTAGTATATGATGTGAGTAAAATTCTAAATGTGGTTGTCCAGATGGCTATAAGCTTATTTCAACACTATTTATTGTTTCTTTTTGTTTTGTTGATCTTTTTAAATACAGAATTGGGATGTCATGTTGTCATGCATTAATTATTTTTTTTAAATTTTATTTGATATTTACATTAATCTTTCTACTTAGGCACCAATTTTGTTGATGTTTAATATGTTTTAATAGCTGAAAAGACAAGTTATTTCACATTGATCTTCTATTTTACTTCTATATTACTGATCTTACATATTCCTTATTCACCTGAATTGTCACGGGCTTCTCCATCTCCACCACTGCCATAAAAATAATTGCTATATTTATTGGATATCCCTAAATATGTAATACTAACTTAATTGCCTATTTTGCTCGAATTAATTGAGTGCCCTTTGTATATAAATCAATGTCATAATGGCTTATATTTCCCATTATTCTTATGAATAAAATTTTATGCTAATTTTTTTCTGGATATTGGTGATAATTGTGAATACTAATTGTTTCTAGTAGAAGTAGTTTTAATTTATTGCTATTGTTTTATTTTTTTAAAATTATATGCTATGCATCAGATTTTAGCATGATCATTATGTATTTGAAATAATTCAACTTATAATGTTCTAGGATTACTGCCTTTTGTATTGTAATTTTTGACAAAAATCCAATGTATTTTAAGTTTATTGGTATAGTTACATTTTTCTGGCTTTAAGATAATATTTTATGTTTTTGTAGAAATCATTCATATTATCTTTTTTCAAAGTTATTTTCATAATGCTAAGTTGCATTTTGCTATAATTTTTCTTTCTTCTTTTGTTTAATATTCCCAGTGATGGTACATGTACAGTGGAATTGGCTCAATTCTTACACTTTTAGAGGAACTATAAATTTATTCAGTTTTTTTTTTCTAAACAGTTCATCTGAAATCATAAATATATTCATATTATTTGAAAAAGTTATACCATTTCTGGGAAGTGATCCCAAAGCAATAAACAATTGTAAGCAAAAAGCCTTCAAAATGGAGATATTCATTTTCCCAGTATGTATTATAGAGAAAAGTCAGAAATAATATAAAAATTTCACTGACCATCATAACATTTGGAGCATGTTTATATATCAACTAAATGGTATGGTCTTCACATTAGGGACTGAGGACTAATCAGGGAGATAATTCATTATAGAAGAAAAACTAGATAAAATGTTCCAGCCCCATGAAGGACCCTAATCATTAGATGAGAGATGAAACTCTGAGAATAACAAAGTGATCATTTTTTGAACATGTCTCTCAGCTGAGGCCCCTTTGGATACACACCTAAGTCACAACACTAAAAGATTTTCACTAAAATCCCTTTCAGACTTTGTAACATAGGTAGCTTTGTTTAAGTACATTTCAAATAAAATATTCTCACAAAGGGAGTTGTCCTTCATTTTGGAAAACTCCACTAAGCAATGTAGTCATCTTTGGGCCTTCAGTGTCTGTAGGAACTGGGTAGAGGTCAGTAGAAAGGCTGTAACCAGGACATTCATAGAAGGTAACAACAGGACCTGAGCATTCATAGAAGGTATCAACAGGACCCGAGCATCTAAGCTCTACTCTTCACACCCCTTTACTTTTCTTTAAAGAGAGTCATGGAACTGAATTAAAACACAGTGCCAAACAATTGTGCAATATAAGCTAATGCTATCATAGACATTGTAACTCAAGTATTAGAGTTTAACTAACTTGCCCAGGTTACAGAACTAGTAAAAACTAAAATAGTATTTGAATCTATGTTCAACAGAGGTTGCAAATCCATGTTTACTACATTTCCATAGATTATACTCAGTACAGGCCAAAGTACAGTTATATCACTGCAGAGAAGGTAGCAGATAGTTATTTACACATTGCTCTGAAATTTCTCCAAAGAAGCCAGACAAATTCCTGTGCTCATAAAAACCCAATGGCATTATCTCACTCACACTAAGGAGCCTGACTGATGCTAGTCATTTCTATTGTGGTACGTTTGTGAAAGTTTTCTCAAATAATTTAAGGGTATGACAAAAGTAGAGCTTAATTATTTCCCCAATGTATTATCTTCTAAAGGCAATACCATCTCCCATTCAATGAGTTCACAGTTTATAACTGTTTTTGTAACCCCTATGCGTTTTTCATAATTTTTATTTCATTTCTTATATCCAAACTCAGCTGTGACTTTTGTATTTTCTCCAGAGCTGATTTTGGAGAAAACAAATAGCAGCCATTCTAATTTGTCAAGAACCTTTAATATCTTTTGCAGTTTTCCCTAATTTTTAAAAGCCCCCACTGAACTTGATTCCTTCAAATGATTGTTTGGGAGTTCAGTCCTTTAATCCTCAAATCACCAAGAACACATTTAAGAATTGTTTAATTATATAAATTAGAATGCATTAATATTATTTGTATTATTTCCATGTTTCTCAGTAGACAATCTGTAGGATTGCTTTTGCATTTCCTTGTTTTCAGAGGCTTTGAAAATTGTAATTTTCAATTCAATATTTCAATTGAAATATTCAGTTCAACAATTCAACTGTAATATCGTAATCAATATATATTTTAGAAACTATTATAACCTGATTATTTAAAAGATAAAATACCCATTTCTTAAAATTGAGATGGTAAAGTATTATTGAGAGGAATTCAATGCATAAATAGTTCCTATCCTTCATTATGAAATGCAGATATTTATGTAGGAAGCCTGGGCTAGAAGTCTGTAGAAAAGAAAGCAAATGTGAAAAAGTGCTTTAATGCCTGTCCCAGAGCATGTATCCTCATTAGTATGCAAATAATATATTCTGCTGATGAAATGCTCAGAGTACCAGATAATGCATAGCTACCTAGTTAAAACCTTTCATTAAACAGTGCTGAATTAGAGGTGACATGCCTCCAGCACGTCTTACATTTTCTTCACATATTTAAATAATATGTTTTATTCCAACAGTGCTATAAATGGTCATGATAATAATACTATACTTTTAAATGCAGGTAAAGGTTATAGCCAACTGAAAGATAAGATAGTATGATGTAGAAGATAATCCTAAATATTCAACATGGTTAGTAAATTCAGTTTTCCAATTAATTACATACTTTGACAATGAATAACTATTCATTTAACACCTACTCTAAAAGTATACAGAATAACTGATAAAAATAAAGCATAAGGCAGGGTGCTGACTAAATACTTAAGGGTTTAAGATCCATTTGAGTATACAATACTTTCTTTTCTGAAAACAATAAATGAAATGTACAATGTGTGTTATCATTTGAATAATAAATAGTAAGTGTAAAGAGTGTAATTATTTAGATACTATATAAAGATAAAAGGTTTTGAATCAAAACACAATGTGAATGTCGTTTAATAAAAACAGTGGTACATTGACCGGGTGCAGTGGCGCACACCTGTAATCCCAGCACTTTGGGAGGCTGAGGAGGGTGGATCACCTGAGGTCAGGAGTTCCAGACAAGCCGAGCCAACATGCAGGAACCCCATCTCTACCCAAAATTTAAAAATTAACCTGGCGTGTTGGTGGGCACCTCTAATCCCAGCTACTTAGGAAGCTGAGACAGGAGAATCACTTGAACCCAGGAGGCGAAGGTTGCAGTGAGCCGAGATTGCACCACTGCACTCCAGCCTGGGCAACAGAGCAAGATTCCATCTCAAAAAAACAAACAAAACAACAACAACAAAAAACCAGTGGTATATTAAACTGGAGTTCAGAGAGTATCTCTTCCAACTTCAGCTTCCTTGTAAGTGTTTAACGAGCAGAGTGGTTGGCTGTCACTATTAACAGCCAATAGTGACTATGAGTAGTCTTCTATGTCTTCTGCCTCAACCCATTCAAAGGGCTTCAAAGTTTCATATGATCTAAATATTTTCCATTACATATTACCAGACAGGAGAAGTGATACTGTCAGCCATGTAACTTATTTGCTAAAATAACTAGACACATCATAATTTCTACTCCTAAAAAAGAAAGACATCAATCAAGTTACATGTACAACATGAACCAGAATAACTAGAATAGAAAAATCTAGAAGTTAACATAATTATTATAATAATATCTCCCATAAGGTAATATAAGACATTAGTAATATGAAGCAAGAAGAGGAAGTCATAAAAAGAAACATATGGAAGAAGGAAGAATGAAGATTAAAAATAATAGCAAAAATAAAGGAATAAATAGCAGAAAAGGTTAAATAAAGAACAAATTAGAGAGAAAGAAGTTCAGACTAGACGGAAAAAAATCTGTGAAACCAAGGAGGAAGGACAATGGCATAGAAAATATGAAAGGATAGGGAAGATAAGATATATGGAGTGTAGAAATAGAGGTTCTAACATCAGCAAATAGGCAGCATCCTCATACAGGCTGTGTACACTGTGTGTTGCATGGCCTGCACTGGGACCATTTATATCCATGCTCATCAGGTGTTTATAAATGTATTACAACTGTTTCCTTGCAGATAACAGTATATCATCTTAAAAACTCCCCTATGCAGAAAGTGTTTCTAATTTTTAGAAAAGCTTCATTTGCTTTTTGTGTCTTCCCAGATAGAGTAGGTCCCCTAAAGTTTATAGCTTTCGTACCTTACAACTAACTTTCTAAACAAAATACAAAAAGCAACTACTTGAGGGCTGTGACAAATAACTTGTATCAAACAGATAAGGCAAAGAAATCAAAACTTGAAAAAGTATTAATAACCCTTTAATTATTTATTTTGTTTTGGTGTTTCCCCTTATATCTCCATGCTTTGGCCTGAAGCTGGCCCAATTTGCAGAACTGCATAGTACATAAGTAACAACAGCAAAAACCCAAAAGATGGCATCTCTTTCTGGCAAGAGGACAAAAAAGTGGGCTTCTGTGAAGTGGAGAGTAGGGTTGGTGGGAAGGAGTAAAGCCTTATTTTGTTTTGTTTTACTTTTTTTCTTTGATTCTTCCTCTCCTCTTCTGGACTTCATCCAAAGGAAGCCCCCATCCAAAGGAAGTAATGGAGCTGTGATATAGCTGAAGCAGCATCACATTATGCAAAAGTCTAAGAAATTCCTATTCCACTGCTCAGAGGAACCAGAAAGTTGCCCACAGCGGTTCAAAGAATGTGGTAAGAATTGTTTTTAATTTTTTCCTTGTCCCTCTTCTCCCTCCCCTTTGCCTAGAGGGTGGTCCAAACTGTGCTGAACTATGTATGCAACAAACCAAGGGACTCAAAATCTGAGGCAAACACATCATTCTTATCAGATAAATAAGAAAAAATATTCTTGGGAGTTAGAGAGTGGAGAAAATCCTCCAGGAGAGGACTGAAGAAAGGAGATCATTAATTCTAAGTAAACCAAAAAATATCCTCTATCTGTATATGTGCAAACAGGTGCCAAGATGTATAGCAAAGATTTTAAGAACTAAACTACAATATAAACTGCTATTCAAGTTTAAACTACTGAGTGGTGCAAGGATATGGCAAATCTAATGCATAGCAAAATTATGTCAGCAAGATGGCAGGGTAAGAGGTGTTGGAATAAACTCTTCCACAAAGGAAGTTTAGCAAGCAACTATCTGCAAACTAGAACATTCTTTTGAATAACCTAACATCTGGAAATGAGCCCGAGACATCCACATGATACACAGAACTGAATGAAATGTACATTAGAAGGTTAAGATGAACAGTCTTATTACAACTGTGCAACCCTACCTTTCACCTCCAAGTTAGCATGGCTCCAGACCGAGAGATTTTTTCTATGCTCACAGTTTTTTCATGGGTAAAAGAGAACCGCAGGCCGTGATTCTGGTTCCCTAGCATTCTGAGATGCTTCTTAGGAAGGTTGCTGTGATGTAACTTCCCAGGGAACACTAGGGGACATGGAATGGCTTGATCATCTGGGGTACAGGTAGGAACAAAAAAAGTGATCAGCGTGTGAATCTTGGTGTTCCTGGTAGATTGGCACTCGATCAGAGATAATTTCATATTACACCTGCAAAGCTGAGCTGGTCTCCTTTAGAAGCACAATAAGAAGCACAATCTAACTTCAGCTCCTAGACTACTAATCTCCCTACACAGACATAAAACCTGCCCCAAAGTCCCAGCCCAGGTAGGGAGATTTCCACCTCCACAGATCTCAGAGAATTAAAGAGGCTTCACCAACTTGAACCAGCAAAGCAAGCAGAGACTCTACTCAGCCAAAAATCCTGTTCACCAACCCAACCTAGTTGGGGACACACCCAACTGTTTACATTTTGAAAAAAAAAAAACAGGGTTTAGTTCTGCTTAATTCAGAAGGTCAAACTGCCCAATTCTGTCAAAAGATTCAGCTCTACCCAGAACGCCACCCAGAAAGGGAGGCAGTCCCCAACCATGCATTTTAAAAGAGCACTGCCTTGGTTCCTGCCTTTCTTGAGCAATTCCACCAAACCTCACAGCACAATCTGCACTCCTGTCAAACTGCAGATTTTAAATAGCAGAATTGCCCAGGAAATACATCATGTGACCAGAAGTCATTGCAATACCCAGCAAACAGCAATTCCTGGTAGTAGACTGCAACCAGTAGTCTCACAGGCCAGTGAGACCCAGCTAGTGTACCCATTTGACATGAGAGCAAAGGCAGTGGCCCAGCAAACTAGAGAAATCACAACAGACTCTGACTCAGGTGTAGTAACAAGCTAAACAAAATAGTGAAATTTTATCCCAGCCAACAAGCACATGTAAAGGCCACAAGAGGGGTTATCTCTTCAAATGCACAGACAGTAATGCAAGGACACAAAGATTACAAAGAATCAGGAAATCAAGAAATCACAAAAAGAAATTTATAAGGCTCTAATAACAGACCCCATCAATGGAGATCATGAAATGCCTGAAAAAAATTGGACTACTATATATATATATGTATATGGCAAACAAAAATTGAACTATTTTGGATAATCCAAAAGTTAGTTTTTATATATATATATATATATATAAAATATATAATTTATATATAAAATATATATATTTTTATATATAACTATATATATTTTATATATAAATTATATATATGATCATATATATAATCATATATATAATCATATATGATTATATATGATCATATATATATTTATATATATAATTATATATACTTATATATAATTATATATATATTTATATATATAATTATGTATACTTATATATATTTATATATATAATTATATATACAATTTATATATATAATTATATATAATTTATATATAATTATATATATAAATTATATATAAGTATATATAATTATATATATGTTTATATATAATTATATATATAAATGATATGTATAATATATAACTATATATAATTATATATAAATATATATATAGATTTTATATATACACACATATGCCATATATATTTATATAAAGAAAATATGTAAATATATTTTAACTATTAAAATAATAATTCATATATATCTAGGAACTAGATAAATATACAGGTAAAAAATTTAATGAAATCTGGAAAACAATACACAAAAATGAAATCACCAAATAAATAGAAAAAATAACAATTAGAAATAAGTCTTAGAGATGAGAAATACAATGACTAAACTGAAAAAAAATAGAAACCTTTAACAACAGAATCAAAAGAATTAATAAGCTAGGTGACAGAGCATTTAAAATTATCTAGTCATCTGTACCTCTGGATCTAAAAATTAAAAAAAAATAAAAAGTAAAAATAATAGAGGAGAAAAAAGACAAAATAATTTTTTTTAAATGAAGAACACCTACAAAAATGTATGGGATAATATCAAGAGACCAAACCTTTGCATAACAGGTGTTGTAGAAGGAGAAGAAAAAGAAAAAGGGTAAGAAAGAATATTTAAAGAGATGATGGTTGAAAACTACCCTGATCTAGGGATAGATGCCAACATCCAAGTACAAGAAGCACAGAGGTTTCTAATAAAATTCAACCCAAAGAGTATTACACCAAGACATATAATGACCAAACTATCAAAAATAATAAATGAAGAAAAAAATTCTGAAAATAGCAAGAGATAAGAAACACATCACATGCAAAGGAGTGTAAAGTATGAGTGAACTTCTTAGCAGAAACCCCACAAACCAGGAGAGAGTGTGATAATATATATAAAGTGTTGAAGGTAGAAGCCAAAAAAAAAAGAAAAAATAACCAAACATAAAAAAACCTGTCAACCAAAAATACTACATCTGGCAGATCTGTCCATCAAAAATGAAAGAGAGATAATGATTTTTCTCACACACAAAAGCTGAGGGAGTTCCTCACCACCATATATCTTACAAAAAATGCTAAAAGGCGTTCTTAAAGCTGAAAGGAAAGGACACTAGTGAGTATCATGAAAACATTTGAAAGTGAAACTCATAGATAAAATATACAAATTTAATATACTCTAGTTGTATAATGAAGTCTTGTAAATTACTTACATTTGTAGTATGAAGGTTAAAAAGCAAAACTATTAAAATAATAATAATTACCAATAATTCTAAAGATATATACAATACAAAAATATGTAAATTGCGACATCAAAAATCCAAAATGGGGATGGTATAATTAAAATGTAAAGTCTTTTTTAATTGTAATAAGTTGCTTCTAATAGCTTAAAAAAACTTGTTATGTCTATAAAATGTTTTTCATAAGTTTCATGGTATGCACAAAGCAAAAATTTAAAATAGGTACACAAAATATAAAAAGCAAGGAATCAAAACATATAACTATAGAAAATTATTTAGCCACAAATAAAGGCAGCAAGAGAGAAAAAAAGGTAGAAAGCATTCACACCGAGGCGGACAGATCACGAGGTCAACCGATCAAGACCACCCTGGCCAACATGGTGAAACCCTGTCTCTACTAAAAATACAAAAATTAGTTGGGTGTGGTGGCACACGCCTGTAGTCCCAGCTACTCAGGAGGCTGAGACAGGAGAATTGCTTGAACCTGGGAGGTGGAGGTTGCAGTGAGCTGAGATTGCACCACTGCACTCGAGCCTGGTGAAAGAGTGAGACTCCATCTCAAAAAAAAAAAAAAAAAGGATTAACAAAACAACAGAAAACAATTAACAAAATGGCAGTAAAAAGTTTTTATGTATAAATAAACACCTTTAATGTAAATGGATTAAATTCTCCAATTAAAAGACATAGGATAGTTGAATGGATTAAAAAAAAAAAACAAGAACCAACTATGTGCTGCCAACAAAACACCTACGTCAATATTAAGGGCACACATAGACTGAACATAAAGGGATAGAAAAAGACTCCCCATACCAATGGAAACAAAAAATGAGCAAGAGTAGCTATACTCTCATCAGTTAAAATAAACTTTGCATAATAAAAGGATAAAAAGAGACAAGGGTCATTACACAATGATAACGGGATGATTTAGAAAGGGGATATAATGGTCTTAAATATATAGTACTAACATTGGAAGACCTAAATATATAGAGCAAATATTAATAGATATAAAAGGAAAAAATAAGTGTAATACAATAACATTAGGGAGCTTCAACACTACTCATACATTAATGAACAGATTATCAAAACCAAAAATCAACAAAGTAACATATTTAAACTGCACTCTACACTAAATAGACCTAACAGATATTTACAGAACATTCTATTCAAGAACTGCAGAATATACATTCTTTTCAATTGCACCAGGAAGATTCTTCAGGGTAGATTGCATGCTGGGCTACAAAACAAGTCTTAACAAATTTAAGAGAATAAGAACTATATCAAATATCTTTTCTGACCACAATAGTATAAAACTAGAAATCAATGACAGGAGAAAGTTCAGAAATTTTACAAATACATGGAAATTCAACATTTTCCTTAACAGCTAATGAGCCAAAGAAGAAATTAAAAGGGAAATTAAAAAATTTTTTGAGACAAATGTAAATAAAAATACAACATACCGAAACCTATGTGATACAGCAAAAGCAATTCTGAGAGGGAAGTTTACTGCAATAAGGCCTGCATCAAAATAGAACAGAGATCTGAAATAAACAACCTAATATTGTACCTCAAGAAACAAGAAAAATAAAGTATATCAAAAATCAAAAATTGAAGGAAATAATAAAGATCAAAACAAAAATAAATGAAATAGAGACTGAAAAGTAATACAAAAGTTCAACAAAATGAAGAGCTGGCTTTTTGAAAAGATACACAAAATTAACAACTTTGGTCACACTAAATGAGAAAAAAAGACTCCAATAAATAAATCATAGATGAAAAAGAAAAGCCATTACAACTGATATGACAGAGATGCAAGGATCATAAGATACTATTAGGAACAATTATGTGCCACTAAATTGGATAACCTGGAAAAAATGGATGAATTCCTGGACACATAGAACCAAAGAAGAATACAGCATGAAGAAAATAAAAATATGAACACATCAATAATGAGTAATAAGATTGAATCAATAATAAAAATTCTCCCATCAAAGAAAAGCTGAGGACCTGATGACTTCACCAAGGAATTCTACATTTAAGGAACACCAGTTTTACTCAAACTGTCCTAAAGCTTGAAGGGAAGAAAATACTTCTACTCTCATTCTACAAAATTAACGTTACCATGATGCCAGAACCAGACAACAAAACAAAAACAGAAAATAACTTGGCATTATTCATGATAAATATAGATGCAAAAATTATAAAAAAAAATCCTAGCAAATAAAATTCCACAGCACATTAAAAAGAGCATTCATCACAATGCAGCGAGATTCATCTCAGGGATGCAAGGTTGGTTCAACATACAAAATAAACATCATGCATCATATCAAGAGAACAAAGGACAAAAATCACATGATTATTTCAATAAATGCATAAAAGAATCTGATGACATTCCTTCATGATAAACACTCTTAACAATTAGATATAAAAGAAATATACTTCAACACATTAAAGGCCATATATGACAAGTCCACAGCTAATTATTATACTGCATGAGAAAATGTTAAAAGTTTTTCTTCTAAGATCTGGAACAAGACAAGAATATTTACTTTCATCACTTCTGTTCAATATAGTATTGGAAGTCATAACCAGAGCAATTAGGCAACAGACAGAAATAAAGCCATCTAAGTTGGAGAAGGAAGAAATTAAATTGTTCATGTTTGCAGACAATATGTTTTCTTATATAGAAAAAACTAACTCCACTAAAAATTTGTTAGCTCTAATACAAAATTTAGTAAAGTTGCAAAATACAAAATCAACATACAAAAGTCAGTAGCATTTCTATACAGTAATAGCAAACTATGTGAAAAAAAGAAATAAAGAAAACTATCACACTTACAATACCTTCCAAAAATAAAATACTTAGAACAAAATTTCACCAAGGAGGTGAAAAACTTCTACTCTGAAAACTAGAAAACACTGGTGAAAGAAAATAAATAAGAGACAATTAAATGGAAGGATATTTTGTGATAATATATTGGAAGAATGAATATTGGTAAAATGTCCATCCTAACCAAAGTGTCCTACATATTCAGTGTAATCCCTATCAAAATACAAATGACATACTTCATAGAAACAGAAAAACTGTCACAAATTTCGTATAGAGCAACAATAGCTCAAATAGCCAAAGCAACCTTGAGCAAAATAACAAAGCTGGAGACATCACACTACCTGACTTCAGAATAAACGACAAGCTATAATAACCAAAATAAAATTGTACTACCATAAAAATAGACACATGGACAAATGGCACAGAAATGAGAACACAGAAATAAATTTAGGCAGTTAAAACTGATTTTTGACAAAGTTGCCAAAAACACACAATGAAGGAAAGACAGCCTTTTCAATAAACGGTTGGAAATCTGGATAGTTACATACAAAATAAAAATCAACTCAACTAGATTAAAAAGTTAAAGGTAAAACCTGGAATTATGAAACTATTAGAAGAAAACATAGGGGAAATACTTCATGACATTAGTCTGGGCAAGAATTTTTCAGATAAGGCCCCCAAAGCAGAGGCAACAAAACAAAAACAGACAAGTGAGATTGTATAAGTAAAAATATTTTGTACTGCGAAGGAAACAATCAACAGAGTGAAGAGGTAACCTACGTAATTGGAGGAAATATTTGTAAACTATGCATCTGACAAGGGATTATAATGAGACTATATATATATATATATAAACCCAAACAACTCAATAGCAAAAAAAAAAAAAAAAAAAACAAAAAAACCTGATTTTTTTTAACTGGGCAAAAGATGTGAATAGGCATTTCTCAAAAAAGAAAAAAATACAAATGGCCATTAGGCATATGAAAAAATGCTCAACACCAATAATCGTCAGGGAAATGCAAATCAAAACCAAAATGAGATATTACCACACCCTGCTTAGAATGGCTACTATCGAAATGACAAAAGATATCAAATGTGGTGATGATGAAAAACAGATAACTCATACACTGTGTCAGTGGGAATGTAATATAAATTAGTACAGCCATTATGGAAAACAGTATAATGCTTCCTCAACAATTAAAACTAAAACTACCTATGATCCAGCAGTCCCACTACTGGGATCATAATGCTATCCAATCATAAAATAATGAAATCCTCTCATTTGCAGCAACATAGATGAACCTGGATGACATTATATCACATGAAATAAGCCAGGCACAGAAAGATAAATACCACATGATCTCACTCATATGTGGAATCTAAAAACATTGACCTCATAGAAGTCGAGAGTAAAATAGTGGCTACCAGAAGCTGGAAGGTTAGAAGGAACAGATTGGCCAATAGGTAAAAAGTGACAATTAGATAAAATGAATAAGTTCTGGTGTTCTATTGCATACCAGAGTGACTATGGTTAACAGTGTTTTATTGTGTGTTTCAAAATAGCTGGAAGAAAATCGGCATACAAGGGACATAACTTAATGTAATAAAAGCCATCTATAACAAACCCAGAGCCAACTAATACTGAATGAAAAAAAGTTTAAAGTATTCCCTCTGAGAACTGGAACAAGACAAGGATGCCCACTCTCACCACTCCTCTTCCACATAGTGCTGGAAGTCTTAGCCAGAGCAATCAGACAAAAGAAAGAAATAAAGGGCATCCAAATCGGTAAAGAGGAAGTCAAACTGTTACTATTTGCTGGTGATAAGATTGTTTACCTTGAAAACCCTAAGGACTCCTCCAGAAAGCTCCTAGAACTGATAAAAGGATTCAGTAAAGCTTCCAGATACAAGATTAATGTACAGAAATCAATAGCTCTTCTACACAATCAACACAGACCAAGCAGAGAATCAAATCAAGAACTCAACTCCTTTTACAATAGCTGTAAAAAAAAAAAAAAAAAAAAAAAAAAAACTTAGGAATATATCTAACCAAGGATTTGAAAGACCTCTACAAGGAAAACTACAAAACACTGCTGAAAGGAATAACAGACAACAAGAACAAATGGAAACACATCCCATGCTCATGAATGGGTAGAATCAATATTGTGAAAAGTTTATAACTGATTTTCGAAAGATTTTTACACATATACATGCTATTTTATAAATTCAGTTACATTTATCAGTCCTTTAACTGATTTTAGTGTGTTGTTTGTAAATACATCACAACTTAGAATCAAAAGATATTCTTATTTATGTTTGTAAAAGATTTAGACTTTACAGTTCATATTAAATCTTTAATCCACAGGGGGTTTCTGTAAATACATTATATGAGATAAATGTTCTATTAATTATATTCTATATTCAGAGCATATGTTCCCAAAGTCTATACAAGATTTTATCCCATTTACACTGACCATTAACATTCCTTGATATAATAATGAATATAAGAAACCTAAAAATTAGGACATAATTCTCCATGGGTTTATTATATTTCTTTAAATCATCTCGGCAGAGGTACTGACAACTTTTTTTCTATCTTTTCAGGAATTTTAATGGCAAACTACCTTAGAAAATACACATAGTGTGTTCCTCTGGGGAACAGGTCAGCATTGTTGTGGTTGTGGTTACCATTGCTGTCTAGAACATTAATGAAAATATCTCCCTCCTCCAGGGCAAAATGGAGGATGTTTGCTAGCATCCTCCTTTAAATGTTAAGTTTCTTCAGCTGTGACACAAACCACTGAGTGTACAGCATTCAATATGCCCTCTTGCACATCACTTTGATAATAATTGGGGACAAGGAGAACACATGTGTGTGTGCAGCTCATGCTGGCTTCTGTGCCATGAGTAATAAAGGATTTTGTCCTTGACCGAGGAGTCTCATGTCTTTTGCTTGACTAATAAAAAATATGATAAGCTAACATAGTTCTCAACACTAAGTAGCTACTAAAAGCAGATGATAATTAGAAGGAATAAAGTTCTGGGACCCTTTACAAGCTAAAAAAGGAAAATAAAACAAATATCATGAAATCAACAGTAACCTCATGCATCTCAAAATAAAATGTCCAGTGGTGATTATACATAACATTTTAATTTCTGGTTAGGTATGTCATTAAAATTGAACACTATTACAGATCACAAAACCATCTGATTAGGTTATCAATGCTTACCTCCAAGTTCTCAGCATTTCAACAGAGTTACTTTGATTAGTTGTTGTAGAATTGTCTCTTCAAGTTTTAACCAAAAGTAGACCATTTCTGTGCTCTGCATTTGCTGCATTTGCATGGTGCTTCTCAGAAGGTATGCCTTTTTAAATTTAAAAAGTGTTAAAAAGTTGGCATTAAGACCTAATACGCTGCAGTGTAAAGCCAATAGCAGAAGAGTCTGAGAATGATAAGATGTACCTAAAGGCATAAAGAGGCTGAGAAAGGTAGGCATGAGTAAGTGCAACAATTAATATAAATTTTAAAGAAAAAAACACTTTAAAACACTAATAAAAATTACCAGCAAAATGTAGTAATAATTATTATCTTGTGGAAGGTCCTACTTTCTACTTTGTGCATACATTGTATATGTGTGTGTGAATGGATAGATAGATGGATGGATAGCATATCTGTTATTAATGTATATTATATAATTAACAAATATAATAATATGTACAGATATGCATATATTGCATAATATTTATATATGTAAAACAAGTAGGTTGAAGGTACAGAAATTATTCCCTTATTTAGTAATTTGAATGATATGAACCTAATGAGTTTTTAACCTACATTAAAACATTCATTTGCCATAATAACTCATTTGGAAGATGGTAAAATTGTGCTTACTTTAAATATAAAAAAAATAAGGTATAAAGGTTTTAAGTTACTTGTCTATATCAGAAAGTGCTTGATCCAGAATTTCAATCTAAGCACCTTGACCCTAGAGTTTACAATTTATATTTTTATATCTACAATAATACAGCAATATTTGCAATTTGTTTGTATAAGAAATTCATGAAATTTTTTCTATGTAACTGGTTATTTCAAAGTGTTTTTTAATGGTTCTACTCTACATCTGCATATAGAGATGCCTGAGTTTACCCATTTGAAAAGATGAAAATAAAAATAAAAGGAAGTAGAAAATTTGTCAGACTATTATTAATTTATTTGAAAGTGATATCAAACTTGCTGCTTAGAAAATGGTTTTATGTGCTATGTTTGTTACTTTGCAAAGAAAGAGCACTTCTGTCAACATCAGAGTGCTAATTTAATTTGGATATACTACAAACATATTAATGAGTTTGTAGACTGAAATAAATTTATGTCTAGGAAACTCATTAAAAGTAATTTGTTATTTTTAATCTTAATTAATTGTATTAATAGCAATAATTATATATCCTACAGTGCTGTGATCAGTTCATTTTTTCTATAAGATAATTTAAGAAAATACAGCAGATCAAAATATTCATATTGATGCAAAATTTTTTTTAGTACTATGTTGTGTATATGCATGAAAATATATGGCCTGACATTGCCATTTGTAAAGTAAAGAATAAAAATACTGGAATGTGTTTTTTTCCCACCTACTGGCTTAGTCTTTCAAGTTTTCAATAAAATAAAAAAATATAAAATGACTAAAAATATTTTTCAGCAATATAGACAATTTTGCTCACAAATTTAACATTAAAAATTACTCCTAAATAAAATACAGACAAAATTAGCTTGAATAATTAAGAAATACAAAATGTATAAATAGAACTGAGCACATAAGACTCTCAGAATGACTATAGCAGTGGCCACTCACATCACACTAGATGAAAAGGCAAACTATTCACATCTAGTGAGGAAAAATCTCAATCTTGTAGAAATCCCTACAAGTGCACAAGGAATCAGTGTATTCAGGATAGAATCTCATTGAAATACTTTAGTCTTACGTTTGCTTACATGACTGTGTAGGGCACAATGGGAGCTTTCTCAAGGGTTTTTGATAATATGGGCAACTGTGCTGTTAATTTCACTTGTGGCTTTATGCTAACTAACTTTATCGGCTTTGTCATTTGGGAAAAGTTGCTTTTAATGGAGAGTGAATTTTTCTGCTATGACTGCATTAACATGTCCCTACTGTCCACCAGGCATGAACCTCATCTAAGGGTAAGACAAATTAAAGGCACTCACGATGACAGAGAAGAAAGATGAAAAGTAGGTTTCTGTTGACATCATTGGGTGGCTGAACTTTCTAAATTTGTTGTTTCTGTCTCTAAATATCTTCTATGCAATGATTAATATATATACTATTTAATGGAAATTGTTTTGGGACTTTCTTTTATTTGAACTCAGAACATCTGACTGTATGTATTGGTCTTTTATGCTTTCTTCTCTGGAAAGTTTCCTGATTGCCTGACCACACTGGCAATATTGTTTTTAAAATGTAGAAGGTTTATATCTACCATCTGAATTTTATAAACTGTAACCTGAGGATTAAAATCTGTATCTTCATAACATTTTAATTTTTATTCTCAATACAACAAAATGTGCAGTATCAAGACATACGCTTTTATTTTTTGTACCTTCTTTTCCCTAATGTTTATTAAATGCCTACTTTGTGAGAGGAGCAAAAAAAAAAAAAAAAAAGAAAAAAAGAAAAGAAAAAGAAAAACTCCATTTTAATGCCTTTAACATTGTACATTGCATAACCAAGTAAAATAATCAATTGAAGTTTAAGACTTCAGGTTAATCATAAAAAAAAAACTCGAAGTTTCCTAAATAAAATTCTAAAAATTGCTATTCAGCAGTCTTAGATAGATTTATTATGGTTATTTTTGTAGTTATGCATTTTTTCTCTTAACAACTTCTTATATTTGAAGATAGGGACTGTCTCTTTGCTCTTGTTCAAACTGACACCTACAGCTAGGAGATTAAAATCCAGAGCTTCATATATGTTTTATAATGTGGATACATTCCTACTTTAAATATATTCCCAAAGTTGTGTCGTATTTCCAGAGAAAAGTATAGACTTTCTCTGGGACTCTGAAATTGGTCTGATTCCTTCATCAGAGAGATCTTTCATATCAGGTTGGCTGGGCACTCCAGAAATTGTCGACATCATTGATTCTTTGTCTTTTCCCATGAGGATAAATGAATATGTAATCAGATGAAGCAACCAGCCTACATCCTTTAGCTTGACCCTGATAATTGCACAGTTGAACGGATTTCTTCAAACTATATTCACTTACTTTCATTTGTCAATAGAGCAAGAGAATAACAAATACTACAATACTGACTGTCTTTGTAAGACAGATATTGGCAGGCAAAATTTATGTACTGCTTCTTCATTTATGCCTTTCTGTTACAGAACAGAATCTAAACATCCTATGAACAATATCAAAGTGTGAAAACAAAAAACTTGTTAGAACTGAAAATGTTGACACAGGAGAAGCCAAGGACAAAAAGGCATTAAGAAAACCTTTAAACTAATGAAGAACACAGAGATGAAGTAGAGTCACACATGCTGAGTAAGCCTGTTATGCGGAGAAAAACGACTCTATAGGGAATGCATTATACTATTAAGGGTATTCACCCTAAAGTTGGTATTTGTTGTTCCCTGATCCAAGATGCATGCTTCAGAATTTTTACTGAGGCACCCGGATTTTAACTTGTGAAATAACATCTCCAACCCCCCTTTTTACTTGAAGGTTTCTGCGGTGTTGACTCACCATATACTCCATTAAGAACTCCCATTTTCCTACCCACAGAAATCAGTTCAGAGCTGATCATGAGACCTAATTTAGGTCATGAGGCATTTGGAACATTTTACTAGGGCACTGAAGAAAGTAGCTTTGTTTAGTTACTTGGATCTAATGGAATATTGGAATAGATAGAGATAATTCTGGGACTTACAAGGGAAGTGGTGAGACCCACAGGCCCAAAGGTAAAGCCCATACACACACACAAAGCAGCAGCCTTACCATATCGGAGAATAGGGAAGCCATAAGGCTATCTTTACTGGGCCGAATGAGGAGGTTCTTCTTCAAAACCACTCCCACAAAGAGTCACAAGATAGGCATTTCCCATGGCTCTCAGCCACATTGATGTCTGGAAATAAACTACAGTGTGCATCTAAGCAGGCAGTTATGAGTGCTAGGACAGGAGTTTGAGAGGGAAGACATCACATTTCTGCCTAAGACGTGAAGCCAGTGCAGCCCCCTCGAACCTTACACACACCTCAGTAAATTTCACCAGGAGCTCCGCACAGCCACCCTTGTCAGGGTTGGCACCTACAGTCACCATTTGGGTTTTCATGGGCAAGCAAGGGGACCCAGCTCCACTCAGAAGTGTACCCCCACATCCATGAAACAGGTAGCTCAGGGCACTAGACACTCCATTGTCCAGTCCATCACCTAAAACAACAGAGAGTACCTCATAGTAAACATAGTAAACAGAGAGCAACTCATAGTAAATAGTAGAAAACAAAGACCTCATGGTAAACTTGGCACTATGAGTAGCTCATAGTGCCAAGTATATAAACATCTGCTTGTGTCACAGCTGGCTCTTACCCATAAGCATCAACTGCTGGCCTATAGGTTGAACCCCATAGCCCAAAATAAAACCTGCCAACAGAATTGCATAGGAATATCGAGGCAGAGCCAAAAGATCCAAACTAACATACTCTACAGTCACACTCTCTGGAAATGGAGGAAAGGGAAAGAAAAAAATAAAGAAAAAAAGAAAAAAAATCCTACCCACATGAACATCCTTTGAAAAATTAGAAGTGGCAGCCTCTTAAGATGAGAAGGAGCTAGCATAAGAATTCTGGCACCATGAACAATCTGAATGTTGTGACAACACCAAAGGATCATGTCAGCTCTCTAGTGTTGTACCCCAACAAAAATGGAAACTCAGAAATGACAGACAAATAATTCAAAATATGGATTAAAAGGAAGCTCAGTGAGATCAAAGACAAGATTGAAAATCAATATTAAAAAACCACTAAAGCAATTTAAGAAATAAAGGAAGAAATAAATACCCATAGAAAAATCAATCAGAACTTTGGGAAATAAAACATTCACTTAAGGAATTTCAAAATAAAATTGAAAGCTTTATCAATAGACTAAACCAAACAGAAGAAAGAATTTTAGAACTTGAAGGTTGTTTTTTCAAACTAATCCAGTCAGATAAAAATAAAGAAAAAAATTGTTTAATGAACAAAACCTTCAAGGAACAAAGGATTAACCAAACCTATGAATTATTGGCATTCCTGAGAAAGATGAAAAAAAAACCTGGAAAACTTATTTGAGGGAATAATTTAAGAACATTTTCCTAATCTTGTTAAAGAGGTTGACATCCAGATATAAAAAATCCAGGGAATACTTGTGAGATACTATAAGATGAACGTCACCAAGGCATATACTCACCAGACTACCCAAGGTCAATGCTAAAGAAAAAAATCTTAAGGCAGCTAAAGAAAAGGGTCAAATTACCTACAAAGGAAAACAAATCAGACTAAAAGCAGACTTCTAAACAAAAATTTTATAAGTCAGAAGATATTGGGGACGCACTTTTAGCCTCCTTAAAGGAAAAAAAAAGCCAGCCAAGAATTTTATATCCTGACAATTTAAGCTTCATAAATTAAAGGAAATAAAGCCTTCCCCAGACAAGCAGTGACTGAGAAAATTTGTCAGTACTACACTGGTTCTACAAGAAATGAAAGAGTTCCAAACATGGAAACAAAAGGGTTATACTTACCATCAGAAAAGGACGCGTAAGTACTAAGCTCACAGATCCTATAAGGAATGACACAATCAAAACTCCAAAACAAATAGATAACAAAACTATGTTAGGAATAAAACCTCACAGATAAATTTTAACCTTCAATGTAAATGGCTTAAATACTCCACTTAAACGATACACTGTGACATATTGGATTAAAAAGACCTAACCACTTGCTCTCTACAAGACACTCTCCTACTGGCTAAAGTCACATTCAGATACAAAGTAAAAGTGTGAAAAAAAAATAATGGAAAACAAAAGTGAGCAGGAATAGCCATTCTCCTATCAGATAAAATGGACTTTAAACTAACAATCGTACAAATAAAGACAAACAGGGGCCTTATATAATGACAAAGAATTCAATACAACAAGAAAATTTAACTATTCTAAATATATATGAACCCAATACTGGGGCACTCAGATTCACAAGAGAAATGTTACTAAACCTAAGAAAACAGATTGATAGCCATATGATAATAGTGGGGGACTTCAACACTTCACTGATATCACTAGGCAGATCATCAAAGCAGAAAATCAGTAAAGGAATTCTGGAATTAAAATGGACTATAGACCAAATAGACTTAATAAACTTCTACAGGATATTTTACCTAACAACTATAGAATATAAATTTTTCTCATTTGCACAGGGGATATCCTCCAAAATCAACCATATGCCTGTTCATATGGCAAGTCTCAATAAATTCAAAAAAATATTATATCATGTATCTTCTTGGACCACAATGGAATAAAATTAGAAATCAATACAAAGAGGAACTCCTAAAACTATATACATGCATGGAAACAACTAACTCCTGAATGACTTTTGGGTAAATAACAAAATCAAGACAAAAATTAAAAAGATTATTTGAAATGAATGAAAATAGAGACTAAGATACCAAAACCTCTAGGATACAACAAAAGCAGTGCTAGGCAGAAAATGTACAGCATTAAATGCCTACATCAAAAAGATAGGTCTCAAATTACAAGCTAACATCATGGCTCAAGGAACTAGAAAAATAAAAGCAAACTGAACCCAAATCTAGCAGATGGAAATATAGATCAGAGCAAAACCAAATGAGATTGAGACCAAAAAATGACACAAAATGTCAGTGTAATAAAAGGTTGATGTTTTGAAAAGATAAACAAAATTTCCAGACTGACAGTTAGACTAAGAAAAAATGAGAGACGATTGTAATAAGTACAGTCAGAAATGATAAAAATGACATCACAGGTTATATCAGAGAAATAGAAAAGATTGTCAGAGAATACTATTAATATCTCTATGAGGACCAACTAGAAAACCTAGAGGAAATGAAACCTTAAATATATCAATAATGAATAATAAAATCAAATCATTAATTTAAAAATCTTCCAACAAAAAATCCCAGTATAAGATGAATTCACAGTGGAATTTGCACAGATGTGCATAGAAAAGCTGTTACCTATCCTACTGAAACTATTCCAAAATATTGAGAAGGAATCCCTTCTAAACTCATTCTATGAATCCAGTATCACTCTGATACAAAATTAGCCAAGAACACAACAAAAAAGGAAACTACAGATCAATATCCATTATGAACATAGATGCAAAAAAATTCAACAAAATACAAGCAAACCAAATTAAACAGCACATCCAAAAGATAATTGACCATAATCAAGTAGGCTTTATTCCAGGGATGCAAGGATGGTTCAGCATATACAAATCAATGAGTATAATCCATCACCCGAACAGAATTAAGAACAAAAACCTATGGTCATCTCAATAGATGCAGAAAAAGCATTACATAATATCCAACATCCCTTTTGTGATAAGAACCCTCAACAAATAGTCATAGTTAAAACGTATCTTAAAATAATAGGAAACATATATGACAAACCCACAGCCAACATCATACTGAATGGGGAAAAGTGGACACCATTTTCTCTAAGAACTGGAAGAAAAGATAAGGATGTCCACTCTCACCACTACAAATCAACATAGTACTAGAAGTTCTAGCCAGAGCTCTCAGGCAAGAAAAATATATAAAAGACATTCGAACTGAAAAATATGAAAGTCAAATTATCTCTGTTTGCTGATGACATACCAAGAAAACCTTAAAGACTCCTCTAGAAGATTCTTAGACCTGATTATCGACTTTACTAAAGTCTCTGATTCTGAATCAGTGTAGAAAAATTAGCGGCATTTCTAAACACTGATAACATTCAAGCTAGAATAAAATTAAGGATTCAATTTTATTTACAATAGCCACAAAAAAATAAAACACCTAGGAATGCATTTTACCAATGAGGTGAAGGATAACTACAAGAATTACAAAATACAGATGAAAGAAATTGTAGATGACAGAAATAAATGGAAATACATTTCATGATCATTAATTGGAAGAATCAATATTGTTAAAATGCCCACTGTGTCCAAAGCAGTCTACACATTTAATGTTATTCCTATTAAACTACAAACATTATTTTTACAGAATTAAAAAAAATTCTAAAGTTCATGTGCAACATAAAGATTCCAAGTAGACAAAGCATTCTTATGCAAAAAGAACAAATCCTGAGGCATCATATTGCCTGACATCAAATTATACTACACGGCTATAGTAAAAAAAAATTCATGAATGATACTGATACAAAAAAAGACACATAGAGCAATAGAACTGAATAGAGATCACAGAAATAAAGCCCTATACTATACCCAACTGATATTCAATAAAGTCAATAAAAATAAACAATGTGGAATGGATATCCAATTCAATAAATGGTACTGAGAAAACTGGCTAGCCATAATGCAGAAAACTGAAACTGGAACTCTGTCTCTCATGATATACAAAAATTAACTCGAGATGAATTAAAGGCCGAAGTGTAAGACAAGAAGCTATGAAAAATCCTAGAGGAAAACCTAGGAAAAACTCTTCTGGACTTTAGTCTAGGCAAAAAATTAATGATGAAGACTCCAAAAGCAAATGCCAAAAAAAAAAAAAGACAAATGGGATTTAATAAAAGTAAAAAGCTTCTGTGCATTAAAAGAAACAATGAACAGAATAAACAGACAATCTACAGATTAAAAAAATTTACATATTATGCCTCTGAGAAAAAATCATTTCCAGAATCTGCAAAGAACTCAAACAACTCAACAAGAAATGAACAAACAGTCTCATTAAAAAGTGGACAAAGGAAAGGAACAGATATTTCTCCAAAGAAGAAATATAAGAAGCACATAAAAATCTTTCACCATTACTAATTATCAGATAAATTCAAGTTAAAACCACACAGATATCATGATATACCCGACAGAATGACTTTTATTCAAAAGTCAAAAAACAATGGACATGCATGTAGAAAAACAGGAATGTTCATACGCTGTTGGTGTGAATATAAATTAGTTCAACCTCGATGGAAAACATTATGTAAATATCTTAGAGAATTAAAAATAGAATTTTCTTTCTCTTTTTCTTTTATTTATTTATTTCTTCTTTAAAAAAAAAAGGAGGGGGATACATGTGTAGAACATGCAGGTTTGTTACATAGGTATATACCATGGGCCATGGCAGTTTGCTGCACCAGAGCTATCTTTTGACCCATCAATCCCACTACTGTGTGTCCACCTAGAGAGGAAAAAATCATTCTATTAAGAAGACCCCTGAACTGGTTTGTTTATTGTAGCACTATATACAATAGCAAAGCCATGGAAACAATCTAAGTGTTAACCAACAGTTTATTGGATAAAGAAAATATGGTACACCATGAAATGCTACACAGCCATCAAAAAGAATAAAATCATATTTTTTGCAGCAACATTGTTGAAGGTGGAGGCCATTATCCTAAGTGAACTAAGACAGAAGAAGAAAATCAAATATCACATGCTCTCACTTATAAGTGAGAGCAAGGGATACATATGAACATAAAGATGAAAAAAATAGACTCTGGATACCCCAAAGGGAGAAGAGTTGGAAGGGGGTGAGGGTCGAAAAATTAACTACTAGGTACAATATTCAATATTTGGGTGATGAGCACACTAGAAGCCAAACCCCCACCATTATTCATCTAGTGCCCATGTAACAAACAAGCACATGTACCCCCTAGATTTAAAATTTTTAAAAAATAGAAAATCTACCAATAATGAGGAAGGAAATTGAATCAGTAATACAAAGTCTCTCATCAAAGAAAAGGCCAGGATCAGGTACCTTCAGGGCTGAATTCTACAAATATTTAAAGAAGAATTAGTACCAATTTTGTTAGTCCATTTTGTATTGTTATATCAAAACACCCAAGGCTGGGGAATTTATAATGAATAGAGGTTTATTTAGCTCTTTGTTCTCGAGGTTGTAAAAAAGCATGGCACTGGGATCTTCTTGCTTCTGGCAAGGGCTCTTGTGCTGCATCCAAATGCAGTGGAGAAGGTAAATGGGGAAGCAAGAATTTGTGAAGAGGGGGAAAATCCATGGGACATCCTGCCTTTATAACAATTCACTCTCTCAGAGGAATCAATTTATTCTCCCAAGAACCTATCAAGTCTCACGAGAGCAAGAAGTCACACACTACTGTGAAAACAGCACCAGGCCATTGAAGAGGAATTTGCCTCCATGACCCAAACAATCTCCACTAAGTCCCACCTCCCAATACCATCAAACTAGGAATCAAATTTTAACATGAGATTTGATGAGAACAAACTATACCCAAATCATAGTATCAAACCTTCTCAAACTCATCTCAAAATCTTAGAAATTGGTATAACTATTACTATGATACCATATAATCATGTTATATATGCAGAAAGAGTATTTTTACAAAATCCAACATTCTTTCATGATGAAAACTCTCAACAAATTACATATAGAAAGAATGTAGCTCAACACAATATATGACAAGCTCATAGCTGACACCATACTTAACGCTCTGAAGTTGAAAGTTTTTCTCCAAAACCAGGAGAAAGACAAAGATGCCTATTTGCATCACTTCTATTCAATTTAGTATTCAAATCTGAGCCAGAGTAATTAGGGAAAATAAAGGAATAAAAGGCATTGAAATTAGAAAAGAAGTAAAATTGTCCCTGTTTACAAATAATATAAACTTATATTTAGAAAGCCTCATGTTTGCCTACAAAACTGTTCAAACTAATAGGGGAATTCAGTAAAGATGCAGAATAAAAAATCAATAAACAAAATTAATAGCATTTCTATAAACTTAGCAATTAACATCTGAAATAAAACAACTAAGACAACAATGCTATTCAGAATAATTACGAAAGTTATACGAAGTTAGGAATAAATGTAACCAAGGAGGTGAAAGAGCTGCATAAAAGGGGTTTTTCTTCAACTTGAGGAGAGGAGAGAGAAAAGGAAAGAGGACTTTGACTTACAAGTTGTATACCAGCTCAGCCACAGTAGGATAGGCATGAGGCAGAGTTGTGAGGCCACAGTTTTAGGCCCTAGCTCCTAGATGACATTTCTAGATACACCCTGGGCAGGAAGAAAATCCCCTGTCTTGAAGGGAAGGACCCAGTCCTGGCAAGATTCATCACCTGCTGACTAAGGAGTCTTTGGGCCCTGAAAAATCAGCAGCAGTAACCAGGTGGTGCATGCCAGAGGCCTTGGTTGAGATTCTAAGATGTGCAGGCTTCAGTTATGACCTAGCACATTCACAGCTGTGGTGACAAAGGAGAGAGATGTGTTCTGATTCAGAAAAGCAGAGGGAAGAGTGAAAGAGACTTTATCTTACAGCTTAGGTACCAGCTCAGCTACAGTGGGGAAGAGATCCAAGTGGGCTCTTGGAGTTTCTGATTCCAGGCCTTGGCTCTTAGAAGGCATTTCTGGACCTACTGTGGGCCAGAAGGGAATTTATGGCTATGAAGGCTGAGTCTCAGGCCTGGAAGCATTCAACATGAGCTGACTAAAGAGTCCTTGGGCATTAAGTGAAATCGGTCATATCCTGGCACTAGTCAGCATGGACCTTGGTTGTGGTGGACATGATGGAAAATGGAGAGGGAAGAGTGGCAAAGACTTTGTTTTGTGGTTTCTGTGTTAGCACAGCCACAGTAAAATAGGGCACTAGTACATTTCTAAGTTTTCACCTCCAGATCTGGCTCCTACACAGTAACTCTGGACTTACCTGAAGCCCACAGGAAATTGCTGCTCTACAGGCAATTCACAAGCCTGTCTGGCTTTGCAACTTGCTGACTGTAGAGCCCTAGGGTCTTCAGTAAACATAGGCTGTAGCAAGATAGTGATTACAGTGGGCCTTGGGCAAGATTCAATGCTATGCTCACTTCATGGATGACCCAGCAAAATCCCAGTGGTGGTGGCCACAGGGGTGCTTGTGTCACTTCTCTCCCAGCACCAGGCAGTTTAGAACAAAGAAAGAGAGAAGCTCCATTTGCTTGGGAGAAAATAAGGAGAAAAAAGCAATAGTCTCTGCCTGGTAAACCAGATAATTCTTCTGAATATTTTCCAAGACCACCAAGGTGGTACCTGTACAAGTCTGCAAGAATCACAGCACTACTGGGCTTGGAGGGGTCCCTAATGCAGATAGGGCAGCAATGACCAAAAACTTAGAACATCTGAGTCCTTTTGAAGACTTGGAAAGATGTCTTAGGAAGAATGCGTATAAAAAGCTCACACTGTGAAGACTACAATAAATACCTAATCTTCAATTCCCAGACACGGATGAACATCCACAGGAATCAAGGCCACGTAGGAAAATGTGATCTCATCAAATGAACAAAATAAGGCATTAGGTCATTAGGTACCAATCCTGGAGGGACAGAAATGTGTGACCTTTCAGATAGATAATACAAAACAGCTATTTTGAGAAAAGTCAAAGAAATTCAAGATAACACAAAGAAGGAATTCAGAATCCTATCAGATTAATTTGACAAAGAAATTAAAATAATGTAAAAGAATCAAGCATAAATTTTGGAGTTCAAAAATGCAATTGACATACTGAAGAATGCATCAGAGTCTCTTCATAGCAGAATTGATCAAGCAGAAGAAACTGATGAGCTTCAAGACAGGCTGTCTGGAAATACACAGTCAGAGAAAATAAAAGAAAAAATAATAAAAAAGAATGAAGCATGCCAACGAGATTTAGAAAATAGCCTCTAAAGGATGAATCTAAGTATTATAGGGTTTAACGAGAAGGTAGAGAGAGAGACAGGGCAGAAAGTTTATTCAAAATGATAATAACAGAGAACTTCCCAAAGCTAGAGAAAAATATTAACATTCAAGTGTAAGAAGGTTACAGAACACCTAGCAGATTTAACCCAAAGAAGTTTATCTCAAGGCATTTAATAATAAAACTCCCAAAAGTCAAGGGTAAAGAAAGGTTCCTAACAGCAACATGATAAAAGAAAAATAACAATATACAATGGAGCTCCAATATGTCTGGCAGCAGACATTCTAGTGGAATCCTTACAGGCCAGGACAGAATGTCATAACATATTTAAAGTGCTTAAGGAAAAGAATTTTTCACCCAAGAAGAATATATCTGGTGAAAATATTCTTCAAACATGAAGGAGAAATAAAGACTTTCCCAGACAAACAAAATCTGAGGAATTTCATCAACACTATACCTGTCCTACAGGAAATGACCAAAGGAGTTGTTGAATCTGAGGGGAAAAAAAAAGGATATAAATGAGCAAGAAGAAGTTGTCTGAAAGTACAAGCTCACTTGTAAGCTTGTGAGCTTCAGGTTAGGGTTAGGGTTAGGGTCACGATTAGAGTTAGAAAAAACACACTGTAATTGTGGTGGGTAAACTACACATATCCTAAGTATAAACATGAAAATATAAACTGATAAAAATAATAACTACAGTAATTTTTAAGAGATAAACCATACAATTAGGTATAAATATAAACAATAAAACATTAAAAAGTGGGGAGACAAAGTTAAAGTACAGAGTTTTTAATAGTTTTCTTTTGGCTTGTTAGTTTGTTTATACAATCAGTGTTAAATTTGTATCAGTTTAAAATAATGGGTTTAAGACATTCTTTGCAAGACTCATGGTCATCTCAAATCTAAAAATATACACAGTATACACAAAAAATAAGAAGTAGGAAATTAAAACACCCCACCAGAGAAAATCACCTTCATTATAGGGACAACAGAAAGGAAGGAAAGAAGAAAGAGAAGACCACTAAAAAGCAGATAACAAATGACAACATTGCAGGAGTAAGTTCTTACTTATTGATAATAACATTGAATGTAAGTGGACTAAATGCTTCAATCAAAAGACAAAGTGGCTGAAAGGATGAAAAAACAAGACTATATGATCTCCTGCCTACAAGAAACACACATCACTTATACAGACACACATAGACTGAAAATAAAGAGATTAAAAAAGATATACAATGCAAATGAAAACCAAAAAAAAAAGAACAGGAGTAGCTATAATTACATCAGATGTCATAGATTTCAACAGAAATAAAACTGCAAAAAACGATGACAAATGTTATTATATAACGATAAAGGGGTCAATTCAGTGAGAGAATATAAAAATTATAAATATATATGCAACCAAAACTGGATCACCCAGATATATGAAGTAATTTTATTAGAGCTAAAGAGAGAGATAGACCGCAATAGAATAAGACTTGGATAATTCAACATCCCTCTTTCAGCACTAAACAGATCATCCACACGGAAAATCAACAAAGAAACATTAAACTTAATCTTTACTATAGACCAAATGGACCTAATAGATAGTTGAAGAACATTTTATTCAATGGCCAAGGAATGTATATTTTTCTTCTTAGCACATATGGTATCAAAGAAAGGCCATATGGTAGGCCAGAAAGCAAGCCTGAAAATTAAAAAAAAATTAAAACCATAATAAGTATCTTCTCTGACCACAGTGGAACACAACAAGAGATCAATAACAACAGGAATTTTGGAAACTATAGAAAAAATTAAACAATGTGCTTTCAAATGACCAGTGGGTTAATGAAGCGATTAAGACAGAAATTGATAACAATTTTAAAAGAAATCATAATGGAAACATAACATACCAAAACTTAAGAGATATAACAAAAACAATATTAAGAGATAATTTTACAGCAATATGGGCCTATGTGAACAAAGAGGAAAAGCTTCGAATAAACAACCTAATAATACATATTAAGAACTTGAACAGCAAGAGCAAATGAAACCTAAAGTTAGTTGGAAAGAAATAATAAACATCAGAGCAAAAATTAATAAAATCAAAATGAAGAAAAAAATACAGATCAACAAAATGAAAACTGGGTTTTTGAAAATGTAAAGAAAATTGACAAACCTGTGGCCAGACTAAGAAAAGAAGAGCGACAACCCAAATAAATAAAATCAGAAAGAAGACACAACAGATCTGTAGAAATTCAAAGAGGATAATTCGATGCTACCATGAGCAACAATATGCTAGTAAATTTAAAAATTTAGAATAAACTCCTAGACACTTACAACCTACAAAGATTGAACTATGAAAAAATAAAAAACCTGAGCAGACCAATAACAAGTAATGAAATTGAAGCCATAATAAAAATCTCCCAGTAAAGAAAAGCCCAGGACCCCATGGCTTCATTGCTGAATTTTACCAAAGATTTTAACAGAATCAATACTAATCCTATTTAAATGATTCCAAAAGATAAAGGAGGAGAAAAATATTTCCAAACTCATTTTACAAGAACAGTATTACCCTAAAAAAAACAGACAGGCACATCAATAAAAGAAAACTGCAGACTTATATCTTTGATGGATATTGATGCAAAAATCCTCAACAAAATATAAGCAAACCGAACTCAACAATACATTATAAGGATCATTCACCATGACCATCTGTGATTTATTCCAGACATGCAAAGATTGTTCAACATCTGCAAATTAATCAATGTAATATATCATATCAATAAAATAAGGGACAAAATCCATCTGATTATTTCAAAGGACACTGAAAAAGCATTTGACAAAATTCAACATCCTTTCATGATGAAAACCCTTGAAAACCCTTGAAAAACTTATAGAAGAAACATACCTCAAAATGATAAAACCATATATGTCAGACCCCCGCTAGTATCATAATGAATGGGCAAAATTGAAAGTCTTTCTTCTAAGATTGGTAACATGACAAGAATGCTCACTTAAACCACTGTTATTCAACATAGTACCAGAAGTCCTAGCTAGAGCAATTAGACAAAAGAAAGAAATAAAAGATATATAAATTGGAAAGGAAGAAGCCAAATTATTCATTTGCAGATGATGTAATCTTATATTTGGAAAAACCTAAAGACATCACCAAATAAAGACTAGAACTGAGGAACAAATTCAGTAAAGTTGCAGGATAAAAAAATTAACATACAGAAATCAGTAGCATCTGTACATACCAACGGCAAGCAATATGAAAAGGAAATCAAGAATATAATTCCATTTACAATAGCTACAAATAAAATTAAATACCTCTACAATGGAATTTTACATCTTCAATGAAACTATACAAATAGAAAAGAAATTGAAGAGGATACAAAAAAATGGAAAGATAATCCGTGTTCGTGGGTTGAAAGAATCAATATTGTTTATATGTCTATACTACCAAAAGCAATCTACAGATTCAATGCAATCCCTATCAAAATACCAATGATATTCTTCACAGCAATAAAAAAACTAACCTGAAATTTATATGAAGCCGTAAAAGATTTAAAATTGCTAAAGTTACCCTCAGCAAAAAGAAGAAAAGTAGAGCAATCATGTTACTTGACTTCAAATTATACTAGAGAGCTATAGTAACTAAAATTGTATGGTACTGACATAAAAACAGACACATAGACCAATGAAACAAAAAGAGAACCCAGAAACAAATTCATACAATTACACAGTAAACTCATTTTTGACAAAGGTGCCAGGAACATACATTGGGGAAAGGATAGTCTCTTCGATGAATGGTGGTGGGAAAACTGGATATCCATATGCAAAATAATGAAACTTGACCACTATCTCTTGCCATATACACAAATCAAATCAAAATGGACTAAAGACCTTCATCTGAGACCTCAAGCTATGAAACTACTACAAGAAAACTATGGGAAACTCTCCAGGGTATGGTCTGGGCAAAAAAATCTTGAGTTGTACCCCACAATCAAGGACACACAATCAAAGCAAAAATGGATACATGGGATCACATTATGTTAAAAAGCTTCTGCACTGCAAAGGAAACCATCAACAAAATGAACACAAAAACCCCAGAATGGGAGAAAATGCTTGCAAACTATCCATTTGACAAGAAATTAATAACCAGAATACATAAGGAACTCAAACAACTCTATAAGAAAAAAATATGATAATATGATTAATAAGTGGGCAAAAGATCGAAATAGACATTTCTCGAAAAAGACACACAAATAGCAAACAGGCCTATAAAGAGGTGCCCAACATCACTGATCATCAGGGAAATGCAAATGAAAACTACAATGAGATATCTAACCCCAGTTAAAATGACTTTTATCCAACAATCAGACAATAACAAATGCTAGCAAGCATGTGGAGAAAAGGGCACCCTTACACACTGATGGTAGGAGTGTAAATTAGTACAAACACTATAGAGAATAATTTGGAAGTTCCTCAAAAAACTAAAAATAGAGCTACTATATGATCCAGTAATCCCACTGCTAGATCAGTAGATTGAAGAGATACACTCTCATATTTATTGCAGCACCATTCACAATAGCCAAGATTTGGAAGCAATCTAAGTGTTCATCAACAGGTGAATGGATAAAGAAAATGTGGTACATATACACAATGAGTAGTATTTAGTCATAAAAAAGAATGATAGTCTATCATTTGCAACAAAATGGATAGAACTGGAGGTCATTATGTTAAGTGAAATAAGCCCATCACAGAAAAACAAACTTCTCATGTTCTCACTTATTTGTGGAAGCTAAAAATTAAAACAATTGAACTAATAGAGATAGAGAGTAAAATGATGGTTACCAGAGGCTGGGAAGGGTAGTGGGGCACTGGAGGGGAAGTGAAAGTAGTCAATGGGTACCAAAAAAAATAGTTAGAAAGAATGCATAATATTCAGTATTTGAGAATATAACAGGGTGACTATAGTCAATGGAAATGTAATTGTACATTTTAAAATAACTAAAAGTGTATAATTGGATTGTTTGTAACACAAAGGATAAATGCTTGAGGTGATGAATACCTGATTTACCCTGATGTGATTATTACACATCATATGCCTGTATCAAAATATCCCATACACCCCATAAATATATACACCTATTATGTACTCACAAACATTAAAAACAGAAAAATAAAAAATAATGTAACAAAATCTGTAGAGGAAGGAAGAAAAATCTTAACTTCTATAATAGTCTCATATTATATTAAATGTTAAATTTTTGGAAAAAAAAATTGAGGTATTCAGAGAATCAGAAAAGTGTGGTACATACAAAGAAAAAAAGAGTAAAGAAACCGTCCCTGTGAAAACTCATGTTTTGCATTTGCTTTTAAAAGACTTTATTTCAGCTTTTATAAATATGTTCCAAGTAATAAACTATTTCTCATGAACTAAAAAAAAAAAAAAAAAACAAGAATTGTGTTTTGTCAAATAGAGAATGTTAGTAAAGAGAGAGAAATTATAAACAAAATTAAAAACTATAGAGTCAAAAATTACCGTAATTGGAATGAGATATTCATTAGCAGGACAAAAACAGCTGAATTGTCCTTAAAGACAAAAAAATAAGAAAACTAAAGGATAGGTCAGATATGATCATTCAGGTAGAGAAAGAGAAATAAAAAAAGAATAAAAAAAAAATTAACCTAGTCTCAAGAACAATGGTACGACATCAAGAATACTAATTTTTGCATAATGGAAATCCCAGAAGAGGAAAGAAACAAGGAGCGAAAAATAATAATTGACAGCAAAGATCACTTGGTGGACATCAAGCAAACCATCTAGAGGCAAAACTCCTCATCTAAGGAATTCAGAAGTAATTAGCCTTTCCTATTATCTAAAGTAGGCATCTGGTTCCAGGGTCTTTTCCCCAAATTTATAAGTAATTAGAATTTCTATACATCTCTGGCATGCATGTATATCAAAACTTATTGTGCAATCGTTGCTGACATTAAGGCACCAAAATGACCAATGTGGCTAATGTGGTTCAAATTACCCTTAAAATCCCCCTTTAAGGTCTATAAATATCCCTAAGGAAAAATCCACTGTGGGCTCAGCTGTCTCTTGTTGAGGCACTGTGCTGTAAAATTTGGCAGCAATATTTCTATCTAATAAAAATTTCCTTTTCAAAGCTATACTGTTGACAGCAAATTCTTCTCACTACCATACGACCCGTGAGCGGAACACTTTGATGCTGGGGCTCTGATACCTCACCTGGAAATAACGTCTAAAAACTTACCAAATTCTGAAGTTTAGCAAGGTTTCGGGATACAAAATAAATGTAAAATATCAATTGTATTTCTAATTGTAGCTATGAACAATCAAAAAAGAAAATTAAGAAAACAATTCTGTTTGCCAGAGCATCATAAAGAATAAAATGTTTAAAAATAAATTTATCAAAGCAAATGCAAAACTTGTACATTGAAAACTGTAAAACACCTTTGAAAATAATTGAGGAGGATCTAAATAAATAAAAAGCATCTCATATATGTGAATCGGATGACTTAACATTGCTAAATGTCAATAGACCACCTCAGATTGACTTGCAAATTCAATGCATTCTCTATCAAATTCTACTTTTTTTTTGCAGATATTTACAAGCTTGCTTTAACACTCATATGGAAATTTAAGACACTCAGAATAACCATAATAATCTTGAAAACAAAATGTTGGAAGATGTATGTTTCTTAATTTCAAAGTTCACTACAAATTACATTATTCAAGACAGGGTGGCACTGTCATAAGGATAGAGATACAGTTAACTTACTCCATCTGTTGATAAACAATCTTGGAAAGATTGCAATTCAAATGATATTAAAAGAAAAAATAAACATACTGACAACTTGTAACTTATGGAAATATAATGCAGAATCAAATATATTGAATGATGTACAAAAACTCAAAGAATAATATTAATTCTGAAAATGATCTATGGCATTGATCTAAAAAATGTTTTGGAAATAGTATTGGATTCTCAGAAGAATAAAATAAGTTATTGACTAGATAATATACGGAAAAATTTGAAATACTTTCCCAGAATACATAGGACACAGATGAAAATTAAAAGAGAAAAGATGTAGTGTAGTGTAGTTATGGAAACTGCAAACTGGTAATTTAAAATGCAGATTATTGGTGATTACTTATAGAACACAACAAATAGGGTAGAAGTGGTAGCCATAATTATATATTTCACTGTATGTATAATAAAATAGTTCATACAACATCATTCTAAAAACACCTACATGTAAACAAATGGGGTTGTAGGAGAAATTTCATCTCATAAAATGTCAAAAGCAAAGTAAAAAATGAAGATCAGCTTTATACAGATAGTAAAAAATAAACAAACTAATCACCCTCACCTTTTCTGTTAAAACTAAAAATGATGGAAGAAAAATATAAAAAGTAAAACAGCATAAGTAATTTAATGTTAAAAAATAAAAGCTTGTGACAAGATAATTTTCTGTGCAGTCATACTTTCAATATAAAAAATACTCAAAGTAAATAGGGTTCAAAAGATATAAATCTGTTTGCTTTCCTTTAAAATATTTTATACAGACATAATCTTATAAATTGAGAGAAAAATAAAAATTAATACTCCTAAACGCCAAGCCTGGTAAAATGTATAACAATTAGAAAGCCTTAGGGATAATACAGAGTTAATATAAATAATTAGAAATTTTGTTAGAACTGTGAAATCAAATTATAATTAATAAGGTAATGTCTATGGTATATTATACCTCTGAAGCTAAAATAAATTATAGTTTCTAGCTATATATTCTTTTCTCATCTTCTGGTAACAAACACAGTCTCCCACACATCAGTTTTTGTTACCTATCCTCCTCCCTGGTGAGAATCTCTATCAAGGTGTATCATCTATCCTTCCCAAAGTTAGTCACATTGAAACTGTTTTAAATACATACTGGAATACTTTAAGCCTCCTCTCGAACAGTCCTTGAAACATGGACTAGCTTGCTGACTCAATTCTAATGCATAGAAAGTATCAGAAGTGCCAGAGTTTTGACTTCCAATGGTAAGTCAGAAGAAGACAAAACAACTTCTATCTGACTCTCTCCCTACAGCTCTGAGCTGACATGTAAAATTATGGCTACCCTAGAGCAAGAAACAGATTCCTGAGGATTCTTCTCTATCCTATTCCTATGCTCCTCAAAACCATCTAGCATCAAACTCCAGATATGTAAGTGGGCAAGACTTTAGACAATTCCAGGCTACAGCCTCTGAGGCCCCTCTGGTAAGCACTAAGTGAAGCAAACAAGGCTCCCCTACTGAGCCTGATGTGAATTCCCGATATACAAAATCCACCAGCAAAATGAATAATTTTTTTATTGATTGTTTTTTAAGACTAGGCTTTTGAGTAATTTGTTTAGAAATAATAATCGCTGCAACACACATTGACCAACTTTTTAATTAGAATACTCCTTCCACTTAGACATGTAACTGGTTTAAGAATGACCACCCTTGTTCAAGCTGAGCCAGTCAGAATTATGATTGATTATTTGATTGATTGTTTTGATTTGTTGTGATGTGACTTATTCTTTTGTCAGAGTGATTGAAAGAGAGATAGGTGAAGATATTGATATGGAAGCTGAGAAAAAGGTTTTCCCTGCATGTAAGATCATAAAAAACAGGTGCTTAATTACACTGAAGCTTGGGGAGCCACATTTATGATGATGAAAAGAGTATGTCTAGAAAAGGAATCAGAAACAAGAGAAGCAGAAAATGACAGACTGCAAGTAGCATATTTGAACCCTGGGATTCATCTTTACCTTAAATTAGCACTGCTAGTTAGCCTTCCCAGTATGTGGACCAATGAGTTCTTCTTGTGGCTTAATTTAGTTTGAACTGGTATCACATGTAATCAAAAGATTACTGAATAATAGTGGTACAATGTGTTTTGTTATTATCTTACAAATCTGATTTCCATAGACTTTTTTCGAATCAGCAAACATGCTATTTTTATCAGCATAGTTGCTAAGTCTCTGAAGAGTCAGGAAGCCCTCCAAGGACTTTCCTCTATCAAAATAATAATAATAATGATAATCATCATCATCGTTATTTTAGTGAATAAAAATTTAGGGACTTTTTAACAGGAAGTTGCTTTTTTGAGATCAGCTGGAATTGTGAGCTTACAAGTAAAAAATCACAGCCTGAAAATGTCAAAAGTTTGAGCAACTGACAGCAGAATTCTGATTTGCCTAAAATAATTGAAAAGAGTGATTTGACAATACCTGATTTACATATTCTTAAAGAAAGGCAAGTAGGACTGAAGATATAGTTTATTTTTGAGTGGTATTATAGTATTGCTCAGATCCTCATAACTCTGATGCATCTAGAAGCTATTTTAAGATAACAAAATTATTTAATTTTTGTAAGTTTATTGAAGGAGCAATGCAAACATGTTTTCCTTCTTTAAAATATTAAAATGTGTTTGAGAATTAATATTTAAGGGACTGGTTTTATTCTCCATTTCAAACTTAGGAAGTACAAAGAAATAGAATAAATCATAATATTCTTAGAATCTTAGAGAGAAATATAGATTCCCGTAATATATGTTGTATTATTCTCCCTTCTACCTTTCTTGCTTTAGACCTACAGTAGCCAATTATGTTTGTCCACAGGACATAAAATTTTATGATGTTATTCCTTCCAAAACCCAGTTTTTCTTCTAAGGAGAAAAAGTTTACATTTTCCAAAAGGATGTATAACTTCTCAGCAGAGAAAAACAACCATGTGAGAAGAGAATAGGACATGAATATCCTCTCTCTCTTTCTCCCTCTTTCAGATACAGACATTCATCAGATGCATGGCAAATTCATAGAATACAAAAAGACAGTTTCAAGAAGAATAAAGCATGACAACATTAGCAACAGAGCAGTATCCACTATTCTGACTGTGCATGTGTGTGTGCATATGTGTGTGTGTCATTTCCCTGTCATATTGTCATTTTTGTTTTCTTGTGCTATGTAACAGAGTAGTTTGGCCAAGAGTCTGAGTTTTCTTTCTCAGAAATAAAAAAAAGAAAGGACTGTAAAGGAAAAGATCATAAGAGAGAATTGAAAGAATGTTGCCAAAAACCTGCTATCATAAATATTAAGCACATAGGAAGCAGAGGCAAGGTAGCAGGGTGAGACTCAAGAAAGGGAGTAGCTGACTTAAGATACAGGAGAAATAAAAGAACCAAGAGCAGTACTGAAACGCAGAAAGTAGGTTGTACTATTACAAATTTGACAGGATTGTTTAATGGAAGCTAATTTCTCTTTTATTCTTGCAACTGTACCCTAAACACTAAAGAGTGAGAGGCGGGGCCGGGTGCAGTGCCTCACGCCTGTAATCCCAGCACTTTGGAAGGCCGAGGTGAGTGGATCACCTGAGGTCAGGAGTTGGAGACCAGCCTGGCCAACGTGATGAAACCCATGTCTACTAAAAATACAAAAATCAGCCAGGTGTAGTGGTACATGCCTTTAATCCCAGCTACTTGGGAGGCTGAGGCAGGAGAATCGCTTGAACCCAGGGGGCAATGTTGCAGTGAGCCGAGATCACACCACTGCACTCCAGCCTGGGTGACAGGGCAAGACTCCATTGCAAAAAAAAGAATGAGAGGCATCTGTTATCTTCCCCCTCAAAGTCAGATAAATTTCATGTCCTAGGAATTGTGGAATCTCTGGATTTGAAGGGACAACAGTAAAATCCCAACAATATTTTGAAAAATATTCAAATTTTAGAAGAGCAATGTTTCAATATATGGAAACACAAAAAAGACATAACTGAAAAAAGCTATATACCCTCAAAGACAGTTTTACTAGAGTATTTTCCAAAAAAAAAATATCCCTATGGCCAGTCCTACTTTCAACACCTTGTGTGGCTATGTGCCTCCTATGGGTCTTGTCAAGAGCCGAGCTGAGCTGGGGAGATATCAGCTGCCAGAGGTCCAGTAAGCGAATTATGACAAGTCAAATGAATGTAATGGTCAAACCTTTAATCATTTACTGCAGTAGTATGAATAAGAGGCTACACAGGAGAAAGTGCTGGTTCCGACAATGTTCCATTTTAACCCCTGAAATTGCCCTAGTTGATGGTCAGGGTGATCCCTGAAGATATGGGGTTTGTCTCACTGTAGAGAAATCTGGGAACAAAAAGTTTCTGCCATTTTATAGTCCCAAGGGATGAGGGAAGAGAGATGGGAAGTGCTAAGAACAGAGTAGAGAAATATATTTTTAAAAAGCCCTGATAAGTGATCTGGACAGAGGAGCCTGAGACAGGCCGTTGCAACAGGCTCTGATAAAGAAGCCTCAAATTGGAGGCACTTGGACTAAGAATTCAGATATATGTAAGAACATGGACAACTAAGGGATCCTGAGTCCTTGACTGCAACTTTTTCCAGAGAGTGCAATTCACTGGCTGTGTACCAAGTCTGGGGTGGGCAGTGTGGTATCCCCTTGTGAGTCTTGTCAGAGCAAAGCCTTTGCAATTGCCTACGATTGAATGTGAAAAATGACACATAGGATTTTGGTCTGAAACCAGACAACTAGGTCTGTCTACGTGAATGATAGTAGAAACAAGATTAGTAGCCAACTAAGCTGGAAGCTTTTAATGAGCACAGGTCTTGGTTCCATGTATTGAACAGATCATAAGGGGGAGTAAATGTGGGCATGGGGAAGTGCTTTACCCCAATTTTCTGGTCAGTGTAAATCTCCATGGAGCAATTATAAAATTGCAGTGAGGAGGAAACAGCTCCCCAACCTTGACCATGATTGAGTGAGATAAATATTTCTTACCCCAAAAAGACAAGCTATTAAAGAACAATTAAATGGGATTAGAAAAATTAAGTAATGTAACATTTCTTAAACTGGAATATATAGAGCAAAAATTATACAGCTACAAAAATTATACAGCTATAAAAATATACTAGTTAGGATTGCATTCAGGAGAAAGTAACAAACTAAAACTTATTGCAAATATAAAGCCATTTTAAATTACATAACAAGACAACAAGGTATAGGCAATTTTAGGTTTTGTGTAATGACTCAGTTATGAATTCAACCCAGGATCTGTGTCATAATCCCTATAGTGCAGGTGGTTTGTGTTTGTGCTAAATGCCTCATGATCATTGGAAGAAGGTAGTGCTGTAGATGTCATGTCCATTATTGAGTCAGGGAGAAGGGATACAAGGAGCAAGTTAAGCAACTTTCTTTCATGCTTGATACTTTAAAAGAAAGCAAGACTTTTCCAACAAGCCCCCCAGATGACGTCTGCATATATACCACTGGTTAAAATTGACTCATACAACTACTCTTATCTGCAAAGTAAGCTGGAAAACCAAGTATCTCTCTAACAACTATGTAGACTTGAAGTCAATTTGTAGTCTACTATGTAGACTTGAAGTCAATTAATTTGTGTACACAAATTAAAGCTCTATTTTTAGAAATTATTCTAATTCTTAGCATATCAATATTTTCACTCACTATTCTACCCTGAATAATAATTGACACCAGGTCTATAAATGCATTGTTTAAAAAACATTCTTGGGATTTAACTGCCTTGGGATTGTTACTGTGTCTCTGTCAAAATTCAATAAATATTTAGTTTACCTGTGGATAGCTGATCATACAGCCAACTGACAAAATTGTTTTAAAGTTAGACTTCTAATGATAAGTATATTTCTTGAGACCTTTAATTTTTGCATTCATATTGCATCTTCTAGGGATTCTTATACTATACTCGGAAAATGTACAGAAACTAATCATGGCTTTTAATTGCTAAACAAAGGCAGTGCATCATATTAATTTTATGTTTGTCTTATAAGAAATTGTCTTATTTTGATGTCCTTGGTATGATTTAGGAAGGGGATGAGCAAATACGTTTACCCTAATACAAAATGCCATTAAGAAGTTTTCCCTAATATAAAATGCCATCAAGACAGGTTAATTCTCTTGGTATTAAAGATATATTTTTTGTGAAAATATTCTCCATTTCAAATGTATATATTCAGCCATTTTTCTATAAGGTTGAGAGCGGTACTACTGAAAAATACCTGATAGTCTTGTCAAAGAAGACAGATTATGTAAAAAAATCTAAATTAATATAAAATACCATTCCAACCTAGAAGAATAATGTAAAAGTGTAATTTTTAATTGGAAAGATGCCCATTATGCATTTTGTATTAAGAAAAATATTAAATAACCAATTTATATTATTTGAGCAAATCTTTGTAAAATATAAGTATGCATGTTTGTGTCAATTTCAAAATGCAAAGACAAGAATGTGGAAGATTACAAACCAATGCTAAAAGTTAATTGACAGAAAGCAAACATTACGGCTGGCTACTTATGTATTATTCTAAATGTAAAAATAAGCAATTTTTGTAACAAATGACTGAAGTAAATGCATTATACAGATAAAATATAAATATTTCTGAAAGGCAAGTAAGCCCCCATTTGTGAATTACTGAAGTATATAACAGTGTCACATTTATTTTTAGCTTAGACTTTATTAGTTTTTGAGCTAGGAAAAAGTATATGAGTGTATTAGTCCATTCTCATGCTGCTAATAAAGACATACCCAAGACTGGGTAATTTATTTAAAAAAAAAAGAGATTTAATGGATTCACAAGTCCACATGGCTGGGGAGGCCTCACAATCATGACAGAAAGCAAAGAAGGAGCAAAGGCATTGTCTTACAGGCAAGAGAACATGTGTAGGGGAACCGCACTTTTTACAGCCATCAGATCTCATGAGACTTGTTCACTATCATGAGAACATCACAGGAAAATCTGCTCCAATGATTCAATTACCTGCCACTGAGTACCTTCCATGACACATGGGGATTATGGGAGCTATAATTCAAGATGAGATTTGGGTAGGGACACAGCCAAACCATATCATTCCACCCCTGACCCCTCCCAAATATCATGTCCTCACATTTCAAAACCAATCATGCCTTCCCAACAGTCCTACAGTCTTAATTCATTTCAACATTAACTCAATAGTCCACAGTCCAAAGTCACATCCGAGACAAGGCAAGCCCCATCTGCCTATGAGCCTGTAAAATCAAAAACCAATTAGTTACTTCGTAGATACAATGTGGGTACAGGCATTAAGTAATTACACCCATTCCAAATGGGAGAAACTGGCCAAAAGGAAGGGGCTATAGGCCCCATGCAAGTCCAAAATCCAGCAGGGCAGTCAAATCTTAAAGCTCCAAAATTATGTCTTTTGACTCCATGTCTCACACCCACGTCATGCTGATGCAAGAGGTGGGTTCCCATGGTCTTGATTTTTGTATGTGGTGAAAGCGGTCTAGTTTTATTCTTCTGCATATAAATATCTCATTTTCCTAGCATCGTCTAATGAAGAAATTGTCTTTCCTCAATGTATGTTCTTGGCATCATTTTTGAAAATCAGCTGGCTGTAAATATGTGGATTTACTTCTGAGTTCTCTATTCTGTTTCAATGATACATGTGTCTGCTTTTATGCCAGTACCACATTGTTTTGATTATTATACTTTTGTAGTATATTTTGGAGTCAGGTAGTGTGATACTTTGGCTAATTGGGTTCTTTTGTGTTTACATACAAATTTTAGGATCTCTTTCGGTGAAAAATGTCATTGGCATTTTAATAGCAACTATACTGAATCTGGGTATTGCTTTGGATAGTATAAATATATTAGCAATATTAATTCTTCCAATCCATAAACATGAGATGACCTTCTACTTTCTTCTGCATTCTTTTATTTCTTTCATCAGTGTTCTGTAGTTTTCATTGTAGTACAACCATTATGGAAAACAGTATGTAAGTTACTCAAAGAACTAAAAATACAAATATCATATGATCCACAAATCCCACTGCTGGGTATATATCAAAAAATAAAATAAAACCAGTATGTTGAAAAATATCTGCACTCCCATGTTTATTGCAGCACCATTCATAATAGCCAAGATACGGAATCCACCTAAGCATTCATCAATGAATGAATAAATGAATGAATGAAGAAAAAGTGGTATGTTTACACAATGAAATACTATTTAGTCATTAAAAAATGAAATCCTGTTATTTGCAGAAACATGGATGATCCTGGAAGAGATTATATTAAATGAAATTAGCCAGGCATAAAAAGACAGTGACAGCATGTTCCTATTCTGTAAAAGTGAAAAAGTTGATCTCATGGATGTAGAGAATAGAATGATGGTTACCAGTGGTTGAGACAGGTAGGAGGGAGAGGGAGATGAAGAGAGGTTGTTTAATAGATACCTAAATACAGTTAGCTAGAAGAAATAAGTTCTAGTGTCCAATAGAACAATAGGATCATTATTAGGATCACTATAGTTAATAATACATTTCATATTTCAAAATAGCCATATAAAGAAGATTTGGAATGTTCCCAACATAAATAATGTTTTAGGTGATGGATAACCTGATTACTCTGGTTTGATCAATGTTTATTATATGCATGTATTAAAATGTTACATGTATCCAATAAGTATATATAAGTATTATGTATCAGCAAAAATAGAAGCAATGTGCTAAGAAGAGTAGACATAGAGAAAGAGATTAGGTTCCCAGTATCTGTTGAGCCATGACACCAACACGCAACTCCTTATTTTTCAATTCTCTTTTTGAAGGAGTCACATTTGTACTGTTCTGATTAAACCATTTTTATTTAGGGTTTCTAAAATACACAACTGAGTTTAATTGCTACTGAAGCCTAAAGATTTATGCCTGTTTATACATACATGTATATGCATTTTTGTGTGTATATGACAGATAATTGCAGAATTGTTGCATAGAATTAGAAAATTACCACCAAAAATTGATATATATTGCTAAAAATTATCCAATATAAGGATCTCTTTATACAGGTTTAGATTTAAGAATAACAAATATGGTTAAATGATTAAAACAATCATTTCTAAGAAAAAATATTACATATTAAGCATCACTAATTCAAAAATCCAAAATCTGAAATGCTCTAAAATTCAAACCTATTTGAGTGTCGACATGACATGACCACATGTGCAAAATTCTACACCTGACACTTTTGCTTTCTGATGACTCAATATCACAGTTTGTTTCATGCACGAAATTATTTAAAATATTCCATAACATTATTTTCAGTCTATTTGTATAAAAATATAAAAAACATAAATTTTGTGTTTAGACTTTGGTTTCAAATAGCTCATTTATGCATATGCAAATATTCCAAAATCTGAAAAAAATAAATCCCAAAAACTTCTGGTTATAAGCATTTCAGATGAGGGATACTAAAACTGTATTTTATCTATGATGTTTTTAAAAATATTGTTCTTATCTTATGCTGCTTTATCAAAATAAATTTCCATACAAGATAAAAAAAGATATTTTTTCAACAGACACACACACATGCTAAGCAATAAAGAACTGGCTTGAATTAATTCTACTCATTATAATTAAATTTTATCTAAGTATTATGAGTTTTTTTATACATACATGTATTTAAAAAATGTTTACTAGGTTATCTTGTAATGAAAAATATAAAATATACTGAAAAAGAGAGAGAGCCATTTTGAATAAACAAAGAGATAAAAATACATATAAACCATACATACTCCTCAAAAGATAGAGGCAATACCTCCTTGTTAGTGGTATCTTTGCTATAGGTAGAGTGGTCTTGACTTCAGATAAATCTTTATTATGTCAAATGCAATTTTGTAAACATGTACTTTTTAAATTCTAATCTTACATGGTTTTCTAATTCACAGTAAAGTTATTTTTCATTATCATTAGCTGCTCTACGTAACTACCACATCTATTGATCTACCTATACAGACATCTACATTTATATCTATATAAATTTCATGTAAACTTCTTATTATAGGAACTTTTTTGTAACTATCACATCTATTGATCTACCTATACAGACATCTACATTTATATCTATATAAATTTCATGTAAACTTCTTATTATAGGAACTTTTTTGTAACTACCACATCTATTGATCTACCTATAGAGACATCTACATTTATATCTATATAAATTTCATGTAAACTTCTTATTATAGGAACTTTTTTGCTAACAGTATTCAGGCAAGAGCAATTCTCAGGCTAGGCAATTTGATGCTAACTCAAGTAAATATGCTCTGGTAAAGAGTTTGAGTGATTAAAGCATACACCTGGAAATCAGTAAAACATGAACTTGTATGTTGACACCAGGTCATCTACATCCCTAATATTTCTGGTGAACACTGAATGACACTAAATGGATAAAATGTTCAAAAACTAATAGTAAATATTTGTATAAACCTAAGTATTGTTTTGTTGGAGTCAAAAGTTCAAACTATTTAGTAACTAAATTAGGAAGCAAATTTGAGTTGTTATTGGTTTATATTCAATTGAGCTAATAAAGATTAGTTTTAATGGGAAATCTATTGGCTCTGCTTACTTATAGTCCCAAAAATGAGAATTTTTATTAGACTTACAGGATAACAATAGGAAAAAATAGTTGAAATAATAAGTGTTCAAACCTGGAATCTTTTTTTCCATCATTCTGCAATGTTTCAAAAAACATAAACCCATGCATATTTGCAGACATGTATACAAATAGCTAAAATATGTCTATGGTTAAAAAATTGTTTATGTCTCAGGAATTTTGTTATAGGAACATTTGTAATGGAGATGTTGATATTTTATGTCAGTGATAAAATGCATTCCCCTGAAGTTCTCCCTAATGGGCTTGGTACAGGTATTGAGTGGGCATCAGATTCTACAGGGGTGCTCCCAGAGGCTACTGCCTCAATTCAGTAAATAAGCACAATTGATGCTATTATCTAGTCTACCTTTTTCAGCTCTCTGAAAATTCCTTATATTTTGTGTTGGTCTAACTTAGTAATCGATTTGGAATCACATCACAGGATTGATCTCACCTTCTTAGAGTAACCTGTAAGTAAAGTCAGCCAGCATAGCCTGGCAGCAACTGACAGAAAGTGTTTTTATAGCCTCAGTGAATACAAGGGCAAACCATGGGCAAAATTTTGAAATGTGTAGTACCGGCCACCTGCATCCATCCATACATCTCTTTTCTTCATCCCCCCCTTCTACTAGTGTCTTCTCTCCTTTTCCCTTTCACCCAATCAAGATATGTTATCAGAAAATAATAGGATAAAAAGACTGATTGGCAAATAAAAAATAATTCCTGGCCATATCAGCACCTGTGGCTTTCAGAGGCTGTTACATCTCTAAACCAATCTCATTTTTAGAGGAACAAAAAAGTCATATTGATAAATTACATATTCTACTGCTAGTTCTGTCTCTGGATTAAGTGGATGATTTTAGAGTGGTTGACTTATCCTTGTAGATATCAGTTTCTCAGTTGAAAAATAAATTCAACTCTATCAGTAGTGTTGAAATGGGCCTTAGTGAGCCCTAGGATGCTCTGTAAAGATTCATGGAGCCAGAATTGAAGAAAAAGTCAGGCACAATCCATTAAATATAATTTCACCAAAAAAATGCTATTTACCTCAAAACTGATTCTGGAACTCTGCAATATTTTTAAATGCAATCATGTTGAAAATCACATTTTACTCCATGATTTCATTGACTGTCAGACTAAACTTTAGGCCATATCAAGATACCCAGAACCTCCAGATTCCTCAGGAGAAACTTCAAGCTTGTTTTCCCCTAGCAGATGACATAAAAGGGGAGAGTTTGTCCATGAGACAAGGAAGTAGTGACTTCTTGGTTTTGTTTTTCCTGTCAAAGTGGTCATAAACTTCAATTTTTAAGGAAAAGAAATTTTAATATGTATTTCTAGTCAAAGTCAATGTATGTATCTACACTATTCTTTATCTTCTTGGAGGTATTAAATGAGGGCAACTACTTGTTTCAACAGTTGAGTAAAGAAAAGGAAAGACTAAAAATGACAAGAAAAACTACCATACTAATGTTTTAAGCTTACTGACACATCACATGAGTCTGGTGAAAAAGCGGAAAATGTGTATTTAAGGATTTTTTTTTTAATAGGAGAGACAATTTGGGTCTAGAGGAAGTAAGAAATGTGATCATGAACATGGGACTTTGGGTAAGAGTTTGATGTTAGAAAGCAAGTCCATTTTGCTGGGAGGAAGCATTGTGCTATTCTCCTCACCACTGCTTCTTAACATCTCATGGGTAAAGTGTAGTAAACTGTTTTTAATGTGGTTGTGAAGCATGTTAGTAAAACATAAAAGTGCTTTATATGCATGACTGTATTTGAATTGTTATAGCTGTGTTGACAACATCGACACAACTTCTTTGTAATGCACCTTCATTTTCCAACACACAAGATTAAAATCTAAGTTTAGGGAAATTCTAATGTTAATGTTACTCTAAAGACTTACAACTTTTATCACATAAAGTGTAACATATAATTATATTAGAAAACATTCTTCAATGCTCTAAGATAAAAGGGAATTTTGTTCTTGTAACATTGTGTAAATTTTATCTGGACATGTTTTAGAAGCATAAGAAGTTAAAAGGTGATTTTCATGTTTTATGTCTATTTTCTCATTTGTTTTACTCTAAAACTAGAAAAGAAATTAAAATTCTTAGGTCTATCTATGATAGAAAAATCTTATTTAGTTCAGGAGCCGAGCCATAACCCTCACTTTAACAGTTTACTTAGGTGACCCCACCAGTGAGTCCAGCTCAAGACTATTACAGTTCATGTACATTCACTTACTGAATAATAAAAGCTTTGAATCAATAGTTCTAAAGATAAAATTTGTGTCAGCATCCCACAAGTTCATAGTCACATTCCACTTCTTAAATTAGAGGTAGGATAAAATGACTTTGCCCTGTTTGTAGCCTATGATTAAGAAATTTAAAGAGCATAATACGAAAATTTTCTAGTTCAAAAATATATTTAATGTGTTTTCCCTCTTCAATTAAAAAGTAGTTACTATTCCAAAGTGCAATACCACCTGCCAGTCAGCCAAAACATATTTTCTCTGAAATTCTTACTAACAAGAAATCAGTGTTACTTGTGTTTTGTGTTTCTATGCATGATTATAATAAATCTCCATTAACCAGGTAAACTACACGTCTTTTTCCTGAAACTTTATACGTTTAGTAATCTGTGATGATATAGTTGATTACTTATAAATCCAAAAAATACCACTAAAATGAAATATTGGAACCAACAAAGAAAATGAGCAGTTATTTTTAACAATCTGTAGTTTTTAGATAATATTTCTCAACTGTCATAATGTATACATACATTAAAACATCTCCATGTACCTGTCTTGTCCGTTTTGTGGTTATTGTAACAGAATATCTGAGACTGGATAATTTATAAGGAAAAGAGGATTATTTGGCTCATGATTCTGGTGTCAGGGAAGTCCAGAGTCGGGTAACTGGTGATGGCCTCTGACAGTTTTCACTCTTGGAGGAAAGCAAAAGGGGACAGGGTGTGTGCAAAAGGGGATCAGGGTGTGTGCAAGATAAGATGCAGGGAGAATGAAATTGAAGAAGTCAGACTCTTTAACAATCCAACCAATAACAGTAGATTTGTTTCCCAGAATCTGGGAAACCAATTCTTTCCTATGAGAATGATTCCAGTTTCGCCAGAATGACAACTCATTCGCTACCTCAAGTGTGGCACCAAGCCATCATGAGAACAGATCCCTCATGCACAAATACCTCCCATTTGGCCCCACCTTCCAAGACCACCATATTGAGAATCAAGTTGCAATATGAGTTTTTGTGGGGACAAACACACCATATCCAAGCAACAGTAGTACTCCATAAATACATAAAACTTCTACTTGTCAATTAAAAATATACATATTTTTAAAAAGTTGAACTCAGAGAAATGGAGAGTAGAATGAAGATTATAAGTGGCTAAAGGAAAGGAGGATGGGAAAATATTGGTCAAAGGGTGTAAAGTTTCAGTTTGATAGGATGAAGAAGTTTTTGAGATGAATTGCACAGCATGGTGACTATAGTTAATAATAATATAATGCATACAGTTGACTCTTGAACAACACAGGTTTGAACTCCATGGGTCCACTTAAATGGCGATTGTCCTTCTCTGCCATCCCTGAGACAAGACCAACCCTTCCTCTTCTTTGGCCTACTCAGTGTGAACAAGAAGAAGATGAAGGCCTTTCTGATGATTCACTTCCACTTAACAAGTAATAAATACTTAGCTTCATTTATTTTAAGAATAGAGTATATAATACATATAATATACAAAATATGTGTTAATCAACTGTTTATTTTATCAGTAAGGCTTCTAGTCAACACTAAGATATCAGCATTTAATTTTCTTAGAGAATCAAAAGTTTTACATAGATTTTTAACTAGGCAGGAGGCCAGCAACCCAACCCCTAGATTGTCCAAAAGTCAGCTGTATTTCCAAATTACTAAGAAAGTAGACTTTAAATGTTTGCATCACACACACACACACCCACACACACCCAGTGAGTGTATATGAGGTAATGGACAGGTAAATTAGCTTGATTTAATCATTTCATAATGTATGCATATATACATGAAACATCTCTTTTTACCACATAGGTACATATAATTATAATTTAAGAATGAAAATGAAACAGTGACTTCAAATATATTTTAAAAGAAGCTAAAAAGTCAAGGAAGTATCACGGAAGTAAAGTTGAAGTTGAAAGGAAAGACTAGTCACTGCGGAATGAACAGTTGAAAAACATAGCATATATAAATTAACAAAACAAAACAATGAAACAGTTTTACAATGCCAAGAACATTAACGTAGTCATAATAGGTAAGCAAAGAAGATCTAATAGATTTGTAAATATATTTAGCCAAATAGAATAGTAGATATGCCTAACTGGAGCACAAACATAAGAAAACCAAATAATAAAATGTAAATCTGAGAGTGCATTCAAGAAGTGAATACACACACAAACACACACACACACAGAGAGAGAGAGAGAGAGAGAGAGAGAGATTGAGAGAGAGAGAGAGAGAGAGGCCCTGAAAAGGATAACAGGCACAAAAGCATCAACACCACAATACAACCTAGCAAAAATTCCGATCTTTTAAATATAAAGATTCCTTCTATGGCCAGGATAAAAATATCAAGTAACTTATGAGAGGAAAAAATAAAGATTGCCTTCAGATTTATTCACAGCAAAATTTAATGTCACAAAAGAATACAGCAATGCCTGAAAACACTCAAAGGAAGACACTGAGCCAAGAATTCTGTATCTAGCCAATCTGTCCTTCACTATAAAAGTTATAGAAAACAATTTTGAAAGTGTAAAAATTTCAAGATTTTTTTTTCCTTGACACTGTTTTAAGCATTCTAAGAGTTCACTTGAGGAACTATGGCAAAAAAGCTGTCAATAAGCTGAAATTTAAAATTTAGACTAAACAAAATACCTGTTTTAGAATGAAAAATAGAATGCCTCAATAATAGGGAAAAATAATTGAATTCAGACATGTGGGAAGAGGACAGAAGGAAGATAGGAGGTATATTCTATGTATTTTTGCCTCATCTGTTTATCCGTGAATATATCATTTTATTCTTAGAAATCAAATAATACAACAGTTTTTACCAATTTCCTTATGTTTCTGAAAACAATGGGTATTATGAGGTTGTTCAGTAAAGCATTCTATGTGTATACAATAGGTAAATTTAGTTAATAATGCTGTTTGATTCTTACATATTTTTCCTGAGTTTTTGTAACATTTTTCTGTTTACTTGATACATTTCTGAGAGAGGTATATTAAAATCTTTCATTTCAGTGGTTTGCATGGGAAAATTAAGGTATTCCAGCACCATTTGTTGAAGAGACTATTCTTTTCCTATAAATAGTCTTGGACCTTATGTTGAAAATCAATTAATATTACATGTTTGTTTCTATTTCTGGATTCTCAATTCTATTCCATTGGTTTATAGTTCTATCACTATGCCAGTACTGTGTCGTTTTGATTGCTGTAGTTTTGTAGTAAATTTGGAAAGGCCCCTTACAATTCCATATGAATTTGAGGACTGAAATAAACATTGGTAGAATTTTTGTAAGAGATTACAATGAATCCGGAGATCACTTCGGATAGTAAAGACATCTTAACAAAATTAATTCTTACAACCCATTAACATTTGATGCCTTTCCATTTTTTTAGGACTTTATTTTTTCTGCAATGTTTTATAGTTTTCTGTGTAAAAATATTTCACCTCCTTAATTAAATTTATTCATAGGTGTTTTATTCTTTAAATGCTTTTGTAAAACCAACTATTTTCTTAATTTTCCTTCAAATTGTTTAATGCTGGTATACAGAAACACTACTGATTTTTGTGTGTTCATATCTTATATAGTTGTATTTTTTAAATCTGTAATGTTTATATTTTAGTAGTTATTTAAAGATAACAATATGTAGCCTTAAATCACAAAATTTAATGTTACGTGACATTTTTATTTTCTGCCTGAATAAGGCAAGCATCTTAAAAATTTAATTTTACTTATCTTTCACTAAGTTATATATATAACATATATATTATATATGATGTTTTATAAATATATTTTTTTAAGACATGTTATTGTTGTGTATAGTGTTGATTATTTATTATAATTCTTTTCCTCTTGGGTAGTTTTTTATTTTCTCTCAGAATGCTCATTAGTATTTCCTTTAGTGTGGGTCTGCTGGTGACAAATTATCCCATTTTTTTATTTACCAAAAATATTTTTATTCAACCTTAATTCCTGAAGGATATTTCCATAGTTACAGTATTTTATCCCCTTTCAATACACAAAATACGTATTTTTCTCCATAATTCATTAATTATTTTAAGAGGATAGGCTCTCAGATAAATTGTCTTTTTAAATTTTTATAAAATTTATTGTGTTTTAGAGTCAGGTCTTGCTATGTTGCCCAGGCCAGGCTTGAACGCATGGGCTCAAGAGATCCCTCTGCTTCAGCCTCTTGAGTATCTAGGACCACAGATGCACACCAATATATCTAGCTAAAATTGTCTTTTGAAAGCCTTTATTCTCTCTTTTCCTTCCTTCTTTCTATACTATACTTTAATAATCTGCTTTTCCACAGTGCACTGTTTTTGCTGATATATGTAATATTGTATTTTATCTTTTTGAACATAATAAGACTATGATAAAATCTGAAATGTTAAATATGTAAGTATAGGTTAAACATTCACAATCCAAAAACTTGAAATCTGAAATGCTCCCAAGTCTAAAACCTTTTAAGGACTGACATGACACCACAAGTGGAAAATCCACACCTGGTTTCATTCGATGGGTCCAGTCTAAACACAGGCGCACAACAGTTCATTCAGTGACTCCAAGGTAAAAAGATCCTCTCAGCCTTCTTCAGCTGGAATGTATCTGTATTAGTCCATTCTCACACTGCTAATAAAGACATACCTGAGACTGGAAAATCTATAAAGGAAAGAGGCTTAATTGACTCAGTTCTGCAGGGCTTGAGAGGCCTCAAGAAACTTACAATCATGGCAGAAGACGAATCAAGTACGCCCCTCTTCACATGGCAGCAGCAAGGAGAAGTGCAGAGCTAAAGTGGCAGGGGGAGCCCCTTATAAATCCATCAGATCTTGTGAGAACTCATGCACTATCATGAGAACAGCATGGAGGTAACTGCCCCCATGTTTTAATTACCCCCTCACCAGGTCCCTCTCATGACATGTGGAGATTGTGGGAACAACACTTCAAAATGAGATTTGGGTGGAAACACAGCCAACCATACCAGTATCTTTCCCATGTATGCCCAGATTTCCCTATATAAGCATGCCATAAATGTTAACAAAATCACACTTATGAAGGCCATACACATCAGTGGCAGGTTCCTTACAATGCTCTACATGGGGCCAAGACCTATGTCCACTAAGCTTTGATCTGTAACGTAACGATATTGTATTGTTGAAAATGTCAAAAAGACCTGCAGATACCAACATGAGTAACTGATAAAAGGAGGAAACATTTTTGTTTATGCATAGCACAGAACTCAAGCTACTAGAGACTCTGAACAATGGTGAAAGTTTGAAATATACAGAAGAGTAAGATATTGGAATGTCTACCATATATGACCTGAGGAAACAAAAAGATAAACTGCTAAAGTTATATGCTGAAAGTGATAAATGGAAGGTAATGAAAAATAGAAAACACTGTATGAAGCTAAAAATGAAGATCTCAATATTGTAGTGAACACATGCCACCTAATGGTATGCTGATCGAGAAACAAGCAAACATCTAACACAACAAACAGAAAATTGTAGAAAACTGTGAATATTCCATGGGCTGATGAAATTCAAGAAAATATATGGCATTAAAATTTTAAAGATCTATGGTGATAAAGCATCTGATAATCATGAAGCCATGGAGAAATTCATTGACGAGGTTGCCAAAGTCATCACCAATGAAAATATGATGTAGAACAAGTCTCTAATGTTGATAAAACATTAGAGTTTTGACATTATTGCCACAGAAAGACACTAATGAGAAAGGAACTGATGAGGCAGTTTCTACAAAAATTGAGAATGACAAGGACAGAATAACTATGCCGGGATGTGCTAATGCAGCAGGCAGGCATAAGTGTAAATTTGCTGTGATAGGCAAAAGCTTGCATCCTCACCATTTTCAAGCAGTAGATTTTTTACCAGTACATTATGCTAACAAAAAAACATGGAAACCAGGAACTTGTTTTCTGATTGGTTCCACAAAGAGTTGGTACTAGTGGTTTATGCTCACTGCAAGAAAGCTGGATGGGATAACAACTGAAAGATTTTTTTTTTTTTTTTTTGACAACTGTTCTTCTCATCTTCAAGCTCAATTTTTCACCAAAAAACTTTATGCTATGTACTTTCCTCCAAATTTGACTTTACTGATTGAGCCATGTGACAAGGGTATCTTTAGATCAATGAAGAGTAAATATAAACAGCATTTCTTAAATGCTTAAACAGCACTTTAGCAGCAGTAAATGGAGGCATAGGAGTGGAAGGTTTTCAAAAAGGAATTTAGCATGAAGGCTACTGTATATGCTGTTGTGAATGCTTGGAACTCAGTGATTAAAGACACAGTTGTGTATGCCTGGCACAACCTCTGGCTTGTAACTATGTTCTGTGATGATGATGAAGAAACTGCTAGCTTTGAAGGATTCTTTATGTTGAGTGGGAAAAAAATGGTGTCTGATGTTACATATACAAAAAAATAAATATGTCTTCAGAGTTTGTCAGTAAGCTGGAAGAAGTAGATATTGAAGATGTTTTAACATCAATGATGTGGCTCTGGTTGTTTATTCATTGGCCACTGGTGTTGATGAAGCAAGGTGATTATGATATCAGCGATGATGAAGATGATGTTGCTAACAGTGAGAAAAAATGCCTAGACACAATATGATGAAAATGTATGATGGGTTTTTGAAGGATTAGAGCTGTGTAAATTGAGAACAACAAGTTTTCATATTAGTTTATGAAGTCAAAGAAAGGTTTCTAAGACAAGAAGGACTATTAATGAGACAGATGACTCTGGAGGAAATATTTTTAAAAGCCTTTCAACAGAAAGCCTCCTCATCACTAGAGCAACTGCTTCCTGGTCCCTTAAGTGCTTCTAATGTTTTTCAATAAAAAAATTAAAAACCAGTATATATTAATTTTTTTTTTGAGATAAGAGTCTCACTCTGTCTCCCAGGCTGAAGTGCAGTGGCGTGATCTCAGCTCACTGCAACCTTCGCCTCCCAAGTTCCAGCGATTCTCCTGCCTCAGCCTCCCGAGTAGCTGGAACTACAGGCGTATGTCACCACACTCGGCTAATGTTTTTGTCTTTTTAGGAGAGATGGGGCTTCACCCTGTTGGTCAGTCTGGTCTTGAACTCCTGACCTCAAATGATCTGCCCGCATCAGCCTTCCAGAGCGTCAGTGTACATTAACTTTTATCAAAACACAGCATCTTAATCGGAGACTGAAAACCTGCAGTTTTTTTTTTTCTGCTGTTGTTTCACAGCTGATCCAGGTATTCTCATGATCTTAATGTTCTGCTTAGTTACACTGAACACATTATTTCTTGCTGCATTAATGATATTTTGAAAATGTTAAGTACTTATGTTTGAATAAGTGTAAGAAATGATTGCTTATCAGTAGCATATACATTTTGAGCCAAGGATGATGCCAAACAACCAGAGATTGCCCACATAGGTGGCTGAGAGAGTGACATTCTTGCTTTCCGATGCTTCCATGTACACACACTTTGTTTCACACATAAAATTATTAAAGATATTGTATGAATTACATACAGATTATGTGTATAAGGTATATATGAAACAAATCAAATCAGAATATATTTTTACTAGGCATTTATTAATAAATTATGATTTTAGTAATTATTTCACATTCTCTTTTTGTTTATCTTAACTATTTTTTGGCACATGTGCATCTTCAGCATATTATTTTCTTATTTATTCACACTGCAGTAGAAGTTCATTGTAAGGGAGGAATAAAGTATAATTCATATCTGGCACCATATAATTTTGATGCACTAATAAGTTAATTGTTACACAATTAAATGTTATTTACAAATCCTTCGTAATTGTTATACATATTATTAATCCCCACTTATTTATATTTAGCAAAATAGGCTAAAGGTTTTTGAATAAGCTGAGAAGGCATTATTATTTTCAACAAAGGACTTGATTCAGAGAATTCACACACACACACACACCCCTGATTAATAATGCAGGCTGTCATAGAAATTAAGGAATAATTGAACTAAGCCTTTTTAAGGACAGGCAACAAAATCATTCTATGTATCTAAATAGCAGGTTTAAAGTATATGAGATAGAATTGAAAAGATTTAATGCAATCATCTAATATTTGTGTCTCTTGGGGAAGACAAAACACCTATTCTATCCTAAATTAGGATAGGGGCTCACTTTGATAGTAATCAGCTATGAACCAAGTAGCCAAGTACATGGATGAGATTTAAATGCTATCTCTGTATAGAGAGCCATTCTTGATGAAGAATCTACTACATTAACTAAAAGAATTTAAGTCTAGCCTCTTTCATTTTTTAAAATCTGTCATGATGTTTTGATTAACGTAAATTTACGTAAAATAAGATAAAATGGAACAGACACATACCCATTAAACAAAGAATATGGTCCCAATATTCTTTATGCACTAGCTGTGGAAAATTGAATAAGATATTTATTGTCTCTGTTCCTTGATTTCCTCGTTTCTAAGTAAGAATAACATTTTTATTAGTGCTATTGTGAGGACTAGATAACATAATGAATGAAAATCCTTGAAATTAAAATAGTGTCTCATATATAATATAATACATAATAAAAGTATCTAAAAGTTAAAATATTATTGGTAATATGCCCGCTTTTATTATTATTACTATTTTCACATGATGGAGATTGTTCTTGTGGTAGACAGAATGACAACATTATCATTCTGAACCACAGTGGGCTCTTCATTAGTCTTGACACACTAAGAATTTTACACAAGAAGTTTGGGCTTACCATTGAGCAATTCATTTACTCTCAATACCAATTTAAATATCTCATCATGTTTATCTTGATAAGTGTGACAAAGTAACCAATAACTTTATGCTTTATCTTGATTAGTGTGACAAAGTAACCAATATCTAGTAATCTAGATAACTATCTGGTAGGGTGATCGACCAGTTCAAAAGAGAAAAAGGTGCAAACAATGCGAAGAACACTTAAGGCAAGTATCTAACTACATATTTGGAAACAAGTGAATGAAACTGTTTATGTACCAGAGATAGAAAAAATATTATAACAGTCTACAGGTGTTGCATTAGTGTTGTGTGCTTGTCTTTACAACTAGGCAGATAAATAAAAACAAATATGTTTTTAAAATTCCAACATGTGGTAGTTTGAAAGTGTGTCTCAGCAAGTGGAATCATAAAATCTGGCTCAAATTTTAGATAAATTTGGACTTAAATATAAACACACACATGCTTCTAGATGAATTAGTATTTTTATTGTAATACGAACAACTATAAAAATAACCAAAAGTGGTATATCAGTGACCAAAACAGAAATTCTTTACCCATCTTTTTCTCTCAGCTCTCTGCTTGGAATAAAATTATTGCCAATGTAGTTAAAGTTTCACTTGGTGTTAGTAAATGAAATAAATTATTATGCCAATATCTTTGACTAAGACAGTTCAGTGATTCATTAGGCAATATTCTGGATGAAACCTCAGACAACACAGACATTAAAGAATGCTTGCCAGCTATTAAAGCCTGAACTAAATCCTCATCATTTTTCCCTTCCCGTGGAGGTTAGGCTAAGGAATTACAGAGAAGGAATGTGGTCTGCTGGCTTACTGCCTGTAGTCCTTGGAAGGATTGCCCAGATCTGCTAACCTGGCATGTGCCTCCACAGGTGCAATAGATAGCCCAAATCTGAGTGATTGGAATAACATAATACTTGCAATGGCAGCAATGTGGGAGCAAAGAGACTTCATCTTGGTATCTCAGCAGAGGGTGACAGTTGTCCAGCTCATTAGATGCCAGGTAATAAAGGACAAATCTTTCCAAGATTCTACTGCCCATCTGTTTTTTTTCTGCCTAAGCCAACCTAATAGCTTGCTTACCTGGGTACTGAGGTCACATATCAACATGAACAGTCAAATAAAAATTGTAATTCATTTACAATGAATTAGTAATTTGAACAATCAAGACTGAACAGACTAAAAAAAAAAAACAGAAAAACAGAATGAACTCTTGGATTTATTATGGTTAATTTGTAGAAGGAGACAATTTTAATACAATGCATAGAGCATAATCAAGGATACTTAGAATGCAACACCAATAATTCTTTCTCACTGGAATAACATAACATGTTTATTTAAAAATGAATAAATAAACTGAAGACAGAAAATTCACTGAGAACATCAAAGAAGAGATATAAAATGACAAGAAACAAGAGAGGGAGAAAAAGTGATTTTTAAATAATTAATGTGATAAAAAATGGGGAGGGTAGAATCCCTAAAACCTAAAAGTTAGTAATTTCAGACGAGAACATTAAGAAATGGTGAATTAATAATTACAGAAATAATTTAAAAATCAAAATCTCAATATTACTTAAGTTTTCAGTTTAAAACACTCATTATCAGGAAAAATTAATGAAAAAAACATACATATTTAAGATTAACAGTGCATTTCCTGAATTTCAGAAATAACGAGAAAAGTCTTGAGAAAATGAGAAGAAAATGAAACAAAACCACACAAATTAAGAGGAAAATAATATAAAAATATAAGTGCATCTATTATCAAAATAAGTGGCAAGTGACAAAATTACTCTTTAAAAAGACACTAACTTTAGAATTGACCTAAAGCAAAATTCATGAATAGAAAAATGTAAACATAAAATGTTGAGTAGTAATGTACAAGGCAAACACAAAGAAAAGTAGAATAACAAAGTAAAATTTAAAGTCAATGTCTTTACTTTAAAAAAGCAAAGTGTAAAATATATAGCCATTGAACATTCATTCATAAAAATAAAGACATATACAAGGAGAACTTCATGAAATATATTCATAGCTAAACCTTTTAAAGTAAATTCTTTCAATTAAAAAAACTTGTAGCTTTATTTTATTTTATTTTAGGTTTAGGGGTACATGCACAGGTGTGTTATATCAGTAAATTGGGTATCATGGGGCTTTGGTGCATAGGTTGTTTTTTCACCCAGGTAATAGGCACAGTACCTAATAGGTAGTTTTTTCTATCCTCACCTTCTTCCCAGCCTCCACCCAGTGGTAGCAACTTAAAGGAGATTTTTTTCCGGATTTCAAATAATATCACAATAATTCCTTCTGAATATTTATATTCCTTTAAAATTTCAGTTTCACTGGATATGATAAGCTGATGTGGCCTGTACAATCTCTGCTTATGGAAATCATTGTAATTTTAGTTTTTTCTCACTACATAAATTTTCATGTGAAATTTAGAAAACACAAATATGTATATATCCTTGGACTACAGGGCAATCCTTTTGTGTATATTAATGGAGGCTTGCTATTTGTTAACCAAATATTCTACAGATCTTTGAATGTGTAATATGTCACATTTTCATGTAGAAGTATTTTAGATTTATTCCTCAGAATTTCATATTTTTGAATGTTATTGTAGATAATGTTTTTAATTTTATTTTTTATTTCTCTTATAAGTAAAAGTACAATTGACCTTTTATCCAGTGATCTTATTATATTTCCCAATTAGTTAAAATTGTTAGTAGATACTTGATATGTACATAATTTATACAATAATAACAAATATGCATAGTTATTTTTATTTCTTCTTTTTAATATTTATATTTCTATTTTTGCTGTATTGTACTGAGTAAGAAGACCTTTAGAACTATGAGAAGACATTATTTAATGTCTTCAAAATGTCAAAAATAAAAGACATAACTTAAATATTCATAGATATTTTTAAGTGAAAAGTATAAACAAGATAAAACATGAGAAAATAGAAAAACTGCAACTTTTACGGAAAGAAAAAAAGAATGAATGCACTGACCCTGTGTTATAGTCTAAATGTTTGTGATTTCCCAAAATTCATTTGTTGAAATCCTAACCCCCAATGTGATGGTATAAGGAGGTGGGGCATTTAGCAGGTAGTTAGGTTGGGATGTAGTAAAGCCATGAAGGTAGAACCCTCATGTATAGCATTATTAATCTTATAAAAAGGACTCCAGAGAGCTTTTTTGCCCTCTTTTTGCCTTGTGAGGACATACATGGGAAGAATTCAGAAGTCTGCAATCCTGAGAAGGGCCCCCACCAGGGCTTAGCCATGCTGGCACTCTCATCTTGGACTTTTAGTCTCCAGAACTGTGGGTAATTAATTCATTGTTTATCAGTCACCGAGTCTATGGTACTTAGTTATAGCAGCCCAAACTGAGATACGATGTAAAGGATTCTTTCAAATTACAACAAGACAATATAAATTGAAAACCAGACAAACATTTTAAAATATTAATTTAACAACAACAACAAATTAAATAACTAGAAGTCTTGGTCAACCTTAGTAAAGATCAGTGAACTATTTTAAGGAAAATCATACAAAAATTCATTCAACTGTGAAAAGTTGGAAAAATTCCCAGTAAGTCCACTTGTCTGAGTTGAACATGGTATATCATCTTATATTTTATAAATAATAGTAGGATTCTGTCTACAATCATAGAATTGTTTTGGGGGAATGATAAGGGTTCCCCTAAAATTAATAAGCTGAAGTCCTAACCCCAGTACCTCAAAATGAGAATGTTTCTGATTTGGAATTAAGGCTTTTAAAGGGGTAATTAAGGTAAAATGGGGTCATACAGGTGGCCCCTAATATAATGTAACTGGGGTCCTTATAAAAAGAGATTAGGTCAAAGACAGACACCATATAAAGACAGAATAAGAAGGCATCGATCTGCAAGCCAAGGAGAGAGGTTTCAAAAGACCAAATCTACCAACACTTTGATCATGGACTTCTAGCTTTCAAAACGGTGAGAGAATAAATTTCTGTTGTCTAAAGGACCCAGTTTGTGCTATGCGTTTATGGCATCTCCAGCAAACTAATACAGAAGAAAGAACAAAATAGGACATAGTTTAGACATCTCTTATAGATTAAGATTATATACATATACACTTTAATGTTAATAGTTACCATTATTTATTTATTTTATTTTATTTGCCAATATTTAAGTAATACTAATCTGAATATTTACCAAATATATGTATGCATTATGTAAGTAGTCTTAAATGATGACTGTGTCACTTGGAACATTTTATTTTCATTTATTCATGAATTTTTTCAGGAAAGGCTAAGACATCATTATTGAGGACTAGTCTGCTGATTGTAGTTCCATACTAAATCTCTTGCATAAACCACAACATAATAAAAATTTAAAAATTCCTATTTTGAGTTTATTTAAAAGGAAACAATTTTAAGAGAGCTATAAAGAAAACAGAGTACAGAAACTTTTTAGAGTATATATTTTCTAGAGTTTTAGCCTATTTCACCTGTCTAAAATGATTGCAGTTTTTAAGCAAACGTACAGCATATTTCTCAATTACCTTAGCTTTCATACAATTTCCTTGTCAAACTCAAATTTTATAGACTTACATGCTTATCACATGATATAGTAAGCAGTAGTCTAAATAATGCTTGCTCTATTAGGCAGCTCAGGCTACTGCAACAAAATACCATAGACTGAGTGACTTAAATAATGAAAATTTATTTTCTCGTGGTTTTAGGGACTGAAGGTCAAAGATGAAAGTGCTGACTGATTCAGTTTCTGGTGCAGATACCTACCTTTTTGCTGTGCCTTCACATGATCTCTCTTCCATATGGACAGAGAGAGAGAGAGTGAGAGCTCTCTTTCACTCTTCTTATAAAACCATCAACCTATAGGATTAGGGCCCTATCTTTACAACTACATTTAATGTTAATTACCTCCAAAAGTCCTGTCTCCAAGTACAGTCACATTTGGGTTTTGTGATCCAATATGTGAATTTGGGGAGGACACATGTCACCCCATAACAGTTGCTAATACCATGGTAATCGCTAGGGAACTAGTTGAATCAAATGTGTACCGGCATGCTACAGAGTGACCTTTTGTCTGCATTCATTAAACACACCAGGGGTTTTGGTTTAAAAGGATTTATAAGGGAGAAGAGCATTTGTTACTCTTGTGAGCCGGTGACTTGAGTGGCAACTGAGAGGACTGCTTAATTATGGAAATGGAAGAAGTGCAGGAAGCAAAGTATTCAGAATATTATAGAAGGTATAATCTCATTCTAAAAAAAAAACAAATAAACTCTTTATTTCTGTCTCTTGCCTGATTGCCCTGGCCAGAACTTTTAATACTATGTTGAATAGGAGTGGTGAGAGAGGACATCCTTGTCTAGTACTGGTTTTCAAAGGGAATGCTTCCAGCTTTTGCCCATTCAATATGATTGTCTCTGTTTGCAGATGACATGATTTCTATATTTATAAAGCCCCATCATCTCAGTCCAAAATCTCATTAAGCTGATAAGCAACTTCAGCAAAGTCTCAGGATACAAAATCAATGTATAAAAATCACAAGCATTTCTACACACTAATAATAGAGAGCCAAATCATGAGTGAATTCCCATTCGCCATTACTACAAAGAGAAGAAAATACTTAGGAATACAACTTAAAAGGGACGTGAAGGAACTCTTCGAGAAGAATTACAAACCACTGCAAAAGGAAATAAGAGAGGACACAAATGGAAAAACATTCCATGCTCATGGATAGGAAGACTCAATATCGTGAAAATGGCCATGCTGCCCAAAGTAATTTATAGGTTCAGTGCTATCCTCATCAAGCTACCATTAACTTTCTTTACAGAATTAGAAAAAACTACTTTAAATTTCATATGGAACCAAAAAAAGAGCTCGTATAGCCAAAACAATCATAAGCAAAAAACAAAGCTGGAGGCATCATGCTACCTGATTTCAAACTATACTACAAGGCTACAATAATCAAAACAGCATGGTACTGGTACCAAAACAGACACATAGACCAATGGAACAGAACAGAGGCCTCAGAAATAACACCACACATCTGCAACCATCTGAGCTCTGACAAACCTGACAAAAACAAGCAATGCAGAATGGATTCCCTATTTAATAAATGGTGCTGGGAAAATTGGCTAGCCATATGCAGAATACTGAAACTGGACCCCTTCCTTACCCCTTATACAAAAATTAACTCAAGATGGATTAAAGACTTACATGTAAGACCCAAAATCATAAAAACCCTAGAAGAAAACCTAGGCAATACCATTCAGGACATAGGAATGGGCAAAGACTTCATGAGTAAAGCACCAAAGGAAATGGCAACAAAGCCAAAATTGACAAATGGGATCTAATTAAACTAAAGAGCTTCTGCACAGCTAAAGAAACTATCATCAGAGTGAACAGGTAACCTTCAGAATGGGAGAAAATTTTTGCAGTCTATCTGCCTGACAAAGGGCTAATATCCAGAATCTACAAGGAACTTAAGCAAATTTACAAGAAAAAAACAAACAACCCCGTCAAAAAGTGGGCAAAGGATATAAACAGACACTTCTCAAAAGAAGACATTTATGTGGCCAACAAACATATGAAAAAAAGCTCACCATCACTGGTCATTAGATAAATGTAAATCAAAATCACAATGAGATACCATTTCATGCCAGTTAGAATGGCAATCATTAAAAAGTCAAGAAACAACAGATGCTGGAGAGGATGTGGAGAAATATGAATGCTTTTACACTGTTTGTGGGAGTGTAAATTAGTTCAACCATTGTGGAAGACAGTGTGGAGATTCCTCAAGGATTTACAACCAGAAATACCATTTGACTCAGCAATCCCATTACTGGGTATATACCCAAAGGATTATAAATCATTCTACTATAAAGACATACGCACACATATGTTTATTGAAGCAGTATTCACAATAGCAAAGACTTGGAACCAACTCAAATGTCCATCATTGATAGACTTCATAAAGAAAATGTGACACATATACACCGTGAAATACTATGCAGCCATAAAAAAGGATGAGTTCATGTCCTTTGCAGGGACATAGATGAAGCTGGAAAACATCATTCTCAACAAACTAACACAGGAACAGAAAACCAAACACTGCATGTTTTCACTCATAAGTGGGAGTTGAACAATGAGAACATGTGGACACAGGGAGGGGAACATCACACATCGAGGCCTGTTGGCGGGTGGGGGCTAGGGGAGGGATAGCATTAGGAGAAATACCTAATGTAGATGATGGGTTGATGGGTGCAGCAAACCACTATGGCACATGTATACCTATGTAACAAATTTGCACATTCTGCACATGTATCCCAGAACTTAAAGTATAATAACAAATAAATAAAACATCATATATTTATAAAATCTTTTAGGCTTTCCAGTGGCCTGACAATGGTCATGGTTATAGAAGCTTTTCTATTTTTGCTTCTTGCTCATTTCCAAGCCTGTTTCTCCAGGCTTCTAAGTGAGTCTGTGATTCCCTAATATTGTTCCAGTAATTTCTTTTTGAACTTACGGTAGCTAGAGTTATTAACAGTCAAGTAACATGACTGACACAAAAACTCTTTTCATTTGTGGGTCAAAGACAATGGATCTGGAGCGCAAACATTAGATGATCCTAAAAGCAGAGAAAAATCCAGTAACTATTGTGGTTCAGCCTCCAGTATGTCCTTGTGTGTGTGTGTTAAGGATTTTTGCATCTATGAACATCAGCAATATTGATCTGTAGTTTTCTTTTTTCGTTATGTCCTTGTCTGGTTTCGGTATCAGGATAATGCTGGAATCATAGAATAAGTAATGGAATTATTCCTCCCTCTTCAGTTTTTTGAAGAATTTGAGTAGGACTGGTATTCTTCTTTAAACGTTTGGAAGAATTCATCAGTGAAGCCATCAGGTCCCGAACTTTTCTTCAATGGGAGACTTTTTATGGCTTTGATCTTATTACTCATTATTGGTTTGTTAAGCTTTCCCATTTCTCCATAACTCAGTCTTGGTAGGTTGTATGTGTTCAGGAATGTATCCATTTCTTCTAGACTTTCTATTTTGTTGGCATATAGTTGTTCATAATAGTCTGCAATAATTCTCTGAATTTCAGAGGTCTCATTTATGTCTCCTTTTTAATTTCTAATTTTAGGTCTTCTTTTTTTGGTCTAGCTAAAGATTTGTCAATTTTGGTTAACTTTTCAAATAAATGACTATTTGTTTCGTTGATCTTTTGCATTTTTTAATCCCAATTTTATTTGTTTCTGCTTTGATATTTATTGTTTCTTTCCCTTTACTAATTTTGGGGTTTTTTTTTTTCTTGCTTTTTGAATTCCTTGAGGTGCATCATTAAGTTGTTTATTTTAAATCTACTTTTTTGATATAAATGTGTATTGCTATAAACTTCCCTCTTAGTACTGTTTTTGCGATATCCTATAGGTTTTGGTATGTGGTATTTTCATTTTTCTTTGTTTCAAAAAATGTTTTAATTCCCACCTTAATTTCTTCACTATTTGTCATTCATTAGCATGTTGTTCAATTTTTGTGTGTTTGTGTACTTTCTGAGGTGCCTCTCATTACTGACTTGTAGTTTTATTTTATGATTGTCAGAAAATAGTTGATAAAATTGTATTTCTAAAAAATTGGTTTACAACTTTTGGCACCCTATGATATGGTCTATTGTGTAGAATGCACTACGTGCTGATGAAAAGAATGTGTATTTTGAAGCTGTTGAGTAAAATGCTCTGTAATATCACTTAGGCTTCTTAGATTCAGTACGCAGCATAACTCAGCTGTTTCTTTGTTGCTATTCTGTTTGGATGATCTGCTACTGAGAGTGAGGTGTTAAACTCTCCCACTATTATTGTATTGTAGTCTATCGCTTTCTTTAGCTCTATTAATGATTGTTTTATATAATGGGTGCTCTGGTGTTGAGTGCATAAGTACTTATTATTGTCATATTTTGTGGCTGAATTGAACTCTTTACCATTATGTAGTGACCTTCTTTGTCTCTGTATATAATCTTAGATTTGCAGTCTATTTTTTCCGATATAAGAAAGCTATTGCTGCTCCTTATTGGTTTCTAGCTGCATGGAATATCTTTTTCTATACCTTCAGTTTCAGTCTATGTGTGCCTTTATAGATGAAGTGGGTTTCTTGAAGGTTGCATCTAGTTGGTCCTTGTTTCTTTATCCATTCAGCCATGCCTTATAACTGGAGAACAGTGATCATTTACATTCTGTGTTATTAATGATAAGTAAGAACTTACTACAGCTAATTTGTTGTGTTTTTTGGTTGTTTTGAGGCTTCTTTTTTATTTTTTTTTTCTTACTGTCTACCTTGTGGTTATGTAATTTTCTCTGGTAATATGTTTTAATTGGTTGCTTTATATTTTCAGAGACTCTATTACAGGTTTTTGTGTTGTGGTTACCATAAGGCTTACAAAAAACACCTTGTAGATATAGCAAGTTATTTTAAAGAAATGACACCTTATCTTAGATCACAAATAAAAGACTAGAAACATAGGCAAACACACAAAAATTGTACACTTTACATTTTCTTTTCTATTATTTTGACTTAGTTGCTTAATTTACATATTTTTAAATTACCTATCTTTTAACGGGCTGCTGTTGCCATTAGTGTTTTGGATAGATTTGTCTCTGTGGTTTCAGAAGAGATTTATAAGTAGACTGCACATCACAATTACAGTATTAGAGTATTATGGGTTTATCCATGTTCTTAATTTTACCAGTTTTTATCAGGGTTTTATACCAAATAAAGTTGTCTTTTTGCATGTGAGTGTTTTATTTTATTTCAGACTGAAGAAATCCCTTTAGTATTTTGTAGGACGAGTCTGGTGGTGTTGAATTCTCTCAGTTTTTATTTGTCTGGGAAAGACTTTATTTCTCCTTTATATTTAAAAGATAATGTTGTTGCAGGCAATAATTTTGAATAACAGTATTTTTCTATGAGCACTTTAAAAAGATTTTCCATTCCCTCCTGGCCTGTATTGTTTCCATTGAGGAGTCTGTCGCCAGATGAATTGAATCTCCGGGATATGCTATTTACTTCTTCTTTCTTGCTGATTTTAGGAACTTCTCTCTATTTTGATCTTTGAGAATTTGATTATTATATGACTTGAGATAGTCTTAAAGGGGTTCAATATCTGTAGCAGTCTTAGAGCTTCTTGTGCCTGCATATTTATATCTTTCTCAATATTTGAAAAGTTTCCTGTTATTATTTATTTGAATACTCTTTCTACCCATTGCTCTTGAACACCAATATTTCTTAGATTTTGTTTTTTGAAATAATTTTCCATATCCTGTAGGCAGTCTCTGTTACTTTTTGTTTTTTTCTTTTTTCTCTTCTTTGTATTTTCAAATAGCCAGTCTTTGAGCTCACTCCTCTACTTGGTACATTCTGCTCTTTAGAGCCTTTATTGAGATTTTCAGTGCAGCAAATGTATTTCTTAGTTCCAAGATTTTTGATTTTTTAAATTATTTCAATCTGTTTGCTAAATTCCTCTGATAAATTTTTGAATTCCTTTCCTGTGTTATCTCAAAGATCATTGGGTTTCCTTAAACTTGCTACTTTGAATTCATGGTCACAAAGCTCACTATCTGCCAACTTCTTAGGGTCAGTCACCGGATTTTTACTTTGTCCTTTTGGGGAAGTCATGCTTCGTCATTTGCTACTGTTTCTTGTGGGTGTATGTCTATGTCTTTTCATTGAAAGATTAGTTATTTATTTCAGTTTTATCTGTCTGTCTTGAATTGGTTTTTACTGTATATATTTGCTTCACAAATCTTGACTGTTAGGTCTTGGCCTTTTTTTAAGCTCTACTTGATGTCTTAAGCCCAGTGCTGCCTATCTCAAATGGTAGAGATGCAAGGAATCATCCTGGTAGTGTGGAAACACTGGCTAGCGTTTTGTGGCCAAGGAACCCATGGGACATATCTTCTATAGTGTGGTACTGCTGAACAACTATTCTGATTTAGCATTTCCTTGGTCTGAGTTAGAGAAGTTTCCAGAGGTAGAAATTATAGTCCCACTTCCCCTTTTTGTCTCTGACTGTCCTTAGGAATATTTCTTCTTCAGACAATCACATGCTTCCCATGGGTTAAGGCAAGGACAGGTCTCCTGCCAGGTAACCCAAGATGGTGGGAAAGCTGGTTAACCACCTCAATCTAACTTTTTTCAGCATAGTACCATGAGGTGGGGGATGATATTTTGTGTGCTTCTTACAGGAGCAGAATCAGAGTTGAGGCACACTACTGGTGTAGAAGTTTGATTCTCCTACCATCTGCCCAGAAGGCTTTTTTGTTTGTTTTTGTTTTTAACTTCTTTGTGTCCTTAGGATCTATCTTACTCTCAGATTTGAGTTGTGGTTTGTTGCCGGTAAAAATCTTGGCACTGTGTATTTATTTGGAGTTGTCTTGGGGCAGGCGGGATAGCTTGCTTCTATCCTGCATTTTTCCCAGTAATAGAAATTATTTTTTTAAAAAGAAGAAAATGCAAAAAAAATAAAAGCAAGCTAAACATTTAAACTTTGAATTGAATTATATTAAAAACAATCAGAAATTATGAATAAATTGAAATATGTCAATACATATTATAAAATAAGATTTAATTACAGTACAAATAATATTTATCATGAACTGGATAGATAGTATTTGGGAAAAAAATACATAAATGTGATATATCTACTCATCATCCAAAACATCACAGCACTTTTTAAATAGTCAAAAACCAATGAAACTTCAGTACTACCCCGGGTTGGAAACAATGACCTCAGAACTGTGTAAAATGTTTGATTAGAAATTAAAGGAAATAAGATTTTGGCAGAACCAAATTTATCTTCAGGAAGTTGCCTTCAAAATTATAGCTATGTCTTATCTCCATTATCTTCTGCTTTCATTATGGAGATGATGGTAGTATGAACAAAAACATCTATATCTTATTATCGAATACCTATTAAATTTATCTGTAGTGAAAAATAAGTTTATCTTCTCCAGGAAACAGTATCCTTGATGTTTTTGGGCTGTAGGACCACTGGGAAGCTAAAGAATGTTGAGCCTTTTCTTATAATTGTATGAGATCATTTTTGCTTGCAGGTTACAAAAACTCAATCTGATCTACTTGGGCAAAAATTATTTGGCTCAGAGAATAAAACCACATGAAGAGTTTGAATGAAGTTGAACCCTAGAGGCAGGGCTTCAGGGGGATATGCCAGCCTCCATTCTATCTAAATATCTGCCTATGTCTGCATGCTGATTTTATTCTTTTCATTTATCCCACATCATCACATCCTCACCATCAGATAGAAGGACTTGCTTTCATTGGTTCCAATTAAAAATTCCCAGGAATGGAATTTCACTGATGTGGAGGTGGGGAAGATAACATTTCCACCTTTGGTTGGTGCCATGGAAGTTGAGTGAAGTAATTGACAGTCCCCACAAGAGCCACATGGCATATAGTCAGACAACATAGAGTTCTTCCAAAAAGGAGGGCAGCTGGGAAAAATTAATTATTTTTTAAAACAATACATTTCTATCAAATATAATATTTAACAAGTTGCCTTCACATTCTCCTTTAAGCCTTAATAATTTTGTTATAAAAACATATTAGAAATGGTGAGATTGATTCCCAAAAGACTTAAATGGTTTACAAAGTTAACATACATACTAAATGCCAGAGATTAGACTAGAATTTAGGATTTCACACTTTGAGACTCGTGTTCTCTCTGCATTTCAAATTAGGTGTTTGCATCACTTATTCGGACTGTCAGGACTATTCAAAGTCATGCATTCATAAATCTTTTAATATTGGGAGCTTAATACTAATTATACAAAAAAATACTGTACAAAGAGAAACAGAATAAGTTGAGCTGAATGACAGAAGGTTGCTTACTCTTTCTAACATCAACCTCCCACTAATGTTTTCTCTATATTTCAACCAGTCCCTTCTAATGCTAAACGACCTGGATTTCAAAATGAATTTCCTCTCTCATAAGATTTGTAATAGAGAGTATTTGCCTCAATGTAAAGATTATGAAGGCATTATTTCCTGGAAATAAATGAAGACATTATCTTTGAGGAAGTAGATATATAGAGTGTACATTTCATGTACTTGGTATATAAAAATCCACATGCTTTCTGATTATGGATGTCTAGAATAGTCACAAAAGCATTTGGCTACAGAAGATTAGGTGGAACATCAATGATCAGAACAAGTTCTGGAATGAGTCAAATATCCCCTAACTTCCTATTTTACCTCTTTACTAATAGAATCTTTCATAAACTCCAAATGTCTGAAAATGTTAAATATGATCATGACTAGTATTATTTAGTCACAAACATACAGAAAGTACACATGATAGTGCAAAACCAGTGGGAGTCCGGCTTTTTTCTGTCTCAATTATTCGTCCCTCTTTTCCTTCTGCCTATTAGCCTTGCCCTCTTCTGTCAGATTTTTCCATATTTTTTTTCTTCACTCTTACTGGGCAGACTATTGTAGATTCCTCATTTGCCCTTTATTTGATGGCTTACATTTTCTGATTACTCTTTTTTTAATTTCCAATTTTTATTTTAAGTTCAGGGGTACATGTGCAGGATGTGCAGCTTTGTTACATAGGTAAATGTGTGCCATGGTGGTTTGCTGCACAGATCATCCCATCACCCAGGTATTAACTCTAACATCCGTTAGCTATTCTTCCTGATCCTCTCCCTTCTCCCACCCACTACCCTCTGACAGACTCTAGTGTGTGTTGTTCCCCCCCCCCAATATATCCATGTGTTCTCATCATTAATCTCCCACCTATAAGTGAGAACATGCAGTATTTGGTTTTCTGTTCCTGTATTAGTTTGCTAAGGATAATGGTCTCCAGCTCCATCCATGTCCCTGCAAAGGACATGATTTAGTTTCTTTTTATGGATGCATAGTATTCCATGTTGTATATGTACCACTTTCTCTATCCAGTATATCACTGATGAGCATTTAGGTAAATTCCATGTCTTTCTTACACCATATACAAAAATCAACTTAAGATGGATTAAAGACGTAAATGTAAAACCCCAAACTATAAAAACCCTTGAGAAAAACCTAGGTGATACCATTCAGGACATAGGCACAGGCAAAGATTTCATGATGAATACACCAAAAATAATTACAACAAAAGCAAAAATTGACAACTGTGATCTAACTAAAGAGATTCTGCACAGCAAAAGAAACTATCAACAGAGTAAACAGACAACCTACATAATGAGAGAAAATTTTTGCAATCTAGCCATCTGACAAAGGTCTAATATCCAACATCTATAAGGAACCTAAACACAATAAAACAAGCTAACAAACCCATTAAGATGCACAAAGGACATAAAAAGACACTACTCAGAAGAAGACATACATGTAGCCAACAAACATATAAAAAAGAGTTCATCACTCATCACTAGAGAAATGCAAATCAAAACTTTGAGATACCACTTCACAGCAGTCAGAATGATTATTATTAAAAAGTCAATAAATAACACATGGTAGTGAGGTTGTGGACAAAAAGGAATGCTTATACGCTGTTGGTGAGAGTGTAGATTCGTTCTGATTACTTTTTAATACTAATTACCAGAAAGTGTTGTCTTGCATCATGTAATTTTGATATATTATTGTGTTGACAATATCTCTTTTGCTTTCTTCTGTGTTCATGATACTTACTTTAATGTAGGGAGAGAGTAAAAACCATTCCATGCTTGTACTATCACATACTATTATAAAAGATGTGTTCTGTCTTCACTAAGTTACCTGTTGGAGTTACAGTTGAACAAAAGATAAATTTAGTACCAATAACACTCACGTCGAGCTGTTCACTTGTGTTGGTGAACTTCCTCCAGGCATTGTGTTAGAAACTCTCCCTAATCATGAAGGAAGTGAAAATTCAACCATCAGTAGAATACATATGATCATTTATACTAGCAATAGCTAAAAGGAGGGATTATGCCCTGGGTAGCATGACTTTCACATTACAATCTCCCCAGAAGAAATCCCACCACCTCTGATCCTTCAATTCCTATTCTGTGAATTTATCTCAGGTGAATTATTAGATGGATGAATCACTGCAGCTGAACAATTATACTCACACCTAAAATTACTATTTATAAAGCATAATATCACTGAGAATCGGTTAACTGTGGTATATTCATGGAAAGGAATTTTAGGAAGGCGTTTCAAAAAACACAAAGAATTCTTTAAGTTAATATAAACAGTTGTTCACAGTGTGTAGTTTAATGAAATTGCAAGCTTCTATAGTTTATATCCAGTATGGTATCATTTATCTATACTTTTTAATCAAGGTAGTTATACCAAATGGTTATTGAGTGTTCATCATATGTCAGGCTGTGTGACTGGTTGTAGGAATACAGTTATAAACAAGATAACCAATTTTTAAAATTACATTATACTAAAGAATACATGCACAAAAGCAAATAAACAGAGGATAAACATTGGTATATTTAACTTATATTTTGACTTACTCAAGCACTTTTATTAAAAGATCTGTTTCAAAACCAAAGTTACATTGAAGATTTCAGTGTTAAAGACAATAATTTTAATTACAAATAAGAAAAAAGAATCCCTGTGCTTATTGTAAATTAAGCTTTATTTAAAGTGATTAGCAAAAGTATAATTTACTGGCTACACATCTTGCCAGTATTAACATAAGTATTGGCCTCTTGTTGGTTATCTTATAGTTCTGGAGGTCAGAGGACTAAAATGGGACCCACTGGGTTAAAATCAAGGTGTTGGCAGCACTATGTGTCTTCTGAAAGCCTTGGCCAGAATCTCTTCCGTTTCTTTTTACAATTTCTAAACCTAAGAGCCTTGGCCCCTGGTCCATCTTTTTTTTAAATAAATCTTTCTTTTGAAAATTTCCATTGATACATATTATTTGTACATTTTGATGGGATATGTCTGATATTGTTACATGCATAGAATGTGCAGTGATCGTCAGGTTATTTAAGTATTATGACCTCAAGTATTTATCATTTCTACATTTTACAAACATTTCAAGGTCTTTCTGTTATTTTAAAATATATAATGCATTGTCGTTAACTATAGTCACCCTATTCTGCTCTCAGACAGTGCAATTTATTTCTTCTAGCTATTAGGTTAGTGCAAAAGTAATTGCTGTTTTTGTCATTAAAACTAAAGGCAAAAACAGCAATTACATTTGCACCAACCCAACTCAAGTATGTGTACCCATCAACCAGCTTCTCTTCATTCCCTCTTAAAAGCCAGGAATAGCATCACTTAGACCTCTGCTTAAGTTGGTACAACCCCTCTGATTATTTCTATGACCTTCCTCTTTCATTTATAAAGAAATTTGTAATTACATCGGACTTATCAGATATTCTAGGATAATTCCCTCATCTCAATATCTTTAATTTAAAAAATATTCACAAAAACACTTTTACTATGTAAGGCAATATTTCCAGAGGTTTAGATCTACGAGGGGCTATCTTTCTGCCTACTACAACATGCTATACCATTTTCAAAAATTATATTAACTGCATCACAAATCTTTGTTACAAACATAGAGGTTTACATTTCAGATGGGTCAAGTCTGGCTTCATAATAAAATAGTTTGAAAATAATGGGGACCTTATCTTTGTGCATTGAATGACAGGAAAATAAAACAGCATAATCTGTCACACTAATAAAGCACAGAGTAGATACAAATTTAACCTCAATTGAAAGTTTCAAGTCAAACTAGTTAGTCGGTCAAATTGTTTAGCTATCTGTATTATAAAAAAGTGATATGTTTCAGAAACATATCATTTTTCAGTTTAAAAATTCAGCACCGCATTGTGCCATGAAAATATAAATACATCAGTATTTCTCAAAGAGAGATGTCTGCGCCAGCATCATCACCTTCAAGGAAGAACAAGTTAGACATACAAATTCTTGGAACCCAACCAAGATATGTTTAGTCAAAAATTATGTGGGTGTGGCTCAATAATTTGCATTTTTATAAGTGTTCCAAGTAATTCTGATGCACATACAAGTTTAAGAATCACTGGAAATAACAAAGCACTTTTAGAAGTCAGTGATTTGCTTCTGATTTTTTTCTCTAATTAACATGCATTCTTTATTATTTATTATCTTATTTATTTATTCATTTCTTTATTTTTTGAGACAGAGTTTCACTCTTGTTGCCCAGGCTGAGGTGCAATGGCACGATTTGGGCTCAATACAACCTCCGCCACCCGGGTTCAAGCGATTCTCCTGCCTCAGCCTTCCAAATAGCTGGGATTACAGGCATGCGCCACCATGCCCAGCTAATTTTGTATTTCTTTAGTGGAAACAGGGTTTCACCATGTTGGTCAGGCTGGTCTCGAACTCCTGACCTCAGGTGATCCACCTGCCCCTGCCTCCCAAAGTGTGGGATTACATGCGTGAGCCATGGCACCCAGCTGTTCCTTTTTAAAGATTGCTAATTCTGATTTCATATTTACCTGTATCAGAGAGAGAGAACTAAAATTATCCTATTTCTATATATGACCTATATATTCTATACTTGCAATTTGCAATACGTTTTATTAAGTACGTAAATAAGAATCTTAATATAGAAGCCTACTTTAGTCAGGGAGACCCCCAAAAAGAAGTGAAATTTAAATCCTAACCTATGAAATTAAAGAAGCAAATCATTTAGAGAATGGTCAAGAACATTCTAGGTAGAGGTATCATTTCTAGGACAGAGATGAACTTAAAAAATTTCAATAAATATTAGTTACACAAGGGTGCCAGAGACTTAGTGAGCCAGGAAAGGAGTGGACAAGATCAGATCCAACAGAAAGCAAAGATCTGGACCTGTAAATCTTGTTAGTCTAGCAAGGAATTTGGATTTGTTTTAGAAACAATGGAACGTATTTGAGTGGCTTTAAGTGACATAAATTGAGATGTAAGCAAGCATGCACATGTGCGGATGTGTGCATTAATTTTATGCTTGAAGAATCAAAGCTGCACCGAGGAACACTGGTTAAGAAGACATTGCAATGATACAAATGATAGACTGATGGTCCCTGAGCAGAGCTAATGACGGTAGAGACGGCCAAAAGAAGGTAGATTCAAAATTTATTTATGCATGAATTTGTTTATTTTACTTTTTATATTATTATTGTTTTTGCCTGGTTTTCTTTCTTTTAATGTTTGGTAGAAGTCACCAGGAGTTTTTCTTGTTAAGAGTTATTTTACTAAAAATTTCAACTATTGAATAATTAAGATGGATATAAAATTATTCTTTCTTCTTGACTGAATTTTGATAGATTGCGGATTTTAAGGAATTTGTTCATTTTATCAAAGCTGTCAGTTTTGTGGACATAGTGACATAGAGTTTTTTTCATCGTATTTCTCAATTATCTTTTTAATGTAGGGTGATACTACCTATTTTGCAAATCTTTCTCTTTCTCTGTGACCTCTGCTTCCACCATCAAATTTCCTCCTTTCATGTCCCGAATCCTGCTTTTATCTTTTAAGGCCCCTTGTGACTGCATTTGGCCTTCCTGGATAAGTCAGGATAATCTCCCTATCTTAATATTCCTAACTTAATCACATCTACAGAATCCCTTTTGCCATGTACGGTAACATATTCACAGGTTTGAGGGATTAGAATGAGGGCATCTTTGGAGAGGCTCTTTTTCTACGTAGAAATGTACTTATTTGATAAAAATGTAACTCTGCCATCATTTATACTTTTTAAAATCCAATCTAATAATCTCTGTCTTTTAAATGTTGTGTTTAGACAATTCATATATAATGTCATTATTGGTATGATTGATTAAATTCAACCATCTTTGCTGCTCATATTCAATTTGTACTCTCTGCTCCTTTGCTTTTCTCCATTTTTTCACTATATTATCTTGTGTTAATTCAAAACTTCTAGTGTTCAATTTTCTGTCCTCTACCGGCATATCATTTATACATTTAAAAATTAAAACTACCAAATAAAGAAAGTCTGCATTACACTACATTAAAATAATACCATTTAGCATGAAGTTTTAAAACTTTTCAATAGTGTTTTTTCAAAACCCTCCTGCAGTCATTTAGGCTATGCTGTCATGCTGCTTACTTTTACATATGTAATAAGTACATAATGAAATAGTCCCATTTCTGCTTTCAACAGCCAGTTATCTCTTACAGTAATTAAACACACACAAAAGAGGAATTTTATTGCACTTTTACATATTCCATTTCCAATGTTTCTTATTTTATTTGTATAGATCCAGATTATGCTCTAATTGCATATAATTTCTTTCTGAGGAACTTCTTTTAACATTTCTTGCAGACTAGTTCTGTAAGCAATATATTTTCTCATTTTTCTTTGCCTGAGAAATATTTATTTCTCCTTCAACTTTAAGGGGTGGTGGTGTTCATCCTGCTTGGTCTTCTCTGGGCTTTTTGAATATGTGATTTTATCAATATATCATTAATTTAGAAAAATTCTCAACTGTCATTTTTTCAAATGTTCCTTCTGCCTCTTTCCTCTCTTCTTGAATTCCAATTATCAGCATGTTAGATCATTTGATATTGTCCAATATTATTGGGATGTTTTGTGCTTTTTTCTTTCATTCTCTGTGTGTGTGTGTGTGTGTGTGTGTGTGTGTGTGTGTGTGTGTGTGTTCTTGACCTGTCTTCAAGTTCTTTGGTTCTTTTATCATTTGTATCAAGTTTATCCATGAGCTTGCTGGAGGCATTGTTCATCTCTGTTACCATCTTTTCCATTTCTTGCAGCTCCATTTGGTTATTTCTTATGATTTCCATCTCTCTGATCATATTAATCATGTGCTTTTAGATGTTACTCAGCAATTTTTCTGCCTTTAACATGCTAATTATAATTATTTAAAAACCCATGTCAGATAGTTTCACTATCTGTACCATATTTGAGTATTCTGCTGCTTATTTTATCTCTTCAAAGTGAGTCTTATATTTCCTTTTTGTATGCTTTTACATTTCTTTAAAAACCCAGATATTTTGTATAAGACATTACACACTGAGGTATATTATTTTTATGCCTTGAAAAGAGCAAAGCATTCCTTGTGCCAGGGCTTTGTCATGAGTGTTCGAGTTAACCTAGTTAGGGGCTTGGCTGTGTTTGAGGTTTGTTATGCTATGTACATAGTACATGGTGCATCCCAGGCTTCAAAGCTTATAGCAATGCTTTGTTTACAGGGTGGGTGTAGATTTACTGGAGCATGTTTGTTTGATTCAGAGCTTACACCTTCCCCTTGAAATGTTATCAGAGAGGACCATTCTTCAGGACTTTGTTCCTCTCCTTTCTCTCTCCCAGTACTGTTAAGCTGTTGTTATTTAAGGCTTATTAGCTTCGTGCTAGGAGTCTGTTATTCTAATCATTCTAAGATTTTGAATGTGTCCTGGAAACTCACAGATGTGACTTTCTTAGTTCTCCCATCCTTTCCTTATTTATAGCTATGTAAACCACTGTCCAATATATAATGTTGCTTCTGCTGCAAGAGTAGAATTTTTCCCGTTGTTTTTTTCCCCCAGCTGCCATGAGTTTTATTGATGCCAAAGGAAAGCATTGCTTCTTTCCCTTTTCCCTTCAAGTTCTGAATTCACCCCTCCTCCTGCAGGGAAGAAGGATCTGGGTAGAGTTTCTTGCTTTTTGCGTACAGTTACCAATACCTTTGCCCTCTTCTCACTTCCCAACTAAGATCTACACCACACTGAACAATCAGTGGGACTGCTGAGAAAAGAGAAAAGAGTCAGCAAAAGATCTTGAACTTCCATCAATTCTGTGGCCCCCTGGGGGTTCAAATTGGCCTACCAGCTTGCTTTCCATCCTCAACAAGTCATCAGCAGTTCTGGCTAAACTCTTCTTACTTGTGATCAGTCATGTTAATATACTCCAGGTGAGCAAGTACTTTAATTTCATCTCTCCCTGCAGGTCTTTCTCTCTATTTGATTTGGGGCTAGTTGTTTCTGTTATCTCAGCTCCCAATGGGTTAAAAAAATGAATATGAAGTTACTTCAGATCTTTTCTTGTTGTAGGATGAAAGCAACACTCCTTCCTGCTTTCTATGCTTTAAATGTAATTTTTAACATAATTTATTACTTTTAACATAATATACTAACAACTTGGAAGTTATGTTGTTTTGAAGATGACTTCTAGCTTTCTTAGTTAAGTACATAATTGCTTAACTCTGTGATCTCATTAGCTTCCATGGATTTCAACACATCTCTAGTCCAGAAAACTCTCCTTCATGTATATTTTGTTTTACTACTAAATTATTAAATTTTCTTCACAATTTTTGGCATATGCACAACTTAAAATGTCCATAAACAGGCTGGGCACCGTGGCTCATGCCTGTAATCCTAGCACTTTGGGAGGTCAAGGCGGGCGGGTCACATGAGGTCAGGAGTTTGACAACAGCCTGGCAAACACGGTGAAACCCCGTCGCTACTAAAAATACAAAAATTTCCTGGATGTGATGGCGGACGCCTATAATCCCAGCTACTTGGGAGGCTGCAGCAGGAGAATCGCTTGAACCCGGGAGGCAGAGGTTGCAGAGCTGAGACTGCACCACTGCACTCTAGCCTGGGTGACAGAAAGAGACTCCATCTCAAAAAAAAAAGTCCATAAACACAAAAATGCATACACAAAACTTAATTCTTATTTGTCTCCTGAACTAAGGCACTTTACATTGCTCTAACTTCTGTCTTCTTGATTTCATAAATCACACATATATTGTTATAGTTTAATACGTGTCATATTAAATTATAACATATCTCATGGGGCAGCCAGAAACTTAATTCAAATAAGGAAATAATTATAAACTTTGTGGGTGCTTTCGAAAAAAATGTTACAGAAGTACAATGAGGAGGGTATCATGCCATGTCTTGCTTGAGATGCAAGCCAAATCCTAAAAACTCAGAGAAGTCTCAGAGGGCCTGTTACAAAGAATAGAGCAACTGGGCAAAAGACAGTGTGAGTAAGAAAAGACAGATTATTGAGATAGATAGATAGATAGATAGATAGATAGATAGATAGATAGATAGACAGATAGACAGACAGATAAATATTTTGCAACAAAAGGCCTCTAATAGTAGTCTACATGTGTGGTATTTATGCAACTCTTGCAATTGCAAGTTATAATGTATTGTGTTTATAATTTACGGCTCTCCTACACTGGTGGATTCGATTTTTGTATAGTGAACTTTTTTGGACAGTTAAACATAGGATAACAGAACTTCAAATTTGTAACATTAAACATCTGACTACCAACTAAAAGGTAAACTAAAGCTACCACATAGTTGTTTTGTATGTCAGTCAATAGTTTAATTTTGTCTTCATCATATTTGGTTTTAAATATAGCTTTTGTGATTATGGACTATGTTGCTGCTTTTTTATTTGTGTTTAAAAAGAAGAGAATGGGCAGTGGAAGGGCTTCTACATGATAGAAATTTTAAATATCAAAACTGGAAGACAACCAAGAAACACAGGTACCAAAAATAATCCAAACAATAATAAGTTCTCAGGACTTGCTCCTTCCACAAAGCATAGAAAAAGTGTTTAACTGAGTTGGGAGCTCTGTATTTTTGTAGACTCACAAGCCAAAATAATCTTTTAATTCTGAATCAATAAAATGTAAAAAACTTTTAATAATAGATCTGAAACCTCAAAGTTGAATAACAAATGAATTTTAGCAATCTAACCCAAATCAAGACCAAGAGAGGGGCTGTCTCCACATATAATACAAATACCAGACAATTAGTTAACTATTCTCTAATTGAAAAAATGGTATGATCTCATTCAGTCATACACACTGATACACACATTGTGCACACACACACACACACACACACACACAGCTACCCCATAGTTAATGAGTTCTTTCATTATGTCTGTTCAACAAGAGCTTTGTATGTTTGATCAAAGCCTCTAATGCAATTCTGAGGTTATTCCATTTAGCAGTCAGCTGATTGGTAACTGCCTTCAGGGACCTCTGAGTCTACCCCCATTTAGAACTTGCTTTAGGAAACGTGTTCTGCATACTGTGTGTTAACAGAGGCTGTGCATTCTATAATTATAACAGGGATATGGGAATTCTTAATTAAACATACACCAGATTTTATAACTTCTAGTGGCATGAGAAATGAAGTGAGGAGGCCTTCAGGAAATCAGAAAGACCATTCAAATACATTTTATTTTATCAAGGTAGTAGTGTAATTAAAGTCATCAATACTGTTATGAACTAATATTTAACTCTATATATCAATCACAGTTCCTAGTTTGAGAATATTCTATGGGTCACTGGGCTAATTATGTTATATCTTTTCTCATATAATATTTATTTTAAAAATCTAATAAGATAGCTATTACTAGTGCTATTTTATAAACAAGGAAATGGAAGCTGAGGCATAAAGTAATTTAGAAAAGACATACAAACAGCTCATAACTAGTAGACTTACACATTTATTTATGGTGTATCTGACTCCTAAGCTAATATTTTGAACAAAAGAATAACCAAACTACAACTCCTTTGTGATTCTTTTCACACATTGCGTTTTTTTCCTGTGCTCTGAGACACATTATTTTGGAGTCATCTTGCCTTTTAGGTAGAATTCGGATGCAGAAATTGTAATTTGCTTATCATCTTGATTCTATAATATTTTGAACTTGTGGGGGCTTATAAACATTGCGTTGCACTCTGAAATTGAACAGCTATAGATAACTGGCCAGCCATATACAGAGGATTGAAACTGGACCACTTCCTTCTACCATACACAAAAATCAATTCAAGTGATTAAAGAGAAATGTAAAACCTAAAACTATAAAAGCCCTGGAAGATAACCTAGGAAATGCCATTCTGGACATAGGCCCTGGCAAAGATTTCATGACAAAGACACCAAAATCAACTGCAACAGAAATTCAAAAATTGACAAATGGGACCTAGTTAAACTAAAGAGCTTCTGCAAAGCAAAATAAACTATCAACACAGTAAACAGACGACATACCCAATGGGGGAAAATATTTGCAAACTATGCATCTGACGAAGGTCTAATATTCAGGATCTATAAGGAACTTTACAAGCAAAAAATAACCCCATTAAAAAGTAGGCAAAGGAGATGAACAGACACTTTTCAAAAGAAGACATACACATGGCCAAAAAACATATGAAAAAATGCGCAACATCACTAATCATTAGGGAAATGCAAATCAAGACCACAATGAGATAACATCTCATACCAGTCAGAATGGTTATTATTAAAAAGTCAAAAAAATAACAGATGTTGGTGAGGTAGCAGAGAAAAGGGAATGCTTGTACACTGCTGGTTGGAACATAAATTAGTATAGCCACTGCGGAAAGCAGTTTCATGATTTCTCAGAGAACTTAGAACACAGCTACCATTCGACACAGCAATCCCATTACTGGGTATGTGCTGAAAGGAATATAAATTATTTTACCATAAAGACACATACATGCCTATGTTCATCTCAGCACTACTTGCAATAGCAAAGACATGGAATCAACCTAAATGCCTATCAACTGTAGACTGGATAAAGAAGATGTGGTACATATACATCACAGAATACTATGCAGATATATAAAATGATGAGATTATGTCCTTTGCAGCAATATGGATGGAGGTGTAGGTCAATATCTTAAGCAAACTAATTCAGAAACAGAAAACCAAATACCACATTTTCTCACTTATGAATGGGAACTAAACATTGAGTACATGTGGACACAAAGAAGAGAACAATAGACACTGTGGCCTACTTAAGGGTGGAGAGTGGGAGGAGGGTGAGGATTAAAAAACTTACCTATCCAGTACTATACTTATTACCTGGGTGATGAAATATTCTGTAAATCAAACCCCCATGACATGCAATTTACCTGTATAACAAACTTGCACATGCACTTCCAAAACTAAAAGTTTTTTTTTTTAATTTTAAGAAATTGAATAGCTACAGTTGAATTCATGTTTCAGTATTCCAAAATTTTAAAAAATCCTTGTGTGTTTTAAACAATGTAGATGTATTTGTGTAGTTGTGAATCTTTTAGAATTCTTAATGCATGCTTTTTCATGTAAAATTATTTTGAAAGTAAAATTTTTATTATAACAAGTATATATATAAAATTTAACTTCATCGTAGAATAGCTTGAAAATACAATTGAGCATGACACTCTACAAAAGAAAGCCTGCCTCATCCCATAACTGAGAAAAATCTTTGTTGATTGCCAGAACACATCTTTTAGTGTTTGGCTGTCACACACTCAGCAGATGCTGTCCTGCTTGGGAACTGTCATTTATCCTCCATTCCACTTGGGGCCCTGACTTCACAGGTGCCCTGCTCCAGGGCAAGCTCTTATTTTCTACTCATGTCACATTTCTTAAGACATCAACTCCATTCTGCTAATAAATGATGCTTATTTCTCCATTATAAAATAGATAAATGTGTTTTTTTTCTTTCTTTAATTTTAACACTTTTAAAAGGATGGCATAGCAGAATTATTTGGGTCTCAGTAGTGTTTTATTGTTGTTCTTTGTTTGTTTAAATAAATTTAACTTCCAGGTTTTCTCAACCTAGCTTGGACAAATTCTACTAATGGTGCTATTTTTCTGCAATAGGCATTAGAACAAACTACCAAAGTGTACCTGGACATACCACTCATATATAACTCTAAAGTTAATTTCTGAGGCTGGCTAATGCTGCTAGATTTTCTCAGTGTAGAGCCATTGCACAGAGTTCTTGTGTCTGCTCACATTGATTTACATGATGTAATTTCTGAAATATGCACATATACATTTCTAAGTCCCAGACAGCTTATTTTATAAACAATGACATAAAATTATTCTATGAAACCTATTTTTTACAAAATCAATGTAATAGTTATAGTCTAGTAAGGCTAATCAAATAAAAAGAAAGAAGATACAAATATATAGATGAAAAATAAAATATAACAAGTGTATTGACTTAAGTACTCAAGAGATTAGAAAAATTAAATAGTAATATATTATAGCCTATGCTAAAACTTAGAAAATATTGATAATATATAGACTGATAGAACTACCCATGTTTACAGGAAGCCTGACTAAATCAATAACACTGAGGGAAGATAAAACAGTTGTTACAGAACTATTTCTCACTACAAATATAAGACTCTGGATTCAGACTTCTATTTCATAGGAAAGAAAAATCTTGTTACTTTTATTGTTCTAACACATAAATTAATTATGTTGTATTTCTTTTTATTAATATACTTTGTAGTTTAAGTATATCATATATAGATTTCTGACAGCTAATGCAATTTTTGAAACATCATTTAACTTTCCATCCATTACTTGGATATAAAATAATTTAAATAGTACTTTGTAAGTTTTTTTCCTGTTTTTTATATTGCAATAACAGCAAAGCATTTACTACAAAAAAATGCTCATCTATATAATTCATTACGTATCCTTGGAGTAAAAATTCAGGAGAAAGAAAAAAGCACATTTTATACTCTCACCCACGTAGTATGAAAAAACATGGTCATCTAGGATTTTAACACTCCTACTCTCACCTTTGTAGGTTTTATTTATTCATTCTATTCATGACATAGATTCTTGTTCTTTCCTGATTTTATGCTTAATATTCATATGATGACTTTCCCATATTTAATGTAACTTGAGTATATGTTCCTTGCCAAAATAATCACCTAAACAAAATCAATCTATATTTAAAATATGATATGTGACTTGAAAAGTGCCTCTTCCCTCCACTCCTGTCCACCTAGAACCTCAGAATGTGATCATATATGGAAACAGGGTCTTTGCTGATGTAATTAGTTAAGGATCAAGATGAAATCACCCTGAATTCAGAATGGACTCTAAATCCAGTCATTGGTGCCTTTTATTTTATGTTTTAATTTTTATTTATTTGCTTATTTATTTATTTATTTATTTATTTATTTATTTATTTATTTTGAGACGGAGTCTCGCTCTGTCACCCAGGCTGGAGTGAAGTGGCGCGATCTCGGCTCACTGCAAGCTCTGCCTCCCGGGTTCACGCCATTCTCCTGCCTCAGCCTCCCAAGTAGCTGGGACTACAGGCGCCCGCCACCACGCCCAGCTAATTATTTTTTGTATTTTTAGTAGAGACAGGGTTTCACTGTGTTAGCCAGGATGGTCTCGATCTCCTTATCTCGTGATCCGCCCGCCTCCGCCTCCCAGAGTGCTAGGATAACAGGCGTGAGCCACCGCGCCAAGCCACATTTTTACGTAAGTGTTAATTGCTACCCGAGAAGATTTTTTTTTAATTTAATTAGGTCTCATACTTTTCAGTAAAGTCACATTCAGGCATTTCATGTGAGAAATATACATCTACTATTATCTATTATTTATGAAGTCAATTGATAAGCCTTTAGTGTTATATCCTTTAGAAAGAAGTTGTATGTTAAGTTGTAATGTACATTCTTTATTATGCAAATTATTCCTATTTCTCTAAGAAGTTTGATCAGAAGTGTATGTAAATTTTATTAAATGTCTTCCTGGCATCTACCAAATGAATCACTAGGTATTACAGTATTCATTCATGTTGTGGAAAAGTGTTTTTTAAAAACTAAAGATTTTTTTATTACTTAACCCTGCTTATAGGGAAAAATGATTGGAGAGAATTCAATAATGAGTGGTTGAATATTTGGTATACACTGTTTTCTTCAACATCAAAATTGCACACTTTTCTACATACTTACAAAGAGGCTTTCTAAGAATTGTCTTATTACAAGCCAGAACGAACTATATCTTGTATTATCTGGTGAGGCAGTTTGATGATATTTAAGTAGAAGAATGAGAGGCATGGTTACCATAATTACGGAATTTTCAAAGAAAAATTCATAAATGATGCTGACAAAGCAGCCTAGGGAGGAGGGATCAATCATTTGTTTGCTGAAATATCAATTACGCAAATTCTACATCCTGTCATGAGGGAGAAAAGGGACTGATACTAACCTACCTTAAACAATTAAAAAAAAAAAAAAAACTAGACTAATCAATTAAATTATGGTTCCAGACATTGGACTACAGACAGCACATGATCGGGATCCTTGGGAGAAAGAAGACAGAAAGGAGTCCCATATAGTTTCCCCCACTCACTTCCTAGGAGCAGTTTCCAAGCCACAGCAGAGAGAATGATAAACCAAACAAACTCAGGGTCTCTAGGTTGAAGACAAAAGATCAAGTTGTAGAGAGGCAGCTAGAATTTGCAGGCCAAAATACCTTAAGAAAGAGATGAAAAGAGAGTGAGTGAGTTAGAAGATCTGTAGATGGGTTCATTCCAGTCCTTTGCTGATTTTCAAGCTGCATGTTAAAGGAAAACTCAGCAGACAGCAGCAGGGAAGCATTCTTAAAATCCACAAGAGGTGAAGAGTTAGTTCCTTACACCAGAGTAAACAGAGCTCATCATATACGAGATCCAGTGTACAGTTCTCAGAGGTTATTGCCTTAGTACTTAGTAATTTATAGGGGTGAGCTAGTCCCATACTAAAGACTGCGCTGGACATTTCCTAATATAGTTTGAAAGTAAGCCTTAAAAGAAATTTATTCAAAGTAAAATTATCTGTGTACCAGAACAAAGTTCAACACTATGTATGAAGTAAAAGAAAAAATTATCTCAAATGTGTGGGAAGGAGAGGGAGAACCTAATTCAATATGGTGTATAAAAAACTCATCTCAAATATAAAGGCACTAAAACAAGTTAAAAGTAAAATGATGAGAAAAGATACGCTATGCAAAGTTTAATCAAAAGAAAGCTGTAGTGACTATATTAATATTGGAAAAACTAGAGTACAGAACAAGGAGTATACATATAACCAGAAAAAAAAACGCATTATCAGAATAATTCATGTTAAATGAAGGTTTTTTAATGTATGAGAAAATGACAGATTGTTTTCCAAAGCAGTTGAATCATTTTATATCTCTATCAACAACGTATGACTTCCAGAAATGTTCCAGTTATTCCATATCATAACAAACATTACTGGTATTATGAAACTTTTTAACACCAGTCTTCTAGTTTTTATACAGTGATATCTTAGTGTAGTTTTAACTTGCATCTCCCTAATGAATAAACATGTTGAGGATATTTTCATATACTTACTATTTGTACTTCTTATTTGGTGATGTATTTGTTCATATATTGTGCTCATTTTTAAATTGTTTTAAAATTATAATATTGCATTGTAAGAGTCCTTTATATATATATTTATATTCAAGAACTTTCTCAGCTATTATTTGCAACTCTGACCTGCAAATCTCTTGTTTTCCTTTTATTTGCTTAGTATTTATTGACTTTGGAAAAGCAAAAGTTTTCTTGGTTTTTTTTTGTTGTTTGTTTTTGTTTTTTTTTTTTGAGATGGATTCTCACTATGTTGCCCAGGCTGGAGTGCAGTGGGGCAATCTCGGCTCAATGCACCCTCCACCTCCCAGGTTCAAGTGATTCTCCTGCTTCAGCTTCCTGAGTAGCTGGGACTACAGGCACGTGACACCACGCCTGGCTAATATTTTGTATTTTTAGTAGAGACTGGGTTTCACCATGTTAGCCAGGATGGTCTCCATCTCCTGAACTCATGATCCACCCGCCTCGGCCTCCCAAAGTGTTGGGATTACAGGCATGAGCCACCACACCTGGCTGTTTTCTTGTTTATAAAAACATTTCTTTCAATACTTTTGCATGTATAATTTGAGTACTTTTAGCGTACTATTTTAAAAATATCTACCTAACCCAAAGTCATTTTTCAAAATTTATTGTTTATGGAAGGAATATATTACCTGAAGATTTATGATTTATTTAGGGATTGTTTTAATGGAATTTGAGTTTGATCTTTCTTTTTGTTCTCCATGTGGATATCTGTATGTCCAACTACCATTTGTTTAAAATACTATTTTTTCTTGTGTTATATTAACTTGTCATCTTTGGGATCTGTGTCAAAAAAAAAAAACAATGGATTATATATGAATAGGCCTATCTATTCAGTTCTATTGATCAATGTGACTATCCTTACAATAAGACCAAAATGTGGGTTTTTTTAAACTTTGTTAAGTCTTGAAATCAGACAGTGTCAGTCTTCCAAAGTTGTTCCTTTTTCAAAGCGTATTTGACTATTCTAGATTCATATCATAAATTCTCAACATATCAAGATCACCAAATTATAGTTTCTGTTCTTCTTACTGGAAAACAGGTCAGGAATTTCCTCTAGATAGAAAGACTAGCTATAGTAAGGCTCACTTCATTTGTTTCCTGTTTCTCAAGAATCATACTTTCCCACTGTCTATTGTACAATTACTGAAAATAGATGATTGCTAGTTTTTTCCTTGTTTTCTAATTATTTTCATTTAAGTATAAATCAAGACCATCTTACCTTTCCTTTTTAAAGCCAGATATGTAAATCTGGAATTAATATTTTTTATGTCTTCATTTATCAATAATATTTGGTTGTTCTGTTTTTGAATCCTTGCATCACTTTTTAGTCCTTTATGGTAGATAAGGTAGCTAAGGTATGTTACACTTATCACTTCAAGGAAGGGCTGGATGATTAGAGTACAGGCAGAAAGAAAAAGAGGGCCAGATTTTAACTTTTTTATTTCCAAATGTCAGGACCTGGTAAAAGCAAAGTTTATGGAAGAATACATAATCAATAGCAAAAAGGTTCTTTCAATCCATATCATACAGTAACCAAAACTAAGATTCTATAGGTTCCAGAAAAAAATAGTTAGATAAATAAAAAGAGTTCATATACAGTTGGGCCCCTAAGAAGGGTGCTCTATCATGCATTATTTATTTTAAAAATAAATGTAATTTTATATATTTAGGTATACAACAAGATGTTATAGGATACATATAGATAGCAAAAAGGTTACTATAGTGAAGCAAATGAATATATTTATTGTCTCACATAGTTGCCCATTTTTTTTGTTGTTTTTATGGTAAGAGCTGCTAAAATCTACTCATTTTGCATGCCACCCATTACAAAAAGGTCTAATATCCAGAATCTACAAACTTAAACAAATATACAAGAAAAAACAAACAACCCCATTAAAAAATTGGCAAAAAGACATGAACATATACTTCTCAAAAGAAGATATTTATGTGGCCAACAAACATGAAAAACAGCTTAACATCACTGATCCTTAGAGAAATGCAAATCAAAAACCACAATGAGATACCATCTCATGCCAGTCAGAATGGTAATTATTAAAAAGTCAAGAAACAACAGATGCTGGTGAGGCTGTGGAGAAATATGAGTGCTTTTACACTGTTAATAGGAATGTAAATTAGTTCAATTATTGTGGAAGATGGTGGGGCAATTCATAAAGTCCTAGGAATAGGAATATTATTTGAGCCAAGAATCCCAAAGGAATATAAATCATTCTATTATAAAGACACATGCACACATACATTCATTGCAGCACTATTCACATTAGCAAATACATGGAATCCACCCAAATGCTCATCAATGATAGACTGGATAAAGAAAATGTGGTACAGGTATACCATGGAATACTATGCACCCTTGAAAAGGAATGAGATCATGTCCTTTGCAGGGATATGGGTGGAGCTGGAAGTCACTATCCTCAGCAAATTAATGCAGGAACAGAAAACAAAACACCACATGTTCTCACTTACAAGTGGGGGCTGAACAATGAGAATACATGGACACAGGGAGGGGAACAACACACTCTGGGGACTGTCAGGGGTGGGGTGTAGTGGGAGGGAAAGCATCAGGAAAAATAGCTAATGCATGCTGGTCTTAATACCTAGGGAATAATAACTATTACCTAGGTATTAGGTGATGTTATATAGGTAAACACTCACTTACCTATGCAACAAACCTGCACATCCTGCACATGTATCCCGGAACTTAAAATAAATAAAACAAAAATAAAGATATAAACATAGAACTAGCATATGACTTAGCAATCCATCTTCTGAGGATATACCCAAAGGAAATTAAATTACCACCTAATAAAGATACCTGTCCTTCCATGTTCATGGTAGCATTATTCACAATAGCCAAGATATGAAGTCTCTGTCAATGGATAAGTGGATACATAAACCATGGAATATATATATATGCAATAAGATATTATTCAGTCCTAAAAAAAGAATGAGATCTTGCCATATGCCACAATGAGGATGAGCCTGAAAGACACTATCCTATCATGCATTTAACAGTGGCAGATACCCCAGTTAGTTTTTATAATACAAGAGCAGAGTTAAATATATTCCTAATCTGAGGAAGAATTCAGAAACATGGTAAAACTGCTAAACGGAGCAGGAACAGCAAAACATCTGTATTTTTTTTTCAATTTTAAAAATAGATTTGGAGAAATCTAGTCAACTTCACTTTTTATATCATACTGATATAGCAGAATGTTTCCAGTATGCTTGAAGGTAATGTAAAAACAAAATATAAAACCAAGATCCCTATCTCAAGATTTCCTTGAGAAAGGAAATAGTGACTGAATTATAGATGAAAATTAAGCAATAATTGTGGAAAAATAAAGACAACAGAGGTCAGACCCATGTATCCTGTTGAGCAAGATCTGTGCCTATTTCTAATAAAAACACATGAAAAATCATTTATGATGTATTTTATTGTACTCATTGCATTTTTGACTAACTACACACCCTAGATTACGGTCGAGTACAGGCCATCTGAGGTAATTCCCATGTCCCTTAATAGAATTCACATGTACGTTTATCATGGACTTTCAAAATTTCCCATGGATTGTGACGAAGCAGAGTTGCAAAAAGTGATACAACAGGATTTAGATATTTGACAGAGATGTGATAGTTGTCAGAAAGAAAGAAAACTGAGCAAATGCATCCTTTCTGGAGTATGCTGATAAGATTAATCTGAAATCAGAGCTTCCTAAATTACTACAACCCTTCCAGTGAAGAGAAATAGACTTAGTTCTGCCTTCCTCAGCCAACAAAGCAAAGGAATGTTATTATCCCCAACAAACTGGCACAGCATTAATCTGTACTGAAAATTGTGACCTGAGGGTTGGCAGAAAAACTGTTTTAAACAGATAGAAGTGCATGCCCTGACGACCAGGAAATTCTAATTGTCAGTGCCTACTTGGAATAATTCTTGGACACACAGCTATATCTAAGGAAAGATATCGAAGATGTTCATTGCAACACATTTTTTCCAACAGCTGGAAAAAACAAATTAAAACCAGTCCCCTTTAGAATAATAAATATATGTTTCCCTTTTTTCAATGGAACACCATATAGCAGCTACAATGAATAAATTCAAGCTACATGTATCAATGTGACTCTCTCCAAAAACATAATCTTGAATGAAAACATCAAGTCCTAGTGTGTCAAAATATATTTAAATTTTAGAAATAGAACATTTCTATAAAATTAAAAAGCACATATTAATCTTTTATGCAAATGCATAAATAAAAAAGAAACAAAGGCAGACCAAAGAGCCCAAAGAGAAAGAGAAACACATATTTCAGTATATATCTTAGTACTCTCTTCTTTGAAATTACAAAATCGTATGTAATGTAAATTTCAATCTGATAGAGCAGGAGCACCGTGATCTCAGACAAACACCACCACTTTAAATTCCAGCTCCCTTTCTAGCCTCATGCATTTCAAGTATATCATTTCTCTTCGAACTAAAAGCAGCCAGAAAGAGCAGACAGTAAAACACAGATAAAACAGCTTGGATACAGAGGGAGGTGGGCGGAAAGTCTCTTGAGTAACTGACAAACTTCACTTTCATACAGTGGGCCCCAGTAAAACAGTGGGCCTTAACAAGCACATTCCTTTCCCTTCAGGTGCACTAAGATAGGGAGGCTAAAAGCAGACTCCGGGGGTACGCCTGCACCTGCAGAAAGATGTATGGGAACAGACACACAACTCTCCCTCCCATATAAGCACAACAAAGAGGCACAGAAGCAGTCCGAGCCTCTGATAAACTCTTCCACCCTGAATCCTTAAAAACTCTTGGGGAGCATCACACACCGGGGCTTGTCATGGGGTGGGGGGAGGGAGGAGGGATGGCATTGGGAGATATGCCTAATGTAGATGACGGGTTGATGGGTGCAGCACACCAACATGGCACGTGTATACATATGTAACAAGCCTTCACATTGTGCACATGTACCCTAGAACTTAAAGTATAATAATAATAATAAAAAAGAATAAGTCAAATTGTCCCTGTTTGCAGATGACATGATTGTGTATCGAGAAAACCCCATCGTCTCAGCCCAAAATCTCCTTAAGCTGATAAGCAACTTCAGCAAAGTCTCAGGATACAAAATCAATGTGCAAAAATCACAAGCATTCTTATACACCAATAACAGACAAACAGAGAGCCAAATCATGAGTGAACTCCCATTCACAATTGCTTCAAAGAGAATAAAATACTTAGGAATCAAACTTACAAGGGATGTGAAGGACCTCTTCAAGGAGAAATACAAACCACTGCTCACTGAAATAAAAGAGGTTAGAAACAAATGGAAGAACATTCCATGCTCATAGATAGGAAGAATCAATATCGTGAAAATGGTCATACTGTCCAAGGTAATTTATAGATACCATGCCATCCCCATCATGCTACCAATGAGTTTCTTCACAGAATTGGAAAAACCTACTTTAAAGTTCATATAGAACCAAAAAAGAGCCCGCATTGCCAAGTCAATCCTAAGCCAAAAGAACAAAGCTGGAGGCATCACGATACCTGACTTCAAGCTATGCTACAAGGCTACAGTAACCAAAATAGCCTTTTGGTACCAAAACAGAGATATAGACCAATGGAACAGAATGGACCCCTCAGAAATAACGCCGCATATCTACAACTATCTGATCTTTGACAAACCTGACAAAAACAAGAAATGGGGAAAGGATTCCCTATTTAATAAATGGTACTGGGAAAACTGGCTAGCCATATGTAGAAAGCTGAAACTGGATCCCTTCCTTACACCTTATACAAAAATTAATTCAAGATGGATTAAAGACTTACATGTTAGACCTAAAACCATAAAAACCCTAGAAGAAAACGTAGGCCATTCAGGACACAGGCATGGGCAAGGACTTCATGTCTAAAACACCAAAAGCAATGGCAACAAAAGCCAAAATTGACAAATGGGATCTAATTAAACTAAACAGCTTCTGCACAGCAAAAGAAACTACCATCAGAGTGAATAGGCAACCTACAGCATGGGAGAAAATTTTTGCAACCTACTCATCTGACAAAGGGCTAATATCCAGAATCTACAATGAACTCAAGCAAATTTACGAGAAAAAATCAAACAACCCCATCAAAAAGTGGGCTAAGGATGTGAACAGACACTTCTCAAAAGAAGACATTTATGCAGCCAAAAAACACATGAAAAAATGCTCATCATCACTGGCCATCAGAGAAATGCAAATCAAAACCACAATGAGATACCATCTCACACCAGTTAGAATGGCGATCATTAAAAAGTCAGGAAACAACAGGTGCTGGAGAGGATGTGGAGAAATAGGAACACTTTTACACTGTTGTTGGGATTGTAAACTAGTTCGACCATTGTGGAAGTCAGTGTGGTGATTCCTCAGGGATCTAGAACTAGAAATACCATTTGACCCAGCCATCCCATTACTGGGTATATACCCAAAGGATTATAAATCATGCTGCTATAAAGACACATGCACACATATGTTTATTGTGGCACTATTCACAATAGCAGAGACTTGGAATCAAGCCAAAGTCTATTAATCAAGCTTAATAGACTGGATTAAGAAAATGTGGCACATATACACCATGGAATACTATGCAGCCATAAAAAACGATGAGTTTATGTCCTTTGTAGGGACATGGATGAAGCTGGAAACCATCATTCTCAGCAAACTATCGCAAGGACAAAACACCAAACACCACATGTTCTCACTCATAGGTGGGAATTGAACAATGAGAATACATGGACACAGGAAGGGGAACATCACACACTGGGGACTGTTGTGGGGTAGGGGGAGGGGGGAGGGATAGCATTAGGAGATATTCCTAATGTAAATGACAAGTTAATGGGTGCAGCACACCAACATGGCACATGTATACATATGTAACAAACCTGCACGTTGTGCATATTTACCCTAAAACTTAAAGTATAATAATAATAAAATTAAAAAAATAATAATAATAATAAAAAGAAAAAAAAACTCTTATTCTATAAGAGAATGTAGCTCTGACCTAACTTGGCCAGCTGCCCCTCTCAGGTTTATTCAAAATAAACCTGTCACTGTTGACTGTCGAGCCGCCCTTCATGTTTCTCTCCTCTTTCTCTAATTGTTACATGGTCTATCGCATTATGCACTTTGTGATACCAAACCAAAATTAATATTTGAGGCTACATTCTACTAGAGTGGAACAAATTTAATCTTTAAATTTAAATGAGATGTGTTTTAGATTATGGCTACATCTATGTCAACACCTTTATTTCTTTTCCTCACCATCTCCCAGTTAAACAGAGTTCTCCATTTGCTTAGTTCCTATAACATTTTTAGTTTTATCTTCTATTCTCAGAATGTCACAGAATATTTGAAATTTAAAAGGTGGTTAAACCTATTTTGAGAAAATATTGTAAGAATCTATAAACGTATTTTATTCATATGTAACTGTCTTTGCAAATACTGTGTATGTGCTTTATTATAAAAGCAAATGACAGGCCAGGCGTGGTGGTTCACGTCTGTAATCCCAGCACTTTGGGAGGCCAAGGTGGGCAGATAGCTTGAGGTTAGAAGTTTGAGACCAGCCTGTACAACATAGTAAAACCCTGTCTCTACTAAAAATACAAAAATTAGCGGGGCATGGTGGTGCATGCCTATAATCCCAGCTCCTCAGGAGGCTGAGGCAGGAAAGTCACTTGAACCTGGGAGGTGGAGGTTGCAGTGAGCCAAGATCCTGCCACAGCACTCCAGCCTGGGCAACAGAGGGAGACTGTCTCTAAATAAATAAATAAATAAATAAATAAATAAAAGCAAATGACAGAGAATTATATTCCTTCAGGAGGAAAAAAATAAATCAGATAAACTCTTTAACAAATGATAAATTTATTTATAAAATAAAGGAAAATTACATAACGGAAATGAAATAAGACAAATATATGTTGTTGTAATTTAGGATCATTTAAAAGCAATTTAGTGAATATAAAATTCTGATTTTTACTCATCCTAAGACACATCTCCACAGCCAAATTTAGATTAAATTTGTAGATTTAGAAATAATATTATATATGATAAAAGTATCACTTCATGTTTAAAAAGCAATTCTTTCGCCCTTTTTAAAAATTTTTGAAAGGAAATATTTTTTTTCATACTTCTGATATTATGATCAATAAGGAAGGGTAAACTTTTCTAAAGGTGGAATTTTCATGCTTTATTGAAGGATAAGTGGAATTATATATGCATATATTTATGTATTCACATAAAGGTTGAAGGCTCTTAACTTGTGACAAGGTATTTCTCACCACATTTATAAAGTTTATAAACGCTCATATTCTAAGTTGATATCTCTCCACTCTTAAGAAATGCTACTTCAATTAGATTTCTACCCATTTTTCTTAAACAAATGTTACTGATATCAGATTCTACCCTTTTTATCTCTTAAAACTACATTAATTCAAAATAATATTTTTAATAAATTTCAATTTTAAAAACTTTGTGTTTGAGATGTTGATTACCTGATTACCTGGTATTTTATTCTTATAAATAATTCATTTTAACATGTCAAATCTCTGTTGATATTTATGCAATTTCAATTTTTACAAATAAATACAATATAAACTTAAAACTTGCACACTTTTTAAATTTAATTATAATGTTATTTTTAAAAAAATTTCCCTTAAGTCCAAGTTTATCATACTAATGCTTAAGTAAATTGTTCTTTGTTTGTTTTTTACATACTTCAAATATTAGAATTTCCAGAATCTGCTAATTTTTCTCATTAATCATGCTATTTCCAACTATCTTTATTAATCTTTGTCTTATGTTTTATTTCTCATATATGACTACATAATTATGTTACATATTAGCCCATTATTTTCTTGATGATTTAATATGTGAATTCTAATATGTAACATATTAATATAATTAACATAATCTAACAGATTAATAGCACATACTATATAATTTATATAACAATTATATATTAAATCTTTTATCCTATATATGTAATATATATAATTATTTTGGCAACGAATGGGAATAAAATGTAAAGCACTTAATCCTATCTCCAGTAGTAAGTGAGGATTAAGTGGGGGAAGGCAGGCTTCATATTTCAAAGTTAAACACAAGAAGAAATCACAGAGGAAGCTCTTTTAAAGTGTTGAGTATTAACTTAGAGATCAGTAGTCATTAGAAAGCATAAGATAGATCTTTATGTGATAGAAATTTTCCAGAGAATTAAGGGATTTTGATTCTTTGCAGGATATATTTGCTTCTTCTGTAATTCTTACATATCTTATATTTTGATATGAAAATAGAATATTTATTTAAAATATACCAGTGCCAGATATTTTATGCAATGGGAATAGTAACCAGTATAGTAGAAAGGGTATCTTGAGACATTTTTCCTGAACTTAGGAAAAATAGATAAATGGTTCTAATATAATGATTGCAATATAAGAGCAAATGTAAACAAAATTAAAAAGAAAATCAGAAGAAACTTTTATGTAGAATTATTTTAGGCGAGAGAAATTTGTAAAACAAATAGCAGAAAATTGCACTGATTTTGAGAAAAGACACGCATCTTCAAGTAGATGGGGCCCATTATGCACCAACTACATGGTCATTTATTTTCACAAAATTCTTGGTTATTTCAATATCCTTCTCTGTCGAAGTGCCCTACTCCATATTATCCCCTTACTTTGATGGCATTCCATAGATTTGCTCATATTCCTACAGACAAAAATTGCGATTGCAAGTGCCCCATTTTCTTTACAACAACTCCACCTCTCCACATCACTCCATCTTTCCATATTCATCCTATTACCTCAAAACCAACAATTCTCTGAGCTTCTCAGAAACCACAAATTATTACTGCTACAGCTTTTTACTGAATTTTACTTTTCTTCTTTTTCACCCAACCCAGTATTAATTCATTGCTCCAGTAGTCTAGTATTTCATTGTATATTCAGTCAACTTTTGTGCCCCTTTCTTGTTTTTTTATACTGCTTTGGGAGAAGCCAATATTCTGCCTGCCTTCTGCCTGGACCCCTGCTAGCATATTTGTTTAAAGAAATGACTTTTAGGTTGCAGGTGGTGGCTCACACCTGTAATTTCAACACTTTGCACTTTAAGAGGCCAAAGCAGAAGGATTGCTTGAGGCCAAGAGTTTGAAACCAGCCTGGGCAACGTAGTGAGAGATTGTGTCTCTATAAAAAATTAAAGAAAAAATAAATAGCTGGGCACGGTGCTGCACTGGTAGTCCCAGCTACTAAGAAGCCTGAGGCAGGAGGATGGCTTGAGCCCAGGATGTTTTGCCATTGCACTGCACTCCAGCCTCGGTGACAGAGTGAGACCCTGTCTCTATTTAAAAAAAAAAAAAAAGACAGAATGAAAAAGAAGAAAGCAAGAAAGCACAGAAAGCAAGAAAGCAAGCAAGTAAGCAAGCAAGAAAAAGAAAGAAAAAACAGAAGTTTATTTTCCACCCACACAACTCTGCTATAGGTTTGTCACTTTACCAGGGTATCTCACAACCAACCTACAATTCAGCATGCAGACTTAGCCCACTCTTTGATGGCACCATTTTAAAAGGTGGCTTCCATTGACTTCAGAGGAGAAATTACACATGCCTTTTCTACTCAGAGTCAGTTGGCAGAACACATCACATTGAGCCAACTAATTGCAAAAGTGCTTGGAAGAGTAACTTCTTTTTACTCAATAAAGAGAGATTTGACCATGAGTGTGCACAGAAATAGTTTGCATAGCACTTGCCTGTATTCATATTATATTTCCTTAGTCTAAACATTCTCTCATGACAAGTATTCTATACTTTCTTCTTTCTCCTCAACTATCTGACAAATACTTCTTAATTCTTACTTTCAACTATGTTTTTCTTTCTACAGAACATAGGATCAACTTAAAAACTCCACAAAAGCCCACAGTCACATCTCCATTTATGTGTGCTTGTATAAATAATTACCTTCATATTTGTTGCCATAATTGAAACTTTTATTCTTGTATATAGGATTAATGTAATATTTAAGCACTAGAACCCTTCTGATAGGATTTGGCTGTGTTCCCACCCAAATCTCACCTTGAATTGTAATAATCCCCACAAGTCAAGGGCGGAGCCAGGTGAATGTAATTGAATCATGGTGGTGGTTTCCCCAATACTGTTCTCATGGTAATGAATAAGTCTCACAACATCTGATGGTTTCATAAGTGGAAGTTCCCCTGTACAATCTCTCTCACCAGCTGCCACGTAAGACATGTCTTGCTTTCCTTTCCACCATGATTGTGAGGCCTCCCCAGGCATGTGAAACTGTGAGTCAATTAAACCTCTTTCCTTTACAAATTACCCAGTCTCGTATATGTCTTTGTTAGTAGCGTGAGAACAGACTAACACGGTAAATTTGTACCAGGACTGGGATCTAGGTACTTGTTTAATGGCTTTGACCAAAATACTGATAGTGATATGGACAGTGAAGTCCAGGCTGAGGTGGTCTCGAATGGAAATGAGGAACTCATTGGAAACTGGAGTAAAAGTCACTTTTGCTGTGTTTAGCAGAGACTGGTGGCATTTTGCCCTACAGACCTGTGGAACTTTGGACTTGAGAGAGATGATTTAGAGTATCTGGCAGAAGAAATTTCTTAAGTGACAAAGCATTCAAGAGGAAACAGAGCATGAAAATTTGGAAAATTGCAGCCTGACAATGCAGTAGAAAAGAAAAGCCCATTTTCTGGAGAGAAATTCAAGCCAGCTGCAGAAATATGCCTAAGTACAGAGGAGACAAATGTTAATCATAAAGACAATGGGGAAAATGTCTCCAGGGCATGTCAGAGGACTTCATGGCAGCTACTCCCATCACAGGCCCAGAGGCCTGGGAGGAAATAATGAATTCCTGGGCCAGGTGCAGGGCCTTGCTTCTTTGTGCAGCCTTGGGACTTGGTGCCTTGTGTCCCAGCTGTGGCTAAAAGGGGTCAAGGTACATCCCAGGCTGTGGCTTCAGAGGATGCAAGCCCCAAGACTTGGCAGCCTCCACATGGTGTTAACCCTATGGGTGTATAGAAGTCAAAAATTGAGGTTTGCGAGCCTCCACCTAGATTTCCGAAGATGTACGGAAATGCCTGGGTGTGCAGGCAGAAGTGTGCTGAAGGGGCTGAGCCTTCATGGAGAACCTCTGCTAGGGCAATGCAGAAAGGAAATGTTGAGTGGAAGCACTGACACAGAGTCCCCACTGGGCACTGCCTAGTGGAGCTGTGAGAAGAGGGCCACAGGCCTCCAGATGCCAGAATGGTAGATCCACTGACAGCTTGCACCATGCACCTGGAAAAGTCACAGACAATGCCAGCCTGTGGAAGCAGCCAGGAGGGGGGCTGTACCCAGAAAAGCTACTGGGGTGGAGCTGACAAGACCATGGGAACCCATCTCACGCATCAGTGTTAACTGGATGTGAGACATGAAATCAAAGGAGGTCATTTTGCACCTTTAAGATTTGACTGCCACATTGGATTTTAGATTTGCACAGGGCCTGTATCCCTCTGTTTTGGCCAATTTCTCCCATATGAAAAAGGTGTAGTTATCAGCTGCTTGTATCCCCACTGTATCTAGGAAGTAACTAACTTTCTTTTGATTTTACAGGCTAATAGACAGAAGGGACTTGCCTCGTCTCAGATGAGACATTGGACTGTGACTTTTGTGTTAAGGCTGAAATGAGTTAAAATTGGGGGTCTGATGGTAAGGCATGATTGGTTTTAAAATGTGAAAGCATGAGATTTGGGAGAAGCCAGGGCAGAATGCTATGGTTTGGCTGTGTCCCCACCTAAATCTCACCTTGAATTGTAATAATCCTCACCTGTCAAGGGCAGGACCAGGTAGAGATAATTGAATCATGGTGGCAGTTTCCCTCATACCGTTCTCATGGTGGTGAATAAGTCTCACAAGATCTGATGATTTTATAAGTGGGAGCTCCCCTGCACAAGCTCTCTTGCCTTCTGCCATGTAAGATGTGTCTTGCTTCCCCTTTGCCTTCTGCCATGATAATGAGGCCTCCCCAGGCATGTGGAACTGTGAGTCAATTAAACCTCTTTCCTTTATAAATTAACTAGTTTTAAGTATGTCTTTATTAGCAGTATGAGAACAGACTAATGCATCTTCTATTCTTACTAATTTAAGGAACTCAGTTCAGAAATTCCCCCTTTTATCTTCTTATCTTCATTTCTTTTAGCTCATGAATTACACCTAGCAGCATATAAACATTCTATAATATTTTCCATTAAGGAAAATATCTTCTTGAGAATCCAACACTTTAGCCATCAGCCCATGACTCTTCACTTTTCAGCACAATGTTTTCAAAATTATTCCCTATCCTGTCTTCTTTATTTTCTCATTTTTCTTTCTCAGACCTATTCTAATTGTATTTGAATAAAAACTCATCAAAAACATTTGAAAAACATTCTGGAAATATATAACTAATTAGCTGAAATGTTTATTCACTTTACCAAACAATTCTCTGTATCCTAAGAAATTATATATGATTTTATATCTACAGATATATCAATAGATACATAGATGTGATAAAAATATAAGCACTGTGAAAAATTTTGTACTATTGTGATGACACAGATGTATGCAGATTGGGTGAATTTTCAATTGCAAAACTTGAAGCAAAAATATAGAAATTAAATTTATTTTTAACAAAAATATTTAACATTTTAGCCAAGGTTCTATTTATCCTGGGAGTAGAAAAATTAATGCCATAAATCCAAGGAAAATGCAGCCACTTTCATGTATTTTTCAAATTTCATGAAAAAAGTAGCCATGATGGTAAGAATGAAGATTATGCATGGGCTCAGAAACATGAAATTCCACACATCAAAGCCAACCTGCCTACAGCACTGCTGAGTGCCCAATCTGTCAGCAGCAGAGATCAACACTGACCCCCTGATATGGCACCATTCCAGCTACCTAGTGGCAGGTCAATTAAACTGGGCTATTTCCAACATGGAAGGGGAAGTGTTTTGCCTTTAGTAGAATAGATACTAACCCTGGAGAAGAATTTGCCTTCCTTGCATGCAATACCTCTTCCAAAACAACCACCCATGGACCTACAGAATTGAGTAAGCCTATCCGCAATCATTTTATTCCATGTAGCATTGCTTCTGGTCAAGGAATTCAATTTAGCCAAAGAAGTGTGGCAGTGGGTACATGTTCATGGAATTCACTAGTCCTACCATGTTTCCTGCAACCCTAAAGCTTCTGGCTTGCTAGGACAGTGGAAAGGCCTTTAGAAGATTCAGTTACAGCACAAGCTAGGTGGCAGTACCTTGCAGGGTTAGGGCAAGGTCCCCCAGAGGTGTCTATATACTCCAAATTAACATTCAGTATTTGGCACTGTTCCTCTAATAGGCAGAATTTATGGGCCCAGGAATCATGGGGTGAAATTGGACACACTAGCAAATTTTTTACTTGCTGTTCTTGTGCCCTTATGCTCTAGGGGCCTGTAGGTCTTACTTTCAGAAGGAGGGATAGTTCTACCAGGAGACACACAGTGATTTCATTGACCTGGAAAGTAAGACTTCCAGCAGGCCACTTTGGGCTCCTCATACCTCTGAATCAATAGGCAAAGAAGGAATTACAATGCTGTTTGGGATAATTGATCCTGATGAACAAAGGGAAATTGGACTACTACTGTAACATAGATGTAAGGAAAAATATGTCTTAAATATAGGAGATTCCTTAGAGTGTCTCTCAGTGTTACCGTGCCCTGCAATTAAGGTCAATGGAAAACTACAACAACTCAATTCAGGCAGGACAACTAACGGCCCAGCCCCTTCTGGAATGAAGATTTGGGTCACCATACCAGGTGAAGAAGCAAGACCAGCTAAGGTGCTTGCTGAAGACAAAGGGAATACAGAATGAGTAGCAGAAAGAGGCAGATATAAATACCAGCAATTAACATGTGACCAGATACATCAGTGAGGACTGTAATGTCATACTTTTTTTTTAAATTTTGTTGTGCATATGTCTGTGTGTATTTCGGTTATATATCTATTCATATGTCCACATTGAAGTCAAAAATTATAGCTATGGCTATAATTTCCTGACATCATTATTGCCAAATATAACTTTAATTCCTATTTAACTTTAATTCGATTTAAATTCCTCAAAGCAAAGCCTTCAGAATATTTTTGTTACAACTAAAATTAAAAGTCATTGTGAGCTATTGAGCACACCAATTATCTTTACCAAATTTTAATTGATAGTAAATAAGAACTTCAAGTAAACGAATTAACTTCTTTATTTTAAGGAATAGCAGTTTAAGAATGCCTAATGAGTTCCAATCACCACTGATATTGTAATAAATGTGCAAACAGTTTTATCATTAAATAATTTCATCAGAATATAGGTAATAGATTCATTATACTCACTATATTTATCTTTTTAGTAAGGTTTTCTCAGTCATCTAATTCAACTGATTCTGTTAATGACTGCCCCAATATAGCTTCTCCCAACTTCCTTTGAAAACAAAACAAACAAATATAAAATGCCTCATCCCTCAAACTTTCCAAGATTATTAGCAGTGGATTTCTGGTCAGTACAGTATTGCGAGTTAATATTTTGAAATTCTCAGAACCAAATAGAGAATAATGATATGTTAAATATTAAACTAAAATGAAATAAATATATCTACATTCAATAACAAAATATACATGTGAAAGAACAGAATATGGATTATAAACAAAAGGGTTCCTAGAACTGAAGCTGATTGACGGCTGCCTTTTATTCTGTAAATATAAATGAGAAGTAGCTGCTGAAAAGAAAAACAACAACAAAAATTGTTGATTCAAGATAAGGAACAACATCAGCTTCATTGCTTAAAATTTGAAGCTGTATATTCATCTTAAAAGAAGCTGAAAAACACAGCACGTGTTTTTGGATTATATAAAGGGGCTTAGAAAGAGAAGTTGGAGTGAACATATGCAAACATGCCGCCAAGAAAGACAAGGCACCTACTGAAAGGACAATCCAGCAACTGAATTTAGACTATTCCAAATATCATTATACTATGGGATCTCTGACCCACAAATATAAGACTTAGTTGTGTATCGCAAGTTCAGGAGGAGGCAACAGACAATGCCATTTGCATGGATGAGAATACTCAAAATCACGTCACATGCGGCATATCATAAATAACCACATCAACTTTTTCCAAATTTATATATAAATTTCAAGCAGCTTCAATAAAGACATGTAAAATATTAAGCTGATCACAATTATATAAAGAAGAGTACAGAAGTAGAAATAACCAAGATTATATTTTAAGAAGAAATATGAGAAAAATTGACCTTTACTTAACAGTTACTAAGACTTATTGAAGTTATAGACAGACATATTGAAGTTATAAAAAAAATACTGTGGAGTTGGCAGAGTGAAAAGCTAACAGACCAATACTAAAAAATAGAGAACAAAATAAACTGACCCAAACATTTAAGGACAATTGTGACAGAGAAGGAAAGGGCATGACAAATCAGTGGGGATTAATTCAAGTATTCAATAAATTGTATACAATAATATGATCTCCATATAAAAATGAAAATTATGCTGCCACCTCATAGCATACAAAAAATCCAGATAGATTATAAAACTATTGGTAAAATGAAAATTTTGAAACTTTTGTAAGTATTCATAGTAGTATGTTTTCATGTCATCTAGAAATTGAAGCATTTCTCAACGACACAAAAATACAAGCCATTAAGAAAGAAAACTTGATCAGACTAAAATTTAAAACGTATTATTAGTATGGCAAAATACTCTATAAGGTAAGGTTAAAAAAATGCCACACTGGGGAAAATATATTTTCAATGTATATAACCAACAAAATTGAATACTCAGAATTTACAGAAATTTATTTCATTTAAAAAAGATTCAACAGCCTAAATGGAGAAACGTACAAAGGATATAAACAGACAACTAACAGAGGAGGAGACTAAAATAGTCAACGTGTATGCGAAAAGTACTTTTCACTAGGAATCAAGAAAGCATAAAACAAGTAAATTCATGTCTATGAGATTAGCAAAATTGCAAAGATTTACATTGTCACTTTCTATTAAGGATTTGGAAAGGTGGAGCTCTGTTACTGTAGAATAGGATATAAAGACCAATTCACTTTTGATAACAATTTGGCAATATATTTTAAATTTTAAGATCGAAATATCTAACTGCCTACTGAGAGAGGCAGGAGACCACCAAATGCCTAGGCAGATAGGGGCAGGTCCCCAGTAAAACTCCACCTTCAAGCTGAAGACAGTTTAAAGCATGAAATGCAAGCTACAAGTTAGATCCTCAGAATGGATTGAGAACTTGTCTTCCTGTTTGACATGCTTTCCTCTGATTGATCCCCACCCTTCACCTATTTTACATATACCTACCCTTTCCTCATTGGTTTTCTACATTGTTGTGCCTACCTTTGAGTGGTGTCTTCACTTTAACCTTTTTTTGCATACTCACAAACCAATCAGCACACTTATGAATCCATAAGAGGCCCCAGAACCAGCCACCTGGGAGACTGTCCCACCTTTGGATAGGGGAACCACCTCCCATGTCCCCTCTTTGCTGAGAGCTTGCCTTTCGCTTAATAAATTTTACTGTACTCCCTCTACGGTGTCTGCGCACCTAATGCTTCCTGGTGAGACAAGAACTTAGACCAACCTGACCTAAGGAGCAGAAAGACCGTAACACTATCCATTGTTTCCTTTATGAATCTTTCTTGGATAAATGTTTACATATACACAAAAATATACATGCACAAGAAAAATCATGGAATATGCTTATGATATTGAAATACCAATTTATGTTTACCACTAAAAGAACTCCAGCAAATTTTTCAAAGTATCTTCACAATTATTTATGATATTGAAAACTGGGAAACAACATAGTACCTACCAGGTGAAGAAAACATAAATAAAATATAGAATATTCATTTATTGAATCAATACAGCACTTACAACTTATAAACTGTATTTCTCTACAGATCTAATTCTAAAACATCATATTTCTTGAATAAAAAAGTCAAAAAGCATGAATAGTATGATAGATTTATGTAAATGTTAAAAAGCATAATACTATGTTAAAGAATAATTACATTAGTACAGATATATAGATGCTTAAAATATACAGAAATGGATTTCCTTTAGAGAGAGAGGAATGAATAAATATTAATTCAAACAATGTTACAAGTGGGGGTACAAAGTATGTTTCAAAGACAGCTGTATTTGTGTCATCTCATTTTATTAGCTGATGGAAAATGCAAAAAAATATGGCAGAAGACTTAGTGGAACATGTTGTTCATTATATTAGTTTCATTTTTTATTATTTAATTTAATTTAATTTATATTTATTTATTTATTTATTTATTTATTTATTATTGTTATTTTTTTGAGACGGAGTCTGGCTCTGTTGCCCAGGCTGGATTGCAGTGGTGCGATCTCGGCTCACTGCAAGCTCCGCCTCCTGGGTTCACGCTATTCTCCTGCCTCAGCCTCCAAGTCGCTGGGACTGCAGGCACCCACACCACGCCCGGCTAATTTTTTTTTTTTTGTATTCTTAGTAGAGACAGGGTTTCACCGTGTTAGCCAGCATGGTCTCGATCTCCTGACCTCGTGATCCACCCGCCTCGGCCTCCCAAAGTGCTGGGATTACAGGCGTGAGCCACGGCGCCCAGCCCTATTTATTTATTTTTTGAGAAAGAGTTTCTCTCTTGTCGCCCAGTCTGGAGTGCAATAGTGCCATCTCGGCTCACTGCAACCTCCGCTTCCTCGATTCAAGCCATTCTCCTCCTGCCTCAGCCTCCCAAGTAGCTGGGATTACAGGCATGTGCTGTCATGCCCGGCTAATTTTGCATTTTTAGTAGTGATGGGGTTTTACCATGTTGGTCAGGCTGGTCATGAACTCCTGACCTCAGGTGATCCACCCATCTCAGCCTCCCAAAGTGCTGGGATTACAGGAATAAGCTACTGCTCCCAGCCACTTTTTTGTTATTTTAAATGAATAACATTTACAGAATTTTGCTAGCCAATATTTTTTAGAAGTTCACAGATTAAATTAGAATACGCTATTATGGAGATAGAACTTCAAGGAATGGTGTGGGGACAGTGGAGAAACAGAATAAATTCAGTAAGGCTTCAGTGAAAGTGAGATTTTATTATTATTATTATTTTTATTATTATTATTATTATTATTATTATTATTATTATTATTATTATTCCCCACTGTTTTCTTCCCTGAATCCGGGAAACAATCTCTGCCGATCAGATAAAAAGACAGCTAATTCTATCTGCTGTACTTCTACTAGTCTGATATCTTTCTGCTCATATAGTATTTTTCATATTTGATAAGGGGATAATATTTTAAGAGAATAAGTCAATATAAAATAAGTGGCATGGAGAATAACTGGCACTGATGTAAGCAATATTTAACAACTTCAGTCATTTTTATATCATCTTAACTATATAGTGTACCTGCACACCACTGTGTTACTATTACTTATTTAAATCCACTTGTTTCTCAATATTTTTAAAAAAATACTGAGAATTATATCTCATTTCATTTAAAGAAATTCCCAGCTGGGCTCGGTGGCTCATGCTTGTAATCCCAGCACTTTGGGAGACCGAGGCGGGTAGATCATTTGAGGTCGGGAGTTGGAGGCCTGCCTAACCAACATGGTGAAACCCTGTCTCTACTAAAAATACAAAAAAATTAGCAGGATATGGTGGTGCATGCCTGTAATCTCAGCTACTTGGGAAGCTGAGGCAGGAGAATCCCTTCAACCCAGGAAGCGGAGGTTGCAGTGAGCCAAGATAGTGCCACTGCACTCCAACCTAGGTGACAGAGTGAGACTGTCTTAAAAAAAAAACAAAACACCCATATCACTTGCCAAATTAAATGTAAAATAATGCAATTTAAAATAGATCAAATCATATAATTAAATTAAAAACATATTAAAATGAGATAGATTACAAAACAAAAGTCTTGACCTAGTTTGCAAAGATATGTATCTATAAATAATTTAAAAGAAAAGCATGAGGCTGAAAACAGTCAAAGCATTTGATAATTGATTGATGTGACCTAGTTAAAAATTAGAAATTATAACACAAGAATTTTAATTCTGTCCTACAGTTATGATGCTCTATATCTTGAGATTTTCTACTCATAGATATCTAGTCACAAATGGTCAAAATTGTTTAACTGTGATTTCTCCTAGGATAGGTTATTATGCATAAATTTCTTAATAAAATAGAAATTGTGTGTAACCAACTCACCTCAAAAATTCATCAGAACAAGCTTCAGATTCCATCTGTCATCTGATTAGTTCTTATCAGGTAATGCTCACAGAATAACAGCAAAGTTCCTCATCCACACACCAACACTAATTCGTTTGGGAAAATAAGGCTTTTAAATGGCTTACCAAAGCCATTTAAAAATCTCTTCCTGAAGTTCAATATATTTTTAGTGAGTTCTTAGATGAAACTATAATCCAGTTACAAAAGTCTACACGTATTTCACCAATTTTTTTAATCATCAAGTTAAATTTTCTGATATAAATGTGTCTCTAAAGATAAGTGAAATAACAAAGTCTGCTAACATGCAAAGCTAAACAAAGGATGCATATACTATCTCTGAAACAAAAGTCTTGTTCAGAAGACCTTAGATTCTTTGAATAATGTAGGCAGAATATGTTAGTGTAGAAAAGGCCAACAAACAAGCATCACTGTAAAAGGAGTTGTTTGTGGTCTAACAGAAAGAGAGATAAAGAGACAGAGGGGCATAGGGAGAAAGAGAGAGAATAAAAATTGAATGGTCTGTTATTAATATGATTTACACATTTCTTCATGTAGTGTATGTGGGGAAGTGGGCTTTCATGTGTGTATATTTGAGTCCATTCTGCACCCAAAGCCGCAAAATCGAAGTAACTTCATAACTTGGATTTGAGGAACAATACTCACATTAGACTCACTATACCTTTAGCATGCTGTGTGCATTTTCTAAAACCTAGTTTCTAGGCTGAGTTTCATTTGTTTACAAATAAGTAAGTTGGCAATCAGTTTGAAAATGATCTTTTTCAGTTATAGGTATGGGACAAATTTACAGACTTTTTTATTTAGAAATTGGAAATTCTTACGCAGCTACTATCTGATAAATGCCAAAGAGTTGGCTGAATTTATTTATTTGTCTTATCAACAGTTGTCAGTGAAGAGTATTAGCTTTGTTACTAGGTGTAATCATTGATAAGATTCCAGTCATGTCTATAATTCTGTAACATATCATATTGTTTAACTTACATCAAACATTGTGCATATTTTGCTGCTGATTATATGTTTACCATTAAAGTAACCCCAGCAAATTTTAAAAAGAATCTTCACAATTACTTCTGTGGTTTCAATGTTTTTTGCTTTTGGCCATTTTAAAATTTTTATAGATTCAGGGGATATATATGCAAGTGTGTTATGAGGATATATTGCATAATAGTGAGGTTTAGGCTTTGAGTGTACCCATTACACAAATTGTAAACATTGTACTCAATAGGTAATTTTTATGTTAGTCCTTTATAGGATGCATAGTTGGCAAATATTTTCTCCCATTCTGTAGGTTGTCTATTTACTTTGTTATTTCTTTAACTGTGCAGAAGATTTTATTGTAATTAAATCCCATTTGTTTATTTTTGCTTTTGTTGCATTTGCTTTTGAGATTTTAGTTATAAATTCTTTGTGTCGGCCAACGTCCAGAAAAGTTTTTCCTAGGTTTTCTTCTTGTATTTTTGTAGCTTCAGGTTTTATGTTTAAGTCTTTAATTCATCTTGAGTTAATTTTTGTATACAGTGAAAGGTATGAGTCCAGTTTCATTATTCTGCATATGACTATCCAATTTTCCCAGTGCCATTTATTGCATAAGGTATGTTTTCCTCATTGTGTTTTTATCAACTTTGTTGAAGACCAGTTGCTTATAGATAGGTGGCTTTATTTCAGGTTCTCTATTCTATTCCACTGATCTATGTGTCTATTTTTGAACCAGTATCATGCTATTTTGGTTACATCAGCCTTTTAGTATACTTTGAAGTCATGTAATGTGATGCCTCTGGCTTTGTTCTTTTGCTTAGGATTGCTTTGGTTATTTGCACTTTTGTTTTAGTCCATATAAATTTTAGTTTTATTTTTGTTAATTCTGTGAAAAATGACAATTGATAATTTAATAAGAATTGTGTTGAATCTGTATATTACTTTGGGCAGTATGGCCATTTTAATGACATTGATCCTTCCAATCCATGAGCATGGGGTGTTTTTTTCATTTGTGTCATCTACGATTTATTTTATCAGTGTTTTCTAGTTCTCCTTGTAGAGATTTTTCATCTCCTTGATTAAAGGTATTCCTAGGTATTCAATTTTTTTTGTGGCTATTGTGAATGCGATTGAATTCTTGGTTTGGTTCTCAGATTGCACGTTATTGGTATATAGAAATGCTACTGATATTTGTACATTGATTTTATATCCCTATCAAATACAGGAGTATAAATGATACTGGTTTCCTATTATCATTCTAATTCTCACTGCATATTTATTTTTATGATTATTGAACGTTTATTATTTCTAAAACATAGGTTTTGCAAAATAGTTCTTTGCTTTATTTTTTGGCTTTAAAATTATACCACAAATGGAAAGATTTATTATCAGAATTTATGGATGATTCTTTATAGATTAGTGAAAATAAAATAGACCTAGTCTCTTTGCCAGCCCCCCAAAGATCAAATGTATAATGTTAGTGTAAATTTTTATGCAGTTATTTGCTGAGTACCAGAATACTTCTAAATTATTCACTAAATTGGTATTCATATATATACACAAAGATTATAGGAGTATTTTATTATAATTACCATGAGTATTTAAATTCAATACCTTTGTAATTTTAAAATTCTATTTTTAAGCACAGCCTAACAACACTTCAAAAACCATCATCATCACTATGACAGCAACAAAACAAAGTCCCAATTACTTTTATTTACTATACATGCTTTTACAAACTTGATTATTTAAATAACTATTCTTTCTAAAATTGGTCTTTAGACATTACTAAAAAGAATGCAGAAGGTGTATAGAAATTTAGTTGTCAAAAATATATATCTATGATCCATATCATCTATGTCATTCATACTTCCAGATATCTATAGAAGATATGGCAACATATTATCCCCAAGTAAAGCATTGAGTTAATGATAATTAATCACATTCATTTTACTTTTGTAGATTTGGACCAATTTAGAGATACAATACATATTTTAATTTGATTTTTACTTTTCCTATCTATCTATCTATCTATCTATCTATCTATCTATCTATCTACCTACCTACCTACCTATCTACCTCCCTGCCTCCCTACCTACATACCTACCTACCTATACATCTCCACACACATACATGACTGGAAGGGTAGTTCGTTCCAATGTTCTCATATTTCAGATAAAGGGATTCCACTAAAGCTGTGGTCCTTGTCATTCGTTGCACATTGAAACAACCTGGAGAGCTTAAAAATCTGTTTCCTCCAGAGATTCTGATTTGTCTCGTCAGGTCTCCAGGCGACTCTATTATGATTCCTAGATAGAGAACCACTGCACTAGAGCAACCCTCCAAGCTTCTTATGCAACTATTTCACTCTCTTTTAATGAAAAAAATAGCCGTAGAAGACTCTTTTCTCTTATTCCCTTTCTAGATGTTACTGTCCTTGCTTAAATATGCCCAATAATGGTAAATGGTAAAGGTAAGTTATAAAGTCCTGTATAATAATACAAAACTAGAAAGGTGTTAAAGGGAAGTGGCTGATAGCTAAAGATACATGCAGTGTCATTTCCACTTCCCTAAACAAAACCATTTTTTTTGACAGAAATATAGACCATGACCAGACAGCCAAACAACATGGGATTGGGTAATTTTTGAGGTGCAGAAAGAGAGACAGAGAGAGATAAATGTTATGAATGAGATATTAAGAGAGTAAAGGAAAAGCTTCTGTACCAGGAAATATATTTACACTGCAATAAATATGTAGTCTGTAATACAGGAACCTGTGGCTCTTTTGTGAGGACTTTGGCACTGAAATAGTAATTCAAGCTTTAAAAGAGCCATGAAATACTAAATAACTTCAATTTTGTGCCTGTATTTTATGAGATCATCAAACACTTCAAGTAAATTACATCTTTAAAATCAATTTCTCTCTTCAGCCGATTATCTATTATCCTGTATGATTGAAGCTTGCATCTCTTAACTGGTGTATTATCCAAAACAAAGTCAAACCCAAAGTTCTTATTTAATGACAGCACTTCAGCACTTTGAAGAAATAGAAAATAAAAATGCTAATCTATATACAGCACTTTGTGCTGTAGTGCTGGGCTTTTTATATTTATGTGGAGAGAGTAATTGGAAATGAAAGAAAATAGTGAGCTCGAAGTATAGGAAATGGCCTAGGTACAGAAATTGGGGACTTCCTCTGCCATGTACTAGCTACCTTATATGGACAAGTCAATTAACCTCCTTGAACTGATTTCTTCTCAGTTACAAAATGGGAATAAGATATAATATCTATGAAAGTATTTAAATACAGATAGATACAGACAAGCAATTATTATGTTACTATATTTTTTTCATTATATGTAAATAGAATGGACTAGCTTCAAGAACCAGGATAAGAAAGATAGCAAAACTTACTAATATATGATATTCATATGAAGGTATTTAATAAAGTATAAGGTAGAATGCTATGAATACGAATGTTAGCTGTAGAAAGAATTAGAAGTGTCAAGAAAATTGGAGGATTACAGTGAAGTAAGAATATTCTGTGGTTAGGATTTGATAGTCATGAGCTATTCAAAGGGACATATAAAGTCTAGAATGGGCATGGTATAACTGGAGGGAGTGTTAACAGGTGCTAAGCAGTGTAATTCATGTTTCCTGAGTGATAGACAGTGCCCTGCAGACAAAGGTAGATGTTGAAAGTTTTAGGAAAAATAACATTAGCTGTGATAAAATGGACTTTTTGAAAAAAGCCTATTAAGAATGGTCTCTTAGGAATCTGTGGCATTTTTCTTTACAGGCCCTAGGGATTAAAGAAATTTTTTTCTACTGAACTCCATGGCTAATTTTCTTAAACAACAGGCCTAATTATGCCACTGCCATGCTCAATTAACATCTGTAACTCGTTGTATGCCAAATTAATTATAAATTTATTAACCTGGCACTTAAGCCCCTCCACAGATCCTCAATCTATTTTTGCCAGTAATGCTACTCTGTCACTCATTCCCAAATGAACCTTATGATCAAATCAAATTTAACTGTGACTGTTTCTCAGAAAACCTCATGTTTTGTTGCTTCCAGGCTTTTGCTCAATTTGTTTCACTGTTCTTATGTCTTTTCCACCAGTAGATGTAATAATGACAATTACTATCATAGCAATATTAATAATAGCTAACTTTGAACTATATACCAGGGACAGTGCTACATGCTTTATAAATATTTTCTCATTTAAACTTAAGAGCATCACTGCGTTAACATGCTATTATCGCTATCATATATACTGTATTTGAAGCCTTACAAAGGTTTTATTGCTTGCTCAATTTCATTACAACAATGATGGAATAATAATTCAATCTAAGAATGCAGAGTTCAGAACAACTATATTTTACTCTCTCAATACAGATTTAAAGAGAGGGTAGAATTCAACTTTTCTTTCATTTCAAATGCCTCCTTTCAGTATTGACTTCATGGTGTATTTTTTTTTTCAGGAAGTTAATTGTTCCTCTTTTGAAACATCAAATCCCACAAAGCATTTTTATTGTTCTTCTTATACAAATACACTTTGTATTGTAAAAATGTGTTCATTTGCCTAAGTGTCAAGATAAATACTAGTAGCTTGAGCAAAAGGAGTGTTTCTGATTCACCTTCATGTCCTGTGAAGCACATAACCAAAAGTGTGTATATATATAGAGAGAGAGAGACAGACAGAGAGAGAGAGTAGGTACTCAATAAATAATTGTTGAATTAAAAATTTCAAATGATTCCCTAGTGGCAGAACTGTACTAAGTACATAATATTTTCTCAATATTTTTATAACCAAGATCTGCTAATTTATAATTTAACCTTTTTTGCGATTTATCAAGATAGACCCACGGATAGTTAAAGGACATGATTTCATATGTCCCTGAGCATTGTGGAAAGACTCATGCAGAATAAGAATTTGTACCAATTTTTTTTCCATTTGATATCCTGATATTTTTGGAGAAAAACAATGAACTCTTCATAACAGAACCATAGGAAAACACTCAACAACACTGGAAGCAATAATTATGAATCTAAAGGGGGATTCAAAACAGCAGGAAGCTAGATTGAACTGTAGTTATTTAATGCTGAGTACTCTTACCCAGATGTACTAGCCTAAAAAATGCTAGAGAATAGAATAGGGTTTAAAACTTTTTATGCTGTAATGTTCAATATGCTATGCTATCTAATAACTACTACTAAAGAATTTGTCTGGAAGACCAAAGATATGATATAACACAGAGATACAGATGAACTGGAAATACAATGCTAGGGTTGACTTTACTGCCGAGAGCTGATAGTAAAAAACAAAAACCACTCCTAGCATTCAATATTCCAGGGAATTTGCAATATAAGTTATAGGGCTCATACAGTGAAGCCACTAAGGACCTCGACTCTTGAAACAGAAATTTGACACAATGACTTTCCTAGAACATTATGAAATATCCTATAAGAAACGGGACAAATTCACACAGGTTACTTTTGCACAGGAGTTCTTTGAAAAGGTAGCTATTTCTCTATGTCTGTGAGTACCCTTATAATGGAATGTATTCCTAAACAGAAATTCACATTATCCCTCTTTGCTTTTCATCTTCAGCAAAAAAACAAAATAATAAGTTAATGACAATAGAAAACTTATACTGTAAAATCAGTGATTATTTCCAAATTAACACAGTGATGTTAAAGTTCAGAAAACAATGTTTGGAAAACTGAGCTACAGGAACAAAGACCATACATTTAAATATAGGTATTTGCTATAGTCCAGATACAACTGTCCCCACCAAAACTCATGTTGAAATTTAATTCTCAGTGTGAAGGTGTTGAGAGGTGGGGCCTAATGGGTGGTGTTGGGTCATGTGGGCGAATCCCTCATGAGTGGCTTGGTGCCTTTCTTGTGGTAGTGTGTCCTCAATCTGGTGAGACTAGATTAGTTCTCACTGGAATGGGCTAGTTTCCTCCAAAACAGGTTGTGATAAAACCAGGGCTTCCCTCAGGTTTTCTCTCTTCTCACCTGTTTACTTCTCGTTTGACCTTCTCTACCATGTTTTAACACAGCATGTGGTCCTCAGCAGAAGCCAACCAGACACCAGTGCCTTGCTTCTTATACTTCCCAGCCTGAAGAACTGTGAGCTAAATAAACCTCTTTTCTTATAAATTATCTAGTCTCCAGTTTTCTATTACAGCAACATGAAACTAAGACAATATTCCCAAGCTTTTAGGAACAACTGACATCTTTACAAGGCTAAATTATCCTATCAAAAATAAGAAAGGTCTTAAACATTTTTATGTCTTCTTATAGAGCTGTCAGTAAATTTTTAATATTTTCTTCACATAGGACATTTATTGCATGTTAACTATACTTCTGGATATTTTGTATTCTTTAGTAAAATTTTTATTTCTTTTATTTTATAAATGGGAGAACAATGAGAAACTACTTTTTTGTATTTTTACATTTCAATCAGCTCTTCTAATAATTGTCTACTTTCTCATGGTTTTTCTAAGTATTTTAAGGAGTTTTGCAGAGACTTATTATAAAATAGAAATACTTTTTCTTGTGTGCATTATTTTATTTTTAATTAATTTTTCATATTTAAAATAGAATTATAAAATACTGTGGGAGAAAACAATAATAATTGTTCTTCTAACTTATTGGGGTTAATGCTGGAGTCTGTCCAAAATGTTATTTAAAATTTCTAAATATGAAATTACACTACAGTTTTGTACTATTTAAAAATTAAAAATCATGTTTGTTTTGTAAAAATATATGAAAGAAATTTTTTAGTTTTCTATGATGACATACAGTTAAAATAGTATAGATATTTTCTATAGCTTGGTAATTTTTAATTTCCAGCTAGTAAAAACTACATTTTCTTGGTATTTTAAAACAGATTTATTGAAGTATAAATTGACGTAAAATAAATAGCAGTGTTTATCCATTAGCCTGTGGATTGACACTGGCTTGTTTTCACATTTTGTCTATTATACATGTTAATGTTTGATAAATTTGGGCAGTACACACATATATGTAGGTTATACATATATGTCTGTATATATGTGTATACACATGTGTGTATATACAGAGAAAAATTTCTCTGTGTATATATGCATATAAGACAATAATCACAATAAAGATAATAAATATACCCATCACCCTTCAATATATCATTGTGTGTCTGTGTAAACCCTCTATCCTACCACCAGTCCTCACAAGACAATTGTTCTCCTTTCTGTCACTATAGATTTGTTTGCTTTTTCTAGACTTTCATAGAAATAAATAATTTTTCAACATGTACTCTGTCTTCTTTCATGTAGCATAATTATGTTGAGATTCATTCATCTTGTCTGTGTCACTAGCTCATTTCTTTATATTGCAGAGTAACATCCCATTACATGGATGTACCATGATTTGTTTATCGCATAGCTTGTGACTGAATATTTGATATGTTTTTAGGTTGTAGGTATTATTATTATTATTATTTTTTTTTTTTGAGACAGAGTCTCACTCTGACACCATGCTGGATTGCAGTGGCATGATCACAGCTCACTGATGCCTCAACCTTCCAGGCTAAGGTGATTATCCCACATCAGCCTCCCCAGCCAATGGGACTACAGGCACATGCCACCACACCCAGCTATTACAGTTTTTGTATTTTTTGTAGAGACACGGTTTTGCCATGTTGCTCAAGCTGGTCTCAAACTCCTAAGCTGAAGTGATCCGCTCACTTCCACCCTCTTAAAGTGCTGGGATTATAGGCATGAGCCACTGTGCTTGGCCAGGTTTCAGGTATTAAAAATAAAACTGCTATGAACATTTACTTACAAATATTTGTATAAACATATGCTTCTAATTTTCTTGGATGTGGAATATCTGGATCAGATGGTAGGTATATTTTTAATTTTTTAAGAAGCTGCTAAACTATTCTTCAAAGTGGGTCACCATATGGAATACAGTCTTACTAATTGTTATAATGCCTGCCCCTGCCCATTCTAACATCTGTGTCAGTTCTGGGTGGTTTTCAACTAATTCATTTATTTTCATTATAGATCATATTTTCCTGTTTCATCCCATACCTCATAATGTTTTATTAGATACCAGACATTGTAAACTTTATGTAATTGAGTGCTAAATATTTTTGTAACTTGTAAATAATCTTAAGCCTTGTTTGGGGAAGCAGTTTGATTCTTTTAAATCTAAGGCAATATTTAAATTTTAGTTTTATGTTCATTAGTCTTTGAGGGCTTATTCCTAGAAGATTATTTAGTTCACCGAGGATTTTCTTATTTCATAGATTTGAGTCTACATGTGGTTGTCTAATAAACTGTTCGTAACTTACAAAATATATGACAATGTCTTCTTTATTATTCTAACATGTTGTGTATGCAGGTTGCAAATTTGCCTGAACTACTTTGCTCATGCGCAAGTTTCTCATTTGGTTTCTACAGGTTCCAAAAGTTAGAAAAAGGGGACAAATGGGTGTTTGAGACTAAATTTCTTCCATAGAGACATATAGCAGTAATCCAGGATTCAACTAATCTTACAGTTATCTAGACATCAGAAACCTAGAGTGTTCCAATATAGTTGCGGGACTCAAAACCAAGCTCAGTTTCAATTTCAAAGTGCAGACTATAGTGTTCACTAGACTATTATGCACAATTTATTTAATCGTAGACTGTGTCTATATTATATTTGTAGCAACTCCATATATTTGATTTACCACAATTTTATCAATTTGAAAACATAACTGTAGCGTTCATGTAGCTAATTTTTTAAAAGTCCTATAATGGTGACTTAGAGTTAAAGGAAGTTGAAGCATTTATGATAGCTACTTCTGAATTATAATCATTGATTAAATCATAATTAACCACTCCTTGAACTAAATATATCTCAATTATAGTATCTAAACAGCTTTAGTTTATAGTTTAAAACCAACACACATACACACACACACACACACACACACACACACACACACACACACATTCTCTCTGTTTCTGTGTGTTTATGTGTTAAGTATATACACATAAATATATATTTCCAAAATATATTGCAGCATGTTTTATTACAGACTCACATTTTACAGATATTTTCCCACTTTTCTTCAATATGCTTACTTACTAGATGTTTAATAGTTATTTTTAAATAACTATTTTTTTTTTACTTTAAGTGCATCACGTTTATTTTTTTAATTTTTTTATTATACTTTAAGTTCTAAGGTACATGTGCACAATGTGCAGGTTTGTTACATATGTATACATGTACCATGTTGGTGTGCTGCACCCATTAACTCATCATTTACATTAGGTATATCGCCTAATGCTTTAAATAACTATTTTTAAATTAATTTTAGTAATCTTTTCAAAGAACCAATTTTTGGGTTAATTTTTAAATTTTTTCTGTTTTCACTGTTTTTAGGTTCTGGAAATTTTATTTTTTGTCTTTGTGAATTCATTTCTCCTAGTAGTTTTCTTAGCCTTCTTGCATTGAATGCTTAATTTTACTATTTTTATTCTTTCATCCTTGAAAATAACATTTCAGGCTTTGTATTTTCTTCCAAGCACTTCTTTGCTTCTCTCACAGAAGTTTAAATATGTACTGTCTAATGGCGCTCTGTTTTTTCAAACAAGATTTGGAAAATACAAAGCTGATATGTTATCAATTTTGTTGCTACATTATTTATTTTTATAAAAGTGGTTACTTTTCTCAGTCTCAAATCTTCTCTTTAAGCTGCAAAATTAGTTTATAGACTTTATGCTATTTTTCTGAATGGTTTTCTCATTAGCTGACATCAATGACACCTAGACGTTTTTTACTCTACTAAAAATTTCATGTGTGGCTTCTCCTTGGTACCAGTAACTGTCCACTTGTAATCTGTTAGAAGGTCCGTTTAAAGCTTAAGCTGCAAGTCTGGCTAATGTAAATTTATGTTACCACTTGAGCAGTGAATCAGCTTAATTGGGAAGGGTGTCAGAGCTGTTGGCAGTCCAAGAGAAATTGATCTCTGTATTTTTTTTTATTTTGTGTTTGATGAAGCTGGTTATTTTTCTTTCATAGCTTTTCTCTTAGTCTACTCGTTCTGCCAGCTCATTGCTGCATTTATCCCTCTCTGTTTCCTATGGCTTGCTGTAACAGCGGTGATCTCCAAATCCTCAGTCTTCCTACTTGTGTTTTCCACTGTGCTGTGTGGAATTGTAATTGATTACACCATCAGGGACAGTGTATGTGGCCTGCTGCTTCGGTGACCCATGGGAGAAGCATGTCTCCTACCCTGACCTACAAATCTGGAGGTGTTTGAGGGTTTTTGCAACGTGTTATCCCCCTGTTATCCAAGTATGCTGCTGTTTCTCAGTAAAGAAAGTTGTATGAATGTCCATAGCACAGTCTATAAACTGAACTATGTTTACGACCACTGCTTTTTCCTTGAATTTTCTCAGAACTGGATGGCTACTTCCTCTAGTTTTCAGTATCCAATGAGGTATAGTCTTATGATTATGTCATGTAAATGGAAATCTTTTATTTTGGGATATGGAGCACATATGATAATAGGTATGCATGCACACCTTATCCACCTCCTGAAACACAAACCATGCTCTGGGTGTAAAGTAATTGTTGTCCATGTCACGATTACTAAAATAATGCCAGCATTTGTAGAAACTAAAAAATGTAAAAAAGTGAAAAATATAAATGAAAACTTTCCTATTTTATTCCTATTATTCCCCCTAAACTATTACTGAAAAATGTGCCTACATTGGGTATTAGATATAAAACATTCTAGATTAATGTATTCATATAAAGAGAGAGTCTATAGTCAGAAATATATTCCACTTATCAATGATATAGAATCATGATATTCCCATGTCACACATACAAATCTTTTTAACTTTTTTAAAAGCCTGCAAACACTTTATCTTAGTGATATTTCTGTGTCAACAGTGAGGTGTCTATGTCAATATACTGCTGAATATTTTATTATATTGTGTATTACAAAAATTAAATTTATTTATGGCTATTTATGTAGTTCTCATTTATTTGTTTTAGTTTTGCTAGTACAAACAATGCTAAAAATTAATATCTTTGGATCTTTTATTTCTGTGTGTCCATCTGAGGATGGCTGAAATGTAAGTTGATAGAAATTACATATTTAAGTCAATGAATAATTAATTTTGTAATTTTGTTAGTTCTGACAAATTGATCTCAGAGTGTCACATAAGCAAAGATTTCCTGTATTACTTTTCCATTGTTGCCGTAAAAATTATGACAAACCAATCTTACAGTTAGCACAAGACGTCTAGAATGTTCCAGTATAGTTGCTGGATCTCAAAACCAAGCCTTGGTTTTATTTTCAAAGTACAGACTACTGGGTTTACTGGAATCATATATGCAGTTTATTTAAGAGTAGAATGTGTCTAAATACATTATGCCTAAAATATTGACATGCTTAAAAAGATCATTTCTACCCAGAGATTATTTGGTTATTTTAAAATAATTAATCTAGTGCTTTTATTCTGCATTTTTACATAAATACCCTTAATACATCTCAACATTATCTTTAGTATAATAATTTAGACAACCAGAATATTTGCAGTCCCGTAACTACTGAAATATATTATTTTCATAATAATTTAAGTTCCATATTTATCATACACTAAATATTCACACATTTGGATTCATATTTAAAAAGGATGCATACCTTCAGTAATTTATCTGTCTATTCCTATACCACAATCAAGCTGATTTAGTTACTGTAAATTTATAATGTTTTTTTCCTACCTAGTAGGGAGCTTCTACATGATATACCTTTTAAAACTGTTATTCTTTGTATTTCTTCCAGATTAATTTTACAGCCATTTGTTAAGCTTCAAAATTTCTGTTAGATTAAAGCCACTTTTTACTGATTGGTTCATTTAGAAAATAATGTGACTTTAAAATGGTTGGTCACGCTGGGTGTGGAGGCTCATGTCTGTAATCCAAACATGTTGACAGGCCAAAGCAGGAAGATGACTTCAGCCCAGGAGTTCAGGACTACGGTGAGCTATGATCACATCACTCCTCTCCAGCCTGGACAACAGAGTGAGACCTGTCGCTAAAAAAAATAAAATGATAAATAATAAAACATACATATCTTTTTTTTTCCTTTTTTGAGACAGAGTCTTGCTCTGTTGCCTAGGCTGGAGTGCAGTGGTGCAACACAATCTCAGCTCACCACAACCTCTGCCTCCTGGATTCAAGCGATTCTCCTGCCTCAGCCTCCTGAGTAGCTGGGATTACAGGTGCCCACTACCACGCCTGGCTAAATTTTTTGTATTTTTAGTAAAGACTGGGTTTCACCATATTGGCCAGGCTGGTCTCAAACTCCTGACCTCGTGATCCACCTGCCTCAGCCTCCCATAGTGCTGGGATTACAGGCGTGAGCCACCGTGCCCAGCCAAAACATATTTATTTAAACATAATAAAATAAAATTTAGAAATGGTTGGTCAGGAATGGTTATTTTGGCCAAGTGCAGTGGGTCATGCCTGTAATATCAACACTTTGGGAAGACATGGCTGGTGGATTACTTGAGCCCAGGAGTTTGAGACTAGACTGGGCAACATAGTGAAACCTTATCTATATACAAAATAAAGAAAAATTAGCCAAGTGTGGTGGCATGTGCCTGTAGTCCCACCTACCAGGAAGGCTGAGGTAGAAGAATCGCTTGAAGCCAGGAGATCAAGGCTGCAGTAAGCCAAGATCACACCACTGTATTCTAGCCTAGATGACAGAGCAAGGCCCTGTCTCAAAAAAAAAAAAAAAAAAAAAGAATAGTAAGAATGGTTATTTTGATCAAAATAGTTTTATATTGTTTGGATTAACCAGCTTAAAAGAGAAAATGATGAGAAGTATTTCTTTGCCTCCTCTTTTCAAATATCATCACTCTGTGGATAACATAATGTCATACCTAGAAAATTTCAGAAGATAATTTTGAAAATCATTCCAAATTATAAATAAGTCTAAAGTGTCCAGATAATACATATTAATACCAAGACCACACATAGATACAAGCTATCTTATTAAAATACCAGAAATTTTCACAAGTAATGATATTTGGTTTCTTATATAGAGTACATCTTCTCCTTTTTATTCTTAATGAAGCCACGTTTTGTAAGGTAGCCATCCCTCCTCAGATTCTAGATTGATAGTAATATAACAAGTCATAGTAAACTATGGCAATTCAATGTGAAGGCTGTCTGTTGAGAGGCTGTCTGTCAATGAGAGGCTGTCTAATGGGAAGAACTGTTTGTCTCCAAAGAAAGAGAGGTAAGTAGGCACATGGATGCCTCATAGGCAGTGAGACTGCTTCATAGCCAAGTAATCCTGAGTTTAAGAAACCCACGTTTTGTAATGGGCTGCAGGCAAATGTGCCAAACCACAGCCCCAGAGTGAGATCTTATATTAATTACATTGAACAGCAAACATTCCAGCTCTCTACTCCAGAAGCCAGTGTGATCTCTATTGTTCAATGCTCTTTGTTATGCAAACATCTTTGAAAGAGCATAGTGCAGAATTAAAGTCTGTGCTGTCTGTGTACACAGACTTTGTTGAAAGACATGCAAAAACATAAGATATGGCTGGAAAATTGCATCTCATTATTTTAAGAAACACACTGTAGAAATTCAGCTAAGGAATAAAATTCATCTAAAAAGGGAGCTGATTAATTGACTCAGAGCCCTTCCAGAACAGTTCCACTCCCCATAAGACAGATTTGTATTTCAATTCTTATTTTTTAAAATATACTCACCAAATTTTGTTTTCAGAGGATTATTTAATTTTCTGAAAAGATAAATTATCTGTTTATCTTTCTCAACTTTCAACTAATTCGTACTTGATCATAATTTGCATATGACATCTATTATATCTGACCAGTTTATATAGAAGTCTGCTCATTCAATTACTGTCTACTTAAGAGTTTAAGAGCACTGTGCCATTTCAGGGAACTCTTGGCAATTTCTAACCCCAGTTTCAGAAGCCTTAATGCTACTGTAGTCACATGGGTGTGGCATTTACAAAATTGTTTACAACTTTATGCCTATAGGCATAATAGTTAATGGCAAGTGATGAATTTTTGCATTTTTACGAACACCAGTATATTTGAACACTGACGTAAATTTTACGTTTGGAAACAGAAACCGCAGGAAAAAAGGAAGAAAAATTACCAGTCCTCATTTGGTAGCTGTGTACCGTATAAATATATTGTTGAAATCTTAAGGGCTCTCATGGATTTGTTATTTCAATTACAATTTTAATGATACATATGATCTGAATTGACAAGGCTGTTTGAATGTCCTGCTGCATAAAACTAAATCAATTCAGCGAGTAATGTTAAGAGAATGTAGATTTATTAATATTGTGATACATGATATGTAGGAACACACAATGGAGTAGAGATATTTTTGCTATTCAATGGCAGAAAGTTAATATATTATGTACTATATAGGAAAAGGCAATCATTCTATTGAATGACTTTGGTACCACTATAAAACACAGCAACTATGCATTTCCTTCCCCTCAAGTACAGTTTGGAGTCACATCTGCATCAGAGAAAAGGAACAGCTAACTATTTATAAAATAAATGAAATCCAACAGAATCACAAATGACTGATATTTGCAAGCTGAGAGCATTCTTAATATAGTACATTATAATAAGTTATAAATGATACATTTTAGAACTAGTAAATTCCTGTTGGAATTAAGGAGTACCATCAATAAGCAGACTTATTTTTTCCTTTCAATCTACTTTATGTATCATGCACTGTTATGAATTCTGAAGACGGATTCACATGAGGAAAATAGCACTGTAGCACAGTGTGAAGAGCTTTTATGAAAATTATCTCCAGCCTGGAATAGAGATCAGACAGAATTTAAAACATTATGTGGAAATAACAAAGGTCAGGGTTGTGTGGCGATATCTGTCTTAAAGAAGTGGGGCTCAAACCTGGATGAACCGTCGAATACTCTGGAGAAATCTAAAAAATTCTGATGTCCAGCAATCACACTGAATCCATTGAATCACAGTTTCTGGGTTAGGAGAGGCCAGGTTTTGGTTTTGGGTTTGCCTCAAAGCTCTTACAGCTGTTTAAAATATTCAGAAAGGATTGAAGATCAACCAAGCTTAGGGGCTCGTGATTCTTAACTTCTGGTGTTTTGTTTTTCAGATGATTGTACCTAATGCTGCTTCAACATAGTCTGGCAAAAATATTTGTATTACCACATGCATGAAGGTCATTCTATGCTTTTTTGTGGATGTAATATTTTTTCCCAAATATCTTGAAAAACCAATATATTTATTTTTGATGCGCTAAATTACCTTCAGTTCCATTGAGTTTAGTTTTATTAATTCATTCATGTATATTTAATCTTAATCTTTCCTTTTTATGGTGCTGGTTATTCATTCACCTGTGCCCAGAAATTCTTAATTGTCTTTTGATATTTACAAATAAAGGATTACAATGATTATTATATCTATATAATTTTCCTCTGTTGTTTACATGTAGAAATGTTTCCCCTACGGAGGATTCTTTTAGGATTAGAAAACTTGACTGAGAGTTCTGTTTATGTGGCTTGGGTTTGCCAAATGGCTGGTTTTGTTTGGGTCAGAGGAAAACAAACAGTTCCTAAACTGAAGTTGTCAAACGTTCTACTCAAAATTAAGGACTGTGAGGAGGTCGCTGTAGACACTGCAGAGCCAAAGGCCATTCTGAGAGTGAAAGTTAGCCATTCAGGGAAACAGATTCAAACTACTGAATGATGCTTTGTTTTCATAAAGTTAAAGGTAAAGTCACTTAATATACACACTTCCTTCCTGGACTAGTGCTTGCTTACATATTCAGCATCACCTTGTCCCTAATTACTCTCTCTTCACCTAGTCACATTAGCCTTATTACATATTCTCATAATGCATATGCTTTACTTCTGTTTGAAAAAGATAATTTACCACCATTGTTTTCTTAGTTAATTCCTATTTATGTTTCCCACCTCAGCTCAACACCATTTCCTCAAGGAAGATAATTTAAATTACCCTAAATGCTCCTCACCCAATTATAGAGGATACACAATGTGCTTGGCAATTGGTTAAGGGGTGGGTATAAGATAGTGTAATTCTTTTCAGAATATTATAACACACTTGGGAAGAGAAGAATTTTCCCTATTCTCATGATTAATAAGCTTGGTAATGATACAGCAAATTAATAGAAAATAAAAGTTTTTATGAAAATATATTTTATCACCACTACATAGATTATCAGTTAATAATTGAGTAGTCTTTTAAAACTAGAACACAATTACCAGGATGGGTTTATTTTTTAAATATATGAGCATTTTCTAGAAAAAAAATATTTTATCAAGATTTTACATTCTGTCCATATCTATCTACTCTTATGTTCTCCAAATCACATTTTACATCCTTCCTTATTCTAAATTATATGTTTGCATGCTTTCTCTGCTTTTTTCTTAGGCTACTCATGAGATAATTATTTTTATGTTTTTTTAAAAGAACTATCATTTTTATTTATTAGTTCTACCTCTTGGCTGAATACTTAGCGCTACAACATTAAATCCACTACTTTAAATTTGAGCAAGTATTCATAGAAAAAAATAACAATTTTTATACTTTCAAAAAGTCATAGTGATTTTATTCCTCATTATGCTTTATTCTAAAATGTATTTTCCTCCTTTTGAATATTTTATTAATTTCTCGGCTATTTTGATTTCTGAGTTTCTTGTTTCAATAAATGTGCATAGATGCTATAATTTCAGATTATTTCTTTGGCTAAAATTACTTCTCTATTGTCCTAACACATAAGTTATAATTTGGTTGGGTACAAGAACCTTGGAAAATACATTTTGTTTCAAAACTATAGCTGCTGCTCCATTTTATTCCTTCATTGTATATCACTGAAATTTCTGATACCGACCTGATTCATTTTACTTTGATCTTTTTCAGCCTGTATTCTCATAGGAATATTTTTTCTTCAACCTTGAAATATTTTTAAAAATCACTGTGATATCTTTAACTGTGTTATTAATTTTTCTCATCATTCTAAAAGTTCTGTTAATCAGAGGACAGTTATTTTTATCTCTAAGTTATGGCTTCTGTTATTTACAAATTATTTTTCCCTTTAATCAATCTGTTTTTTATTCTTAAAACACTGTGTGTATACTGATTTTTTAGAAATCTGACCTCATCCATATCTTTCAGCTCTCCAAATTTATTTTAGGAGAAAGCTGACTGGGTGCCCTGGTTCACTAATTCTTCAGACAGACTTACATTTTTATTTGTTGAGTCAAGAGCTGCTTGGTTTTCCTTGAACTGTACCTTACGAAAAATTCTTGAGGTTTCTGGCATGTAAAAGAGCACACTTTTGCCCTTGATCTTATTCATAGAAGTACTGGGGGATTTTCTCAAATGTAAATTATTATTTGTGGATTTTTCAATGTCATCTCCTTTGCTTCCATTTCTCCTCTATAAAAGAATGTGTGTATACACACACACACACACACACACACACACACACACACAAACCAATCCTTTATTGTCTTGTAAAGCAAGTAGGCAACCTGACTTCCTCCCTAATGGTCCTATGTGGAATGAAGGCTTGCAGAATAATAGTTTCCCAATATTTGACACAATTTAATGAGTAATAAAGGCTTGAATTGGTATAAGTGTTTTTTATAAGCTGGGGACAGCAACCTTACACTTTAATGCTGTCCAAGACCATCCATACGCATGAGTTTTCTGCAGAAAATCATATAACTGAGTAAACTGCTTTCACTTTAACAATCTCACATCAGAATTTAGTAATCAATTTTGTCCTGCAAGCCTATCCACTAGTGGCCATGCTTTTTTGTTCTATGAGAAGATTACTTAATGATTTCTTTCTCTTCAAACCTCTCACAATTTTTTTTCTCTATTCTGAAGAAAAAGAAGCCATTACAACTCAATTTCCTCATGCTCCTATTGCCAAATTCACAATCTTATTTTCACTAAACCATCTTCATCCTTTCTTTTATAAAAAAAGTAGCCCTTCCCTTCTTCTCAAAGGCAGTCCCTCCACACGTTGACTTGATCCTGTCCTCTCCATTCTCTCAAGGTTATGCTGCATGTACTATCCCCTCTTGCCTGTGTGACTTTCCCTGTCTGCTCTGTATTTGCTTTATCCATCCAAAGATATTATCTTATTTCCCATCTAAAGAAAATCATTTCCTGACTGCATTCTTCTCCAACTACTGTATTTTCCTGCTTGCGTTCATTACCAGCTTTTTAAATGAACTATTTAAAATTGTAGTGCTGAGCTTAAAATAGCTATTTCAACCATTCTCGACAGTATTACAGACAATATCCAATGAGCCACAAACTTGATCCTCATATTTCTCAATACCAAATAGCATTCTTCATCTTTGACCAGTCTCCCATGCTATATGCTCTTTCTCTACTTGATCTACAATATTGGACATTGCTCTAACCTACAATGCAGAATCTGTGAGTTAATTCTGTCCACAAATTTTATGTTGATCCTAAGATCTACTGCTTTAACATAGATTTATTACCCAAATTTAAGAAGCCCATAACCATTTTCTGCTTGATTTCATCACGTGGCTATCTCTTAAACATTTCAAAATAATTTTTTTTAAATAGAAACTTCTTTAATGAAAATTTCACCTGATTATTCCATTCCTTCTATAGTTTTATACTTATATTAATATTAAGAAGTTGTGCAATATGAAATCTAGATTTCTTTAACTGTTCCTTCAGTCTCAAAAAATTCTTAAACTCAATTCTGCAAGACACAAAATCAATTCTATTTACAAAATATATCAAATAGCCAGCCTTTTTTTTTTTTCCTTTGGCATCTGTATCTCCACTGTGGTCTAAGTCCCCATCAGTTCTCTCCTATAAGTTACAAACTCTCCTGGATTTGTCTTTATACTTCCACTTTTGTGTCTGTATGACAAATGTTTTATATAGAAGATATTTTTAATTTAAATAAATTCTTCCTTTTTAAATATTTTTTATTCTGGTGAGAAAATTTAGCATGAGATGTACTCTTAATACATTTTTTTTTTTTTTTGAGACAGAGTTTCTCTCTGCCTCACCACAACCTCTGCCTCCTGGGTTCAAGGGATTCTCCTGCCTCAGCCTCCCGAGTAGCTGGGATTACAGGCGTGCTCCACCACGCCCAGCAAATTTTGTATTTTTAGTAGAGACGGGGTTTCTCCATGTTGGTAAGGCTGGTCTCGAACTCCTGACCTCAGGTGATCCGCCCACCTTGGCCTCCCAAAGTGCTGGGAATACAGGCGTGAGCCACCGTGCCCGGCCTCTTAATTCATTTTTATGTATACAATACAATATTTTAACCATAGGCATAATATTGTATAACAGATCTCTAGAATGTATTCATCTCACCTAATGGAAATTTTATAACAATTTATTAGCAATTTTAAATTTTCTCCTCCCCCACCCCTTAGGACCTGGTAACTACCATTCTACTCTATGGTTTTTCAAGTTTGGCTATTTTATTTACCTTGTATAAGTGGAATCATTCAGTGTTTGTGCTTCCATTACTGTCTTATTTTGCTTGGCATAATATCTTCATGGTTCATCTGTTATTGCATATTGCAAGATTTTGTCCTTTTATAAGGCTGAATAATTAACATTGCATTGTATGTTATGATGGCTTATTGTATGTGTCCACTAGACTAGGCTAAGGAATGCCCAGATAGCTAGTAAAGCATTATTTCTGACTGTGTTTCTCTGTAAGGGTGTTTCTGGAAGAGATTAGCATTTGAACAGACTAAAGAAGATCACCCTCACCAATTAGGGTGGGCATCATCCAATCCACTGAGAGCCTGAATAGAATAAAAAGGTGGAAAAAGGAAACATTTTCTCCATATTTGAAATGAAACATACATTCTCTCCTGTCCTCAGCCATCAGCACCCCTAGTTCTCAGGCCTTGAGACACGGGCTTGGAATTACACCATCAACTACCCTGGTTCTTAGGCCTCTGGACTAAGATTTAATTAAAACTTTTCAGGTTATCCAAGTTGCAGATGGCAGATCTTGGGACTTCTGAGTCCCCACATCATGTGAGTCAATTCCTATTTGTGTCAATTCCTATTTGTGTCAATTCCCTGGAGAACCTTGACTAATACTTACATGTATACATGTACCACATTTACTTTATTCTTATTTATTCATTTATTCTTTATTCTTCTTTCAATGAACATTTAGATTGTTTCCACATCTTGAAAATTATGAAGAGTTATATGGTAAACATTGGATGCTACTATCTCCTCAAGGTTATCATTTTAATTATTCTGGACAAATAAACATAAGTAGGATTGTTGAACTATATGGTAGTACTGTTTTTAATTTTTTTTATGAACCTCCATGCTGTTGCTAGAGCAGCTGAGCCATTTTGCATTTCACCAACAGTGTACAAGGGTTCCAGTTTCTCCACGTCCTTGTCAATACTTGTCTTTTGCTTTTTGATCACAGTCATCGTAATGGGAGTGAGGTTATATACATCATTGTGGTTTTGGGTCACATTTTTCTGGAGTAGTGACATTGAGCAAATATTCATATACATGCTGAGTATTTACATTTCTTCTTTTGAGAAATGTTTATTCAAATCTTTAGCCCATTTTTAATTGGGTTATTGCATATGTACTTTTTTGCTATTGAATTGTAAAAGTTTCTTAAATATTTTGGAAATTAACCCCAAGTCTATGTGGTTTACAAATACTTTTTTTTTTTCCATTCAGTACGTTGTCTTTTCTTTCTGCTGATTTTTTTTCTTTGCTGTTCAGAAGTGTTTTAGTTTGATGAAGAAATGAAAGAAGACACAAAAGAATGGGAAAATATTCCACATTCATTGATTGAAAGACTTAATATTGTTGAAATGCCCATACTACCCCGTGTGATTCACACATTTAATAAAGTAATCCCTACCAAATCCAACTGGCATATATATTTTAATGGCAGATGTTGCTTCTCATTAGAGAGGAGAAGTCATCTGAATAATAGTAACATTGCCAAAAATTGATTCCTTACTAAGTGGCAGGCAAAATTTCCATTAATTTTTTAATGTTTTACTTTGTGGGGGCAGAAATGAGATGTTTGTTAGAGGGTACAAAGTTTCAGTTGTGCAAGATGAATAAGTTCTGGAAATCTATTATAAAACATGTGACTATATTATATACTTGAAATTTGCTAACAGGATGGATCTCAAGTGTTCTTACCACAAAAACAGAAAGACAAAAATGGTAACTGGGGTGATAAATATGCTAATTTTCTTGATTATGATTATTTTATAATGTATATCAAATAATTAACCATACCACTTAAATATTCATATTTTTAGTTGGCAAATATACCTAATGATATTGTTTACAGAAATAGATAAAACAATTCTGAAATTCATATAGAATAACACCAAATGCTACCAAGGACATGGAAAAACAGGAACTCTCATTCATTGTTCATGGAAATATACATGGTTCAGTTACTTTGGAAGACATTTTGGTAGTTTCTTACAGAATGAAATAGTCTCATACCATGTGATCCAGCAATTGAACTTCTTGGTATTTACATAAAGGAGAACAAAACTTGTGACCTCACAAAAACCTGAACACACGTTTATAGAAGCTTTATTCATCTTTGAAGCAACCAAGATGTCTCTTAGTAGAAGAATGGTTACATGAATTGTGATACATCCAGACAATTAAATATTGTTCAGTGCTAAAAGGAAATTAGCTAAGAAGCCATTAAAAGGGATGGAGAGTTGGGCACAGTGGTTTACAACTGAAATCCCAGCACTTTGTGAGGCTGAGGCAGGAGGATTGTCTCAGGCTAGGAGTTCAAGACCAGCGTGGCAACATAGTGAGACCTTGGCTCTACAAAAACACAAAATAAATAATAATCCAGACATAGGTGTGTGTACCCATTGTCCTACCTACTCAGGAGGCTGAGAGGGAGAATTGCTTGTGCCCAGGAGATCCACTCTGCAGTGAGTTATGATCATGCCACTTTATTTCAGTCTGGGCAACAGAGTAAGACTCTGTCTCTAAAATTATCATTTTTAATTTTAAAAAATACAGGGCTGGGTGCTGTGGCTCACGCCTGTAATCCCAGCACTTTGGGAGGCCGAGGCAGGCAGATTGCCTGAGGTCAGTAGTTCCAGACCAATCTGGCCAACATGGTGAAAACTTGTCTCTACTAAAAATACAAAACAATTAGCCAGGCGTGGTGGTGTGCACCAGTAATCACAGCTACTCGGGAGGCTGAGGCAGGACAAGTACTTGAACCAGGGAGGTGGCCTTGAACCAGGGAGGTGGCCTTCATTAGCTAGCACAATTTTGAGCAAAAAACAAAGTTAAAGACATCTCATTTCCTAACTTCAAAATATATTCAAAAACAATAGTTATCAAAACAGTATTGTACTGGCATAAAGACCGACATATAGACCAATACAACAGAAGAGAGAATCCAGAAATAAATCCATGCATGTACAGTTAATTGATCTTCTAGAAGGTTGCTGGGAATACATAATTGGAAAAAGATAGTCTCTTCAATAATTGTCAGGAAAACTGGATAACCCCATGCAAAAAAAAAAAAAAAAAATTGGGACCTCTATCTTACACCACACAGAAAAATCAAATCAAACATTTGATTTGCTTGAAGACATAACCATAAAACCTGTAGGTGTAAAACTCATAGAAGGAAACAGTGAAAAATCTTCATGACATTGGTCTTAGCAACAATTTTTTAGATATAATATTTAAAGAACAGGCAACAAAATTGAGCCATATCAACATGGTTCTTCTTAAAACAAAATAAGATCATATTATTGGCCAGGTGAAAAGCTGAATTTCAGAATGGCACTAATTACCACAGAAATGAAAATCCAGACTCCTCCCATGGTCTGCAAAGCCTATCTGCACTTCCCATAAACAACTTTTCTTTCTGCTTTCTGTCCTCCAGACACACTAGTGTTCTAGTGTTCTTTTTATTCTTCAAAAATTAAAGCACTTTCCAAAACTAGGCATGTTGCTCTTGCAGAACTCCTGAGGCAAAACTCTTCTTTATTCATTTCACATGGCTCACTCTTTCTCATAATTTAACTCTCAGTGGAAAAAATCTCCTTGGAGAGAACTTACATGAACTTTTATGACCTTATGTTGATTATGACACTAAAATAATGCTTCATTTTTATCTATACTTGCCCTGGAATAATTACTATACATAAAATATATTTACTTTATACTTTTTCTCATTAGTTTTTTTTTTACTATTTATGCTTCCAACTATTCAATGTCTTTCAATTAAGACACACCAACATTTCCAACTATCTATTTCTATTATTACTTTTGTAATCAAATAGCTTTGAAATTTGAAGAGTTTTTTTTTTCATTTATCCTCAATTCTTATATACATTCATATATCACATTTTCAGGATTATATTTCTCACTCACTCATTATAGCTCCTTCTTCTTTTAACACCTGCTATCATATCCCTATTATATATTATCAAATTCTTATTATATCTCTTCTGAATCATGATGTGTTATCAGGAAAAGAAAATATTTTAAAGACCCTTTAAAAATAATATTTAAATTGTTTGTAAATGTTAATTTATTGGGTATAACTAGTTTTTTAGTACTCATAATTGCATGTTGTTCACTTGAGATTACTTCACATGAGATCACACTGTTTATATTACTTATCTTTCCTGTTCTTTCACCATGAAACATACCACACTTCTATAGCCGATTTGTGAGAAACACATAATTCACAGGAAATTTTGACAATAAAATTTATTTGACATAATAACAGCATTTTATCTAAAAATGTCCCTATTATATCCATTTCTCCTTGATCTTATAGAAGCCTCCTCTTTGTTTTTACCTCTAGCATTCAATGTTTTGAATCTTTACCTCCTTAATTAATTTTTTTCTGTATGATTATCAAGGTTCTCATCACATTGCTTCAATCCTAAGCACAGGGTCAATTCTATAATTTGCTGGGCTCAGTGCAAAATAAAAATGTGGTCTCTTGTTTAAAAAGCAACTAAAAGGCTTCCCTTTCTCCTCTGGACTTTATTTATTTATTTATTTATTTATTTATTTATTTATTTATTTATTAGAGATGGGGTCATACCCTCTCACCCAGGCTTGAGTCCTTGGACTCCTAGGAGCTCAAATGCTCCTCCTGCCTCTCAAGTTGTTGAGACTACAGGTGTGCACCACCACACCCAGTTAGTTTTTAAAAAACATTTTTTGGGGGGAGTCTCACTGTGTAGCCCAGTCTGGTCTTAAACTTCTGGCCTCAAGCAATTCTCCCACCTCAGCCTCCCAAATAGCTGGAATCTCAGGTGCAAACCATTATGACTGGACTTCCAGTCTCTTTCTAATCTTGTTATAGTGCTTTTCTACTTGCTAGTTAATGACACATTGCCTTTGACATAGTTATGCTCATGGGGCCTCCACTTGGGAGGCTCCCAGATGCCCCAATTACTCCACTATTTGTTACATGGGGAATTTGCCAACTCTACATTTTCTTATTCCCTGAGCAGTAGCTGGACAGGAGCAGAGGTGAGGGCACCTGAAAACTTATTGTAGGAAAAAAGAGAGGCAGTAAGAGGTAGGATTGCATTTCAGCCAAAGTTTCAAGCCCCTGATGCATGCTCCATTGTCCCATTAGGCTTTAATTACATATCATAATTCAAAGATAAAATTATGAAGAATTTTAAGAGAAAGAGCCAGGCGCGGTGGCTTATACCTGTAATCCCAGCACTTTGGGAGGCTGAGGCTGATGGTTCACCTGAGGGCAGGAGTTCAAGACCAGCCTGACCAATGTGCTGAAACCCCGTCTCTACTAAAAATACAAAACTTAGCCAGGTGTGGTGGCTGGCGCCTGTAATCTCAGCTACTCAGGAGGCTGAGGCAGGAGAACCACCTGAACCCAGTAGGCAGAGGCTGCAGTGAACTAAGGTCGCCCCACTGCACTCCAGCCTGGGCGACAGAACAAGACTCCATCTCAAAATATATATACATAAAGAGAATATATACATACATATATACATTTATATATGTATGTGTATATATATACATAGAGAGAGAGAGAGAGAAAATAACACAGTATTAAATCAAGTACAACGCTCTTTTTTTCTTTTTTTGAGACAGAGTCTCGCTCTGTCGCCCAGGCTGGAGTGCAGTGGTGCAATCTCGGCTCACTGCAAGCTCCGCCTCCCAGGTTCACGGTATTCTTCTGCCTCAGCCTCCTGAGTAGCTGGGACTACAGGCGCCCGCCACCACGCCTGGCTAATTTTTTGTATTTTTTTAGTGGAGACAGGGTTTCACCGTGTTACCCAGGATGGTCTCGATCTCCTGACCTCATGATCCGCCCACCTCAGCCTCCCAAAGTGCTGGGATTACAGGCGTGAGCCAACAAAGCTCTTTTGAGTCCAGGACTCTGTGTGACTGGTGGCCATGTCTATTCAAATCAATATAATTCTAGCCCAATTCAATCTGAAAGCTTAAAAATTCCAAAGATTATTAATTTTTTCAAATATATAATAAGTTATAGTGTGCATGAAGAGATTATATGCTCAGCAAACTAAAGATCCTGTATGATAAAAATCAATCTTAGAAGATCGTTTAATATGGTATAACAACTGCATTTCTTGTTCTATGTTCAATATAAAAATGCATCTTATCTATTAAAGGTAGAAAAACCAAATTATGTTTTGCATCCATATGAGGATTTACAGATGGAAAATACATAGATATAACTATGTGTGAAAAATACATGAATGAATTGGATTATCCCACTTGTATGTGAATGTCCCGTTGGAACCAATAAATGATGCCCTCCTGGCTTTAATCTGGTATATCTCTTTGTTTACATTAATTAGACTTCAGCTCGGTTCTGTCTGTACCTCATCCCTGCTCAAATATGTATATCATTTGATTTCATTATTCTTCCCCAAGCATAACTATTATCATATATTTCTCATCAAAAACTTTGTGTTTTCCCACTGTACAAAATCTACATAAAACATATCAAAAATTTTCCACAATATAAGCATAATTTACATTTCAAGCACCAACCAAATTGGATGATGTATTTTTCCCTAATGATGTTTCCATGGTCACTGAATGAACACATATCTCTATTTGGCCAGGGGACTTTTAGAAAAGTATGGCAAATAATCGAATAACTTATTTTTGTAGAGATATCATCTTATTACTTTTGCACCAACCTAATATACAACACATGTTTTAATATTCTTTTGTGACATTTGTTTCCTCTATCATGCAATGACATTACACGGTATTCCACATGTTTATATCTATAAACTCTTCCACAGACATGAACCCTGAATGACTCAATGACCACAGAAGATATTTTTATCTTTCTCTGAATTAGGAGGTAAGAAGAAGGGAACATATCTGAGAATATAAGAAACTCAGCATCCATTTTGCTTTGTTTCTAATGCTAGTTTCCTTTACTTCAGCTGCTTGTGCATATTTTATAAGACTCCATCCCAAATCAGTAAAGCTTTTATACAAAATTTAATATAATTTAGTAGTTCTTAATTCTGCTACTACTAACAGTAAATAGGGCAAAATCACTCCAGTTAAATGCCAAATGTGTAATCAAAATTTTAAGTTTCCATAACAAACTGATACCATTGTTTAATGACCTGTCATCAAAGAAAAAACAATTAAATCCGTGGCAGGTAAATGAAATAATAAATGCTTTGTTAATGACCTTTCTGTTTAAGCCTCCACATAAAAATAAAACAAAAAAAATCAGCCCTCAAAATTCCTCAAACAAAATACCATTATCCCTGCTTTATTAATACATAAACTATGTATGGTTAAGGTAATGCAAAACTTAAACAAGGGCATGTGGTCAGTAATTTGCATCTGAAACTAAAGTTTCTTTTCTTACTATGTGTTTCAGCTGTGTTTAACAAAGGTCGTCGGGGGAGTGACTATGCCCCAGAGTCCACCATGAGAGTGCTGAAGAGCCAAAGGTGATGGACCCCTCTGATGCTTCCCTGCCATCAGTGAGAGAAGCCTCATGTTTATGTATTTTCTATGCTGAGATTTCACTCAATATTTAATGTAGAGGAGGGATTTGGCTGTCTAAAATAAATACTATTATTATTTTTAATTGCATCCAATTTGTTATATTTAGCAATATACATTGCTGATTATCTTTGACCTACCTTCTAGTTCTATTTATTTATTTATTTATTTTATTCTCCTCTACACTGCTTTGTGCTGAAAGACTGACTTTGCAAATTGAAGTACCCTGGCTCCCTTGTCGTCTGGCTGCTGGTTGGATTCTGCAAGGAGAATGACAGAGTTCTGATTATAACAAAGGTAAAATCAGGAAGTTACAGGATTAATTCTCTCCACTAGCTCTTTGCCCTACTAAGACTCTAGTAGTAGCTGTGTTTCACTACCATGTGCCTTTAGGAGGGAGAATAACATAGTAGGTAAGGGCATGCCCTTACATATCGGAATACACACTCAGATATTCCTGGGTTTGGCTCCCAGCTCTACTCTACTTATAGGCTGTTTAATCTTGGGAAAGTTACTTGACCTTTGTGAACCTCAGTTTTTCTCATCTGTAAAATGAAGATAAGTAAAATAAACAAGCATGCAAATAAGCAGAACAATATCACCCATGTAAAGAGAGAAAAAATAATCGATTGAAACCCACTAAAAAATGATAGAAACTTTGAAAAATATAAGGTCTAAAATGTCAAATTTGATGAAAATTATAAACTATACATACAATAAGCCAGACATACAAAACACCAAGTATGATAGAAAACTAATGATAAAGAGAATGCATTAAAATGAGGCAGACTAGACAGTAGTGTATAGATATAGCTAAATAGATGGACAGCAATTACAGGAGAAAAAAGAGCTAAAAATTACTAAATTTTTAACGTGTATGTTGATAAGAGCAGAGCCAATAAATACGGGAATAAGCTTTGTTTTGAACATTACCATGGCTTCAGTGGGTGATATTTAGGAGAAAAAAATGTTGAAGTCTAAGGGAATATGATTGGCCGACTGCTAAATGCCCCTCCCTTAATTCTTACCTAAATTTTTGAGAATATGAATGTGATAAAATATCACATCCTGATTCTGTTATGTTTGTCGGTAAAAGGATATCAAATATTTAATTAATGTCTCTAGTTGACTTTAACTTAATATTCGGTACAATATTAATATTAATTACTTTAGGTTGGTGCAAAGGTAATTTTTATAATATTAATTATTATGACGTATCATTCAATCCTCAAAAGGACTGAATTAAAAGGAAGACTGAAGAGGATGCTAATCTATTCACATAGCTCTTTAAAAGCAGTGTTTTCTCTGGCTGGTTGCAAGAAGGGAAGTAAAGGAGATTCAAAGTATGAGATGGACTAGGTATTATTGGCTTTGATACACTGTTTCTGGCTTGTTCATGAAAAGGGCCAAGTGCAAGAATAGGAGAGTTGTCTCTACAAGCAGAGAACAACCCCCAGACAAAAGCTAGCAAAGACATGAGGACTTTAGTCCTAAAACCATAAGAAACTGGACTCTTCCAAACACCTGAATGAGATTAGAAGCTTATTATTTTCATCATGTTCCAGATGACATCCCATGCATGCGAACATCTTGATTTTAGCCTTTGAAAGCCTAAGCAGAGACCCCAGTTGAGCCTACCAAGGTTCCTCACCTAAGCAACTGTGAGATAACAAATGGGCGTTAGAAGGAGAGCTGGGGGGAGAGGAGGGAAGCTTTAGTGGCTATATTAATCACAGACAAGTTTTCAGAACAAAGAATATCAATACAGTAAAGAAGGCCATTTTATAATCTTGAATGGGGTTAATACATCAAGTGGACATAACAATTCTAAATATTTATGCTTCTAATAACAGAGCTTCAAACCACACAAAGCAATAACTGATAGAACTGTAAGAGCAAACTAGACTAATTTACAACTATAGTTGGAGATTTCAGTACAACTTTCAATAACAGAGAAGTAGACACAAAGTCAGTAGATACATAGAAAGAAATTATCATTCAATTTTATCTAATTGACACGTAGACATTTCAACCCAACATTAACAGAATACAAGCTATTTTTACGTGCACATGGAACACTGTCAAAAATAGATCATAAAATAAGTCTCAACAAGTTTTAAATGAGTAAAGCCATACACAGTATATGCTCTGTTCACAATGAATAAATTAACCCCCCAAAACAGAAAGACCTATAAAAAATTACTAAATATTTGGAAACAAAATAAAAAATACCGAATAACTCATGAATCAAAAACAGATTTTAGAAGGAAAATTTAAAATATATTTTTGAAGTGAGCAAAGATGAAAACACAACATATGTAAACCTAGGCAATACCATTCAGGACATAGGCATGGGCAAAGACTTCATGACTACATTGCCAAAAGCAATGGCAACAAAAGCCAAATTGACAATTGGGATCAAATTTAACCAAAGAGCTTCTGCACAGTAAAAGAAACTATCATCAGAGTGAACAGGAAACCTACAGAATGGGATAAAACTTTTGCAATCTACCCAACTGACAAAGTGCTAATATCCAGAGTCTACAAGAAACTTAAACAAATTTACAAGAAAAAAACATCCCCAACGCAAAGTGGGCAAAAGATATGAATAGACACTTCTCAAAAGACATTTATGTGCCAACAAACATATGAAAAAAAGCTCAGCATCACTGATCATTAGAGAAATGCAAATCAGAACCACAGTGAGATACCATCTCAGGCCAGTCAGAACGGCAATTATTAAAAAGTCAAGAAACAACAAATGCTGGCGAAGCTGTGGGGAAACAGGAATGCTTTTACACTGTTGGTGGGAATGTAAATCAGTTCAACCACTGTGGAAGACAGTATGGTGATTCCTCAAGGATCTAGAATGAGAAATACTATTTGACCCAGCAATCTCATTACTGGGTATACACCCAAAGGAATATAAATCATTCTACTATAAAGACACATGCACGCATATATTTATTGCAGCACTATTTACAATATCAAAGACATGGAATCAACCCAAATGCCCATCAATGATAGACTGGATAACAAAAATGTGGTATATATACACCATGGAATACTATGCAGCCATAAAAAGGAATGAAATCATGTCCTTTGCTGGGACATGGATGAAGCTGGAAGCCATCATCCTCAGTAAACACAGGAACAGAAAACCAAACACCGCATATTCTCACTCATAAGTAGGATTTGAACAATGAGAACACATGGACACAGGGTAGGGAACAACACACACAGTCGAGGGTTGGGAGATGAGGGGAGGGAAAACATTAGGACAAATAACTAATGCATGTGGATCTTAAAACCTTGATGATGGGTTGATAGGTGCAGTAAACTATGGCATATGTATACTCATGTAACAAACCTGCACGTTCCGCACTTGTATCCCAGAACTTAAAGTAAAATTTTAAAAATAGGACAAATTTTCAGGGCTAATATTACCTGAGTTTTATCATTATTATAAAGTTACAGTAATCAAGATACTAGGGCATTGCCATAAAGATAGACAAACAGACTAATGGGACAGAATAGAAAATCTAGATACAGAGCCGCATATGTGGATAACTTGACTTTTCACAAAGAACCAAAGAAATTTGTTGGGGAAACTATAGACTTTTCAGCAAATAGTACAGGAACAATTGAATAGCACAGGCAAAATACAATAAAAGTAACATTAATAATCATAATAATAAGTAAACTTTGACCTGGACCTTATGCCATTTGAAAATATTATATCTCACTGGATTATACCTAAAAATGAAACCTGAAGCTGTACAACTTCTAGAAGAAAGCACAGGAGAAAATTGTGATCACATATTTGAGATTTCTCAGGGCAGGTCAAAAACACAATCCATAAAAGAACAAATGTGACTTCATCAAAAGGTACCATTAAGAATTAAGAAGATGTAGCCGGGCGCTGTGTCCCACGCCTGTAATCCCGGCATTTTGGGAGGCCGAGGCGGGCAGATCACGAGGTCAAGAGATTGAGACCATCCTGGCCAACATGGTGAAACCCCATCTATACTAAAATACAAAAAATTAGCCGGGCATGATGGCACACTCTTGTAATCCCAGCTACTCAGGAGGCTGAGGCAGAAGAATCACTTGAACTCAGGAGGAGGAAGTTGCAGTGAGCCGAGATCGTGCCATTACACTCCAGCTTGGCAACAGAGCAAGACTCTAATTAAAAAAATAAATAAATAAATAAAATAAAATTAAGATGAAAAGACAAGCCACAAAATAGCAGAAAATATTTTCAAGAAATATATCCCGTAAATGTAAAGAATTCTCAAAACTTAATAAGTAAACAACTTAATACAAAATAATGGCAAATATTCTGAATAGGATATTTACCAAAGAAGGTATTCAGATGATATATAAGCACATGACAAAATACTCAGCATCATTAGTCATTAGGGAAATGGAAATTAAATCCATAGTTATATACTACTACACACCTATTAGAATGGCTAAGATTAAAAATACTAAACATACTGAGTATTGACAAGGAAAGGGAAAAACTGGACCTTTCATGCACTTCAAGTGGGAATGTAAAATGGGTCAACTACTTCGAAAAGCATTTTGGCAGCCTCTTATAAAGTTAAACACTCACCATATGATCCAACCATTCTAGTCCTGAGGATGTATTGAAACACACACACACACATTTGATACAAATACTTGTACACATATTTCTATCCAACTTTGTTCTAACCCAAAACTCAAAATAACCCAAGTGTTCACCAGGTGAATGGATGAACAAACTGTGGTATAACCATTACAGTGGAATGCTTCTCATCATCAGCTCAAAATGATAAGGCTATATGAAAGAAGTTAGACAAAAAAAGAGGCATTCTCTTTTGTTGCTTTTATATAAAATTATATAAATGCAAACCAATCCATAAGGACAACAATTAGATCAATAGTTGCTGTATTAGGTTCTCTAAAGGGACAGAACTAATGGAATGAATATATATATATATATATATATATATATATATATATATATATATATATATAAAATAGATATTTATTTATTTATTTAAAGGAGTGTATTAAATATTAACTCATCCGATCACAGGGTCCCACAATAGGCTGTCTGCAGGCTGAAGAGCAAGGAGAGCCAGTCTGAGTTCCAAAACTGAAGAACTTGGAATCCGATGTTCGAAGGCAGGAGGCATCCAGCATTCGAGAAAGATGTAGGATGGGAGCATAGGCCAGTCTCTCCTTTCACGTTTTTCTGCCTGCTTTATATTTGCTGGCAGCTGATTAGATGGTGCCCACCCAGATTAAGGGTGGGTCTGCCTTTCCCATCTCATTGACTCAAATGTTAATCTCCTTTGGCAACACCCTCACAGATGTACCCAGGATCAATACTTTGTATCCTTTAATCCAATCAAGTTGACAGTATTAACCATCACAGTTGCCTGAGAATGAGGATAGAGGGAGGCATGGAGAAGCAGTGAGATGCAAAAGGAAACTTTTGCAGGTGAAGGATCTGTTCACTATGTTGATGGTTGTGATGTTTTCACAGGGCTACCTACATGAAAACTTATCAAAAAATATATTTTAAATAGGTGGAGTTTATTTTGTCAATTATATCTCAATTAAAAATACAAACAATGAAACTATATTTTTCTTTCAAATCATCAGCTCCCTTTGAATGAGTGATGCTGAAATGGTCAGATTGGAAGCTAATAGTAACTTTGATGTTCAACGTACTTCCTGTGTTATTGTTTTTATTTTTCTCATGTCAGAAGCTGTGGACTTATGAGAGCCTGTTCATATCATGTTTGTTTTTTTTTTTTTTGGCATTTTACTCTGTTGGTTCTGTGAGGAAATAGATCAGTATAATATATTCAAAGTATTTAGGCTATTGCTTCATTTTGGATGAGAATCTATGCCGTAGCAAATTACACCTCAGGATACTATTAGCTTGTCCAAGTTAGAGACTAAGTAGTCTACATTTTCTTCCTTCAAACTCCTTTATCCCTGAAGTCTCCCTAAGGTAATTTTCTTTGCAGTCTCAATTAATTTCAAATTCAGGCCTTTGGCTGACAGCTGGACTCTTCCAGCAGGGCATCCAGCTTCCAACAGAGCATTATTGAATGTAACTGCTCTGTCGTTTTGATTGAGGCTGTGACTTCTCAGTAGTAACTTCCCTTCCAAAGGGAGCTTTTACCTCACTGGATGCAGAGTAGGGAGACACGGGACAGAGTACAGAGGCCTAGGAAGAAAAAGCCACAATAGAGCTGCCATGTCCACAGACGAAGGCATGTGACTCTTCGTCATCGTCAACATAGTGCTTAGCAAAGCTGTTTTTAATTTTATACACAAACTGGGTATATTTAAAAATATGTGGCAGACAATACTCTCATTTTTTTAAATTTATTTGTCAAAAGTACCTTTGATGTTAATTTTTTTTTCTTTTTTTAGACACAGTGTCACTCTGTTGCCCAGGCTGGAGGCTAGAGTGCAGTGGAACAATCTCAGCTCACTGTAACTTCAGCCTCCTGGGCTTAAGGATCCTTCCACCTCCACCTCCTGAGTAGGTGGGACTCAGGCACACATCACCTTTTCAGGCCAATTTTTTGTTTTTGTATATATATATTTCTTGTAGTGATAGGGGGTTCCACTATGTTTCCCAGGTTGGCCACAAACTTCTAAGCTCAAGTAGTCTGTTTGCCTTGGCCTCCCAAAGTTCTGGGATTATTGGCTTGCACCCACTGTGCCAGGTCTGATGTCAAATTTAACAGTAAATATGTTTCTACTCTTTGGCTTACTAATTTTATTGATACACGTTATTCTAATAAAAAAGAAATTCTTTAAAAGCTGTAAGTACACGGGTTTAATACATCATCACCTATATTTGTTCATACTTATTACATAAAAGTCATTGTTGCCTACATTGTGCTGGGGACAATATTCAGTATATTGAAGTGTCCAACAAAATATTTTGAAAGAAAAAATAAATGAGTGAAGTCTCATGCCCTTATTGATTCTATGATGTGTATTTATAATCAGATAAATTGCTTTCATTGCCTTTCTTTGGGTATTATTTTACAATGATGTACATATACTTAAAAATTAATTATATTTTTATTCTTTCTACAGTACTTTATTTACCAAGTGTTTTCCTGAATGTGAATCTACTGAAAAAAGAGGTTCAAGTGATATTTTACTAAGAAATGTGTTTATTTCTTCTGTATGTACCATGATGGCAGGCAATTAAATTATAAAGAAATTTTAATTATGTTTAGTAAGAATTGAGATATGTAGGTTATTTTATGCTATAATATTTTTATCCTCTGCTCAGTCTACCATGAAATGTCAAGTAGGTAGACATTGTAACCCAAGCATTTTGTCTTTCAATTTTTATAATTATTTAGACTACAGTTAACTTGAGTGTTCCTGACTTTCTCTGTGCTTATTGTTCAGATAGAGATGATTATAATTTCATTTGTATTTAACGGTAAGTCTTCCACTCTCTAGTCTGAACATATTGACCTCAATTATTCTTACAAGTCAGATTAGCCTTATTAGCATCAATCATTAATAAAACATAGGAAAAGACTATATTCTAAGCAGTTGCCTTCCACGTGGCAACAATCAGCAGGACTAGTGTGTTTGAAGAGAGATATGTGTTTTCTTCTAATGATATTTAAGGTATGGATTATAGGATTAAGCCCATCTACCTAACCAACCTGGATAAAGGACCGGAGAATGGCATTCATCCTCATCCTGCAGTACAATTACTCTTTTTAGGACTAATCAAAGCTGAAAAATAAGAACTTAAATCCTGTCCCATACTCCCATCTTTGTACCCCAATAGAAACTCTGCTATGAATAACTGATAAAAACATCAAATTGCATTAGCCAGACTACCACTGTACAGAAGAAATACCTCCTTTATCTTTTCCAAACACACAAATATGTGGGATATTCCTGCTGAAATTTAATGACTCAATTGTATACATCAAGTCTAATGTGAACTTTCTGCAACAAGCACTGTACTAGTCATATATAAGATGAAATATATCTAAAATAATATCAGCACATCTCTCTGAATCTCTTTTATTGTGAAAGCCATCACTTTAAAATAAAGTAAATATATGAGGGATTTTTTTTCTTTTTTTTAAATTTTATTATTATTATACTTTAAGTTTTAGGATAAATGTGCACAATGTGCAGGTTTGTTACATATGTATACATGTGCCATGTTGGTGTGCTGCACCCATTAACTCGTCATTTAGCATTAGGTGTATCTCCTAATGCTTTCCCTCCCCTCTCCCCCCACCCCACAACAGTCCCCGGTGTGTGATGTTCCCCTTCCTGTGTCCATGTGTTCTCATTGTTCAATTCCCACCTATGAGTGAGAACATGTGGTGTTTGGTTTTTTCTCCTTGCGATAGTTTGCTCAGAATGATGGTTTCCAGTTTCATCCATGTCCCTATAAAGGACATGAACTCATCTTTTTTATGGCTGCATAGTATTCCATGGTGTATATGTGCCACATTTTCTTAATCCAGTCTATCATTGTTGGACATTTGGCTTGGTTCCAAGTCTTTGCTATTGTGAATACTGCCGCAGTAAACATACGTGTGCATGTGTCTTTATAGCAGTATGATTTATAATCCTTTGGGTATATACCCAGTAATGGGATGGCTGGGTCAAATGGTATTTCTAGTTCTAGATCCCTGAGGAATCGCCACACTGACTTCCACAATGGTTGAACTAGTTTCCAGTCCCACCAACAGTGTAAAAGTGTTCCTATTTCTCCACATCCTCTCCAGCACCTGTTGTTTCCTGACTTTTTAATGATCACCATTCTAACTGGTGTGAGATGGTATCTCATTGTAGTTTTGATTTGCATTTCTCTGATGGCCAGTGATGATGAGCATTTTTTCATGTGTTTTTTGGCTGCATAAATGTCTTCTTTTGAGAAGTGTCTGTTCATATCCTTTGCCCACTTTTTGATGGGGTTGTTTTTTTCTTGTAAATTTGTTCGAGTTCTCTGTAGATTCTGGATATTAGCACTTTGTCAGATGAGTAGATTGCAAAAATTTTCTCCCATTTTGTAGGTTGCCTGTTCACTCTGATGGTAGTTTCTTTTGCTGTGCAGAAGCTCTTTAGTTTAATTAGATCCCATTTGTCAATTTTGGCTTTTGTTGCCATTGCTTTTGGTGTTTTAGACATGAAGTCCTTGCCCATGCCTATGTCCTGAATGGTAATGCCTAGGTTTTCTTCTAGGGTTTTTATGGTTTTAGGTCTAACGTGTAAATCTTTAATCCATCTTGAATTAAATTTTGTATAAGGTGTAAGGAAGGGATCCAGTTTCAGCTTTCTACATATGGCTAGCCAGTTTTCCCAGCACCATTTATTAAATAGGGAATCCTTTCCCCATTTCTTGCTTTTGTCAGGTTTGTCAAAGATCAGATAGTTGTAGATATGCGGCATTATTTCTGAGGGCTCTGTTCTGTTCCATTGGTCTATATATCTGTTTTGGTACCAGCATCACGCTACCTGACTTCAAACTATACTACAAGGCTACAGTAACCAAAATAGCATGGGATTTTTTTTTTCTACTTATTCATCCTGGATATCACCTATGTACTGTGGAATCAGATATTGCTTTCTAATTTAATTAACTATAGATATTCTGAGTCCACCAAACAGAAGATAAAATATGAAGTCAATTACTTGATAATCACTTGTTAGTAAGTATCCTTTACTATGTCTGGCATAATTGAGGTCGTTCAAGAGGTCTTAGATATGTCAATGGTGGAATGAATAAGTGAGAGTTGGTCTATTCCCTTTTTTCTCTTGTTGAGATATATACATTTATTAGCAGGCCTTTCAGAGAGAAGCTGTTTTTAATGTTTCATTGGATATTTTTCTGTAACTATGTTTGTAGCTTTGTATGATGCAAAAATTAAGGCAGTATTGATGACTGCCTATAGAGGCAACATTTTCCCAAATTCCTTATTCTTTTGATGAGCCCACATGTTTGCCATCTGTGATTATCTGTGACCTTACAACAAAATACTTGGAGTAGTAGTTCTACCTGTTTGAAAGCTGACTCTGGCTGGTTGTAGGGTCTGATTAAATTTAGACTGGCTTGAGTCTCAGATGGACCCAATGCCTCTGGATCCAACTTATAGTTCTACAGTGTTGTTTGATGTGAGAAATGGATGTAGTGGGCAGTTGTGCCTGTGCAGAGTGCATTTATTCAGCATTACCACCAAGTCCTTTTAACTTCTAAAACTACTTCATCATCATGGAAGTCATAAATTTGCAATTACTCTTCTGAGAAGACAGCTACAAAATATATAACCCACTTTCTTTTAAGAGTTTAATGTAATATCTTTTTTATACTACCCCTGAACTCATGGCCTACCAATTCATGATACTCTTACTTTAGTGCTGTATTCCTTATACATCCTCTGTTCACTTCATTTTTCTATATTACTGATATGTCATTTTTTTTCTTTATATACCAACTCAATGCTGATTATACACAATCTCTTATATTTTTTATATAGGGGAAACCTAAAGAGACAAAGAATAGTAATGCTGTTCCAGCACTGTCCAGGGAAATGAGTGCAGGAATTCAAAGATAATGTCCAAATAGACTTCATGTAGACTGTGTGATTTAAACATCATTTTCCTTTTATGAGATGTCACTTAAAAATCAAATCATATACCATGCACTACTTATGAAATTATGATTATACAAATTTGATTATAATTTTGCCTTCCAAATACTATGCCCACAAGGAGGGAATGATCTACTCAAAGAATGTGGCTGTGTGCTTTAAAAATGTTCTTCCTCACAGTAAAGTAATACACTGAGCCTCACATTACAATTAACTTCATGCAGCAGTTCTTCCAAGTCAAGCATTTTGGTACAGTTGACATTTTATTTTTCATTATTAATTAATAAGTTGGTATTGTAGATTCTCTCCCATGGTTTGTTCTACAGACAGGCCTAGTTTTAGAGAATGAGTCAGGAATAAGATGGACAGAGGTTGTTTGTTGGGATAGAGGAAAAGTTGAGAAAAAATTGCCAGCCGGAGCCAGCTCAGAGAGATTTTTCAACAAAGTATAGGGATACTCTTTTATTTACTCTAGACTTCTAAGGCTGAATGAGGGCAGAGACTCTGGGATGGTTTATTAAACTATCAGCTGTAGCATCAAGGGCAGTATAATAATGTCTTAAAGTAATTTATATCTTCTCAAATAAATATTTTGCTTATTAAAAAGCACAATTATGAGTTTTGTATAACAAAAAACAACTGAGATAAAGATCTACCAAAAGGAAAATAACAATGTGTATGTGATATTATTGCAATCCTACAAATTATATTATTGTAATTCCAAGGCTGAAACAAAAATACTTTGCCAATGCTTTATGTGTAGTAACATTTTTTTGTGATAAAAACACATTAAATATTAAGACAGTGTGCTATTAGGCTTCAGTAGAGAAACAGAACCAATAGAAGATTATATTTAATATATGTATACTAATATAATAATACATACTAAATATATATGTGTCCATATGTGTGTGTGTGTGTAATATATTTAATTATGGAGAATTCACTCACATGTCTATGGAGGCTGAGAAATCTAATGATCTGCCATCTGCAAATGGAGATTCAAAAAAACCAATAATGTAGATCAACAGGCCTGAGAACTAGGAGAATCAATAGTGAGAGTCTCAGATTGAGGGCAGGAGAAGATTTATGTTCCAGCTGCTGCAGTCAGGGAGAAGGGGTAAATTATTCCTTCCTTTGTCCTTCTATTTAGGCCATAATGAATTGAATAATGTCCACCCACTTTGATGGGTGGTCAATCTTCTTTACAGAACCTACTGATTCAAATGCTAATTTCATTCATATACATCCTCACAGGCACACCCAGAAATAATGTTTAGCAAAATATGTGGGTAATCCATGGCAGCATGCACACAGGATACCATGTACTGAGTCTTAAAATAAAACAAAGCCCAAACCTGATTTACTAATACAGTCCAGAAAGACTCAACAACACATTTTTCTTCTTTTATGGCACAATGCACACAAAGTTTAATAAGACTGAATGCAATTTTTATTTTCTCTTGAGAAAATTTGTGATTTGTGATGCTACATTTACTATGTATCTAAAATAAAAATATCTGTATCATAAAACTAGTATTGTTCTGACCATAAGTTAATTAAACCATAAAGATAATCATTGTTTCCAAAAGACGTAAATATCCAAACATGGAAATCAGAAATCAGAATGATTAACCCCACCTTTATTTTTTTTAAATCATCTCAGCTTTAAATGCCAGCTTAGTTTTATGGGAATAGTCTACATTAAAATGTTAACACTATGAATCTATTATGTAATTTAATTTAAATAAGGTAATTCAAACATTTGCTTCCATTAAAACTTATAAAACAGCATTTCAGTAAATCTATTTTTATTTATATAAGAAGATTGCCATTCAAGCATGTTGTATTATAGAAGTTAAGTGTTAAAAAAAATCCTAATTTTTTGAATAAAATAGCATAGAGTTCATTCGTTTCTATTGGTTGAGGTTTTTCTAATGAATATTTAAGCCCAAATTTTATATTATATATAATGACTTAGGAAAACAACTGCTCTAATAATGCAACTGTCAGTGTGCAAAATTGTAGAATTTTAATTACAAACTTTTTTATATTTCAAAATTACAAAAAAGATTTTGTCATTTTTAAGTTTTAAAATTTTTTTTAAACATTGAAACGTATATGCATAAAACAAGTATTCTTTCTTGGAAAATTAATTTAGTTTTATGTATGTTTAAAATGAAGGTAATTTTTTTTCTAGAATACTATGACTATAATAAAAATTTGTCATCAGGGAAAATCATTAATAAATAGTTTTAAAAGTTTTACTAGAAATACAGTTGCCAATTTCTCCAACATATAATTGAATGATATTTTATTCTCAGAGTTAAAATCTGGGATGGTAAATTGAGGTTTTGTTTCAAGCACCTCTTAGGCAAATAATTACAGTATATAAAATATGAAAACATACCAGTAAAAAAATCAAATACAAGACAAACATCTTTATAACAATGACAGAAGATACAATGGCAAATGTGTTGAATCAATGGGCTTCTTGAGCTTTGATGAGTACAGAAGTGGGTGGCAGCATCCAGAAATTTTGCTTCTATGGAAAACAAAGAGCTAAGTGTCCCCCAACCAAGATGGCACACCTGAATCAGGCTTACATATTAGAACTAGAGACTCCATATGAACCCCATATGCTAAAGAATGGAGCCTGAAAAATAATAATGCCCAATGGTACCTAGAGCAATTTCAAATGCCAAGCTAACGAATGGTAGGTAAAAGGATATCCCATTTTGGGTCAATGACTAGATCTGCCATATTATCCAGATTACTACAAGGCCATTAATGCAAATATAGAGCACTAGATTTTATACTGAAGAAAAACAACTACTAAAAAAAACAAACAAAAACAAAACAAAGCCCAAGACCCTGAAGAAATTCAATGTCAGGGAAAAAAAATTTTTAAAAAAATCATATTTAGAATTTTAGCTTTTATCTGTTGAAGTTGCATTACCATCTCAGCAAATACTTTTTAAAACTCTATTAATAATTCAAGTATAGAAATAATGTATCATATTACATTTAAAATTAGCATAAAGTTTTGAATAGAATAATATTCCATTAATATAAAAAGGGTTAGAAATCATAACATAAACTATATTTCACTTAAAATATTTTTCAAAAAAGTCTGCAAATCTAGCTTGGATAGAGTTAAGTGGTCAATGCAAGATAGTGAGAGAACTCGTGCAGAACAGACAGGACACATGTAGAAAGATTGCACTATAAAATGTTAAAGAACTCTTACGAGACATGGAGGATACACTCAAAATCTCCAATAATAATTTAAGAGTTGAAAACAAGAGAGCAAAAACTAGAGAAGTAACTGTATTTGAGTATTTTTAATGTTTTCAAAATTGAAGGGGGGAAGATAGCTCTAATAAAATTTGCGTTCTTAAAGATAAATAGAATAAATAACCCCATATCTAGATATTTTATAGTGAAAAATGTACATTAATGATAAAATAGGTCATAAAAGCTGCTAGTGAAAAGATAGTTTAACAATAAGGAAGTGCCTGACTGACAATGAACATTTTATTTGCAACAATAGATGCCAAAAGTGAATGGGGTACTATATTCACACTGTTAAAAGGAAATAACTCTAACATATAATTTTATATCCAAGCATAATATTTTCAAGAGTAAGCAAAATAAAAATGTCTTTCAGCTATAGACACGCAGAATAACAGGAAATTTGACCACCCACAGAATTTGACTTGAAAAAACTATTAAAGAAAAATGAAATACTGAGATAAAGATGTAAGAAACTCTGTTGAGAACAGAAATTGATATAATGTAACAATAAATGTATTTAACACTTTAAGAAAAACTTTTATTTTGCAAAAAGGAAATTTAAATATTTAAATAATAATATTGGAGAAGAGTATTCAAATGATGATCAATTCCTAGTAAGTATGTTGTGAAAAGGAAAGAATATAAAAGTAATGACTGATTTTCTTGGAAAAAATATTATTGATTACCAAATAGCTTAGAAATTTGAAGGCAATCACTAAAACTATGTAAGTATAACTCAAAGTCTCCAAACCAGCAGGGAACAAACAACAGAAAAATAATATCCGATAAAAAATGTATCCATACTACACTTGAAGGGTTGTATAATGAAGAAAGCATGATGAAATCCTGAGAATCTTCTAGATTCAACTTTGGGGTCTATTGGTAAAATGGTATCAAACTAGTGCTCCCTCCATAAACAACTAGAAAACTGACGAAATATTTGAAACAATAGCTCTTGTTAAATTAAAACAGAGACAAGCCATGATGAATCCCTGAGCAGACAAAGCCAATTAAACCTCATAAATTGTCCTAATCTTGCTTGATTTGCAAACATAAATTAAACTTATATTGAGCTATTTCTTTTTTTTTTTTCTTTTTCCCGAGACAGAGTTTTGCTCTTGTTGCCCAGGCTGGAGTGCAATGGCACCATCTCGGCTTACCGCAACCTCTGCCTCCAGGGTTCAAGTGATTCTCCTGCTTCAGCCTCTCAAGTAGCTGGGATTACAGGTATGCACTACCGTGCCCAGCTAATTTTGTATTTTTAGTAGATATGGGGTTTCTCCATGTTGGTCAGGCTGGTCTCGAACTCCCGGCCTCAGGTGATCTGCCCGCCTCGGCCTCCCAAAGTGCTAGGATTACAGAAATTTAAGCTGTAACACATAGGGTGAAACTGCCTAAGGCCAGACAAAGAACTACAGGGGTATATTTACTATTTCTGAAAAAATAAACTTTTACACACTTAGCAGCTGGAAAAAATGTTATAGTTTCTGTGGATCAGATATGTGAGCATGACAGACTGAATTTTCCTTTCAGTATCTCATGAAACTGACATCAAGGTGCCAGCCATGGCTTTGGATTTATTTACAATCAGGGTCTTCTAAGCCCACTCATTGTTGACAGAATTAATTTCTTTATGGTTGTAGGAAAGAGCTCCCCATTTTCCTTCCATGTCTCATTCACAAACTACACTCAGCTCCTCTAGGACACCTAACAATTCCTTGCTACGGGTCCCCTTAGGTAGTTTACAGAATAGATGTGTTTTTTGTTGTTGTTGTTTTGTTTTGTTTTGTTTTTCATTCCAGGTCAGACAGAGCATACTCTTTTTGGCTTTCTCTTCTGCAGAAACTCTCTTTTTTTTAAAATAAAAAGACAAATAAAAACATTAAAAAATAAAATAAATACAATTAACATTTTATACTATTTTTTTCGAGACAGAGTCTCGCTCTGTCTCCAGGCTGGAATGCAGTGGCGTGATCTCGGCTCACTTCAACCTCTGCCTCCCGGTTCAAGCGATTCTCCTACCTCAGCCTCCCGAGTAGCTGGGAATACAGAATTGTATTTTTTAAAAGACAATCAGATTAGAAAAATGAGCTATATGCATTATAAAACAGAATAAAAACTTGTAAAAACATAAGGGCAATCATATACATATAGTGACCTAACAATTTGCCTGTAAGTATATCCAGCAAGCAACATGAAAATTAAAAATTACAATTGAAAAATAGACAATTATAGTGGGAAAAAGGTTTTACATATTTGTCAAAACTTGAGAGATAAAGTAGAATATAATAAGGCTATAAAACTTTGTTTCAAACCTCAAAAACAAAAAAAGTTATTAAATATACATTTATAGAATGCTACATCTAAGAAATTGAGAATAGGTATTGAAATGTATGAAAACTTTATTTAAAAATGTCTGTATACTAGCTCATAGAAATATTCTCACCATTCTTCAAAGAAGCAATATTATAGACACCATGTTAATGGACCACAATTACATAAAATTAGGAACTAACATTAAAAATGTAAATGAAAACAATTACAAATTAGATAATTTAGAAGATTCTCCTGTTCCTTCGAGAATTAAATATGAATTCACCATAGCATTACAATATTCCATAATAACAATAAAATTATATGCACCTATACATGGGATATTTTGAAAAAAATTAAATTAAATATTCAAATAAAGCCAGCAAAATGACACAACATAAAATGAGAGAAAGAAGAATAAAAGAATCACTGTGCTTTTTAATGAGACATTCATGCACTATAACGTACAATACAAAACACACATCACATCAAGAATATCAAAAGGTATTGTGTAGATTAAAAATTATAAAATGCTTTTATTCTCAATAGTTTATTGATAGAAAGAGGAATAGAAAGCACAAACATAAAAAATATTTTGAAGGAGATACCAGTAACAAGTATAGATGTAATGGAAAATTTAAAGTCACAGATAAACACTGTGAACAATTTTTATTTATTAAATTTGAAAACATAAGAATAGAATGTATGTATCATACTTAAAGAAAAAATTTCCAAAATTTTACCAAGGAAAAAAAAACACATAAATCAAATACACCAAACTCAGTATCATTGAATGGCAACTGACAGTAATTCCCATACCAATAATCAAAAAGCAGGTCCATATAATTGTATTAAAAATCTTACTTAAATCTTTTTATTGTAAAATAAGTTACAATGTTAATAAAGTCACACAAAAGCTGGTATAGCGATTAATACAATATTATAGAGCAAACATGCTTATAAATCATCAACAAGATCAAGAATTAGGATCCTATCAATCACAAGCCTTTCCCACCTACTAAAAGAAACCACCATCATGATTTTCATAATTACTGTTTTGCACTTCTCTATATTTTTACTAAAGTGTGCATAATTTAAAAGTAAAATGTAATCTTTCTCACTTTTAATTTTGATTATTTTTTCTAATTTTAATAACTTTTTTTGACGATAGTTTTAGATACACAGAAAAATGGAGAAGAGAGTATAGAGGGAGGCCCTAAATATTCAACACCCAGTATCTCCATCATTAATATATTTACTTGTTCACTTAGTGAACAAATATTTATACAGAAGTATTAACTAAAGTTCATCAGTTTTTCTTTGGCTTTTTCATAATGTTCTTTTTCTTTCCCAGCTTCCCATTCAGAATACTAGGTTAAATTTTGCTATAATGTCTACTTAGGCTCCTCTTGGATCTGATAACTTCTCAGACTTTCTTTGTTTTTGTTGATCATGATGTTTTTGAGGAGTAATGCTCAGGTATATGCTTCCCTGTTGGAATTAGTTGGGTATTTTTCATATGATTACATTGGAGTTGTTGGCTTGGGGGAAGAAGATTACTGAGGTTAATTACCACTTTTCATCACATCATATCTATAGTACATGCTATCAACATGACTTACCACTGTGGATGTTGTCATGGTCACCTGGGTGAGGTGATGCTTGCCAGGTTTAACCTGGCGAAGTTGGATATTTTCTCATTTGATATTCTACTCTTTGGAAGTAAGTCACTACGTGCAGCTTACACTGAAGGAATGTTAAGCTCCATCTAATTGAGGATGGATTATCCACATAACTTTTTGTAATTATTCTGCATGGGACATTTGTCTCTTCTCTCCCACTTATGAATCTTTTCAATTATTTATTTACATCATTGTAAACTCATGAATATTTATTTCCTACATTACAGTATAATTTAGTACTTCTTTATTTATTTTGTTGCTCAAATTTTCCAAATTTGGCCATTGAGAGCTCTTTCAACTAACTTCTCTGACCCTTTGAAATACTCCCTTCATGTGTGTCTTCTTATTTATTTTTAGCACTTTATTACTTTCTGGCTTGATAAAATACTACAGCCTCATCTTATACATTTACCTAAGTCCTGGAGTCAGTCATTTATCCCAGTTTCCCAGGTTTCTTTTACTGAAAAATAATATTAGAAACAAAGATGTGGGTACCAAGTGTGCTTAATGTGACTGAGTTCTCATCATCTCTAGGCTTTTCAGCAGGCAGATAAATAAATAAAATATATTTATGTATAATCACACACACATGTTCACAAACTCCATTATGAATACATAGCAGTATCAGAATGGTTAACCTGAACTCCCTTGGGAAACAATTTTATTAATAAGGGTACAGTGTTTGCATGCAGTTTCTTTCGTCTTTAGTAGTACAGACTCCACTCATTTCCAAAGTTACTAAGTTTGGCATTTCCCCTGCCTTTTCCAGTGAGGTGGTAGCATACATTTGTAATATATTTCTATTCTGTTATCAGACACTTGTATTCCCTCTAAGGATCTCTGACCCCTTAAATGATTTTTTTTTTTTAGTTTGCATACATTAAGAGTCACTTTTGTGTTGGCCAATTAATGTTTTGTATTACCGTTACAATATTACCAAAATATTTTCAGCACCCTGAAGATCTCTTGTGCTTCATCTACTCATGTCCCCCAGCCTCCATCCAAATCCCTGGCAAACATTAATGATTGAAAAGTTTTGCCTGTTCCAGAATGTCTTATAATTGGACTTAAACTTTATGGAGCCTTTTCTGAATGGTTTCTTCACTTACCAATATATATTTAAGTTTCCTCCGTATCTTTTATTTGTTTAATATCTAATTTCTTTTTATTTTTGAATATTTCACTGTTTGAATGTATCACACTTTGTATATCCATGATAGACATCTTGGCTGCTTCCAGTTTGGGTGAATAAAGCCATTATAAATGCATATATACAGATTCTTGTAGACATCACTTTTAAAATAACTTGTATAAATACCTAGGAGAACAATTGTTTGATCATATTAATAAGACTCAGTTTAGCTTTGTAAGAAACTGCCAAGATACATTCCACAATGTTTGCACAATTTTGTATTCTCACCAGCAATGGATAAAAGTTCCTGGAGTTCCACAGCCTCATTAGCATTCGGTACCGTTAGTATTTTTGGATTTTACCTATTCTAATAGGCACGTAGTGGTATCTTATTTTTAATTTAATTTGGAAATCCCTAATGACAAATAATATTGTGCATTTTTACATATACTTATTTGACTTACATAAATCTTCCTAGATGAGGCCTCTGAAAAATCACAAAGATGTGGAAATTAAACATCACACTCCTGAATAACCCATAGATCAAATAATAAATCAAAACAGAAATAAAAAGCATTTTGAAACAAATGAAAATGGGAACACATAATACCCAAACATATAGGATGTACCAAAATAAATTTTAAGAGGGAAGTTTATAGCAGTAAATGCCTACATTATTAAAAAAAAGAAAGATTTCAATTTAACTTTATGCTTCAAGGAACTAGAAAAAGACCAACAAACCAACTCTAAAGTCAGAAAAAGTAATGAAATAATGCACATCAGAGTAAAAGAAAACAGAAAAACAATAGAAAAGGCCAATGACACTAAGAGATGATTTTTGAAAAGATAAACAAGTTGGCAATCCTTTAACTAGACTATGAAAAAGAGAAAAAAGACTCAAATAAATAAAATTATAAATGAAACAGGAGACATTATGACTGATATCACAGAAGTACAAAGTATCAAAAAAGACTATTATGAATAATTATATGCCAACAGATTGGATAATCAAAAGAAATGGATAAATTCTTAGAAACATATAACCTAAAAAGGCTGGATCATGAAAAAGAGTAAATCTCAACAGACTAATATTGAGTATGGATATTGAATCAGTAATCAAACAGTTTTCAACAAAAAAAGATCTCAAGACACGACAATTTCACTAGTGAATTCCACCAAACTTTAAAGAAGAATTAATGCAAATTTTTCTTAATGTATTCAAAAAAATTAATAAGAATAGAACACTTCCAAACTTATTGACAGTGGCGTAATTACCCCCTTATCCTGAGAATAAAGCCAGACAAAGACACAGCAAGAAAAGAAAATTATAGGCCAATTCCCCAATGAAAGTAGATGTAAAATCTTAAAAAAAAAATACTAGCAAACCAAATTCTACAACACATTATCAGGATCATATATCATGTTTAATTTGTATTTATCCCTGGAATGTAAGAATAGCTCAACATATGGAAATCAATAAATGTGAAACACTACTTTATCAGAATGAATGATGAAATTAATCATTCATCTATGGTTATCTCAATAGATGCAGAAAAATATTTGACAAAATTTAATATCTTTTTACATTAAAAAATTTCAACAAAATAAGTATAGAAGTAATGTACCACAACCTAATAAAAGCCATATATGTCAAGCCCATAGCTAATATCATACTCAACAGTGAAAAGGTGAAAGTCTTTTCTCCAAGATCAGGAACAAGACAATAGTGCCTATTCTTGCCACTTCTACTCAATACAGTGCTGGAAGACAGAATAATTATGCAAGAAAAAAAGAATAAAAGACATCTAAATCAGAAATGAAGACATAAAATTGTCTCTATTTCCTGATGACATGATCTTATATATATAGAAACCATAAAGACTCTATCAAAAATCTGTTAGAAGTATTAAATACATTCAACAAAGTTTCCGATACAAAATCAACATACAAGAATCAATTGCATTTCTATACACAAATAAATGAAACTCTTCCTTCCCGATTTTTTTAAAATCCCTTTAATATCAGAAAAATGAAATAAAGCACCTAGGAATAAATTTAACCAAGGAGATGAAAGATGCGTATACTGAAAACTACAAAACATTGATCAAATAAATTGAATAATACACAAATAAATGGAAAAATATCCCGTATTATGGATTGGAAGAATTAACATTATTAAAATGACCACACTACTCAAAGCTATTTACAGATACAATCCAATTGCTACCAAAATTAGATTTTGGTATCTTTCACAGATACCAAACGGCATCTTTCACAGAAATAGAAAAAAGAGTTCTAAAATTTATTTGGAGCTACAAAAAAAAAAAAAAAAAAAAGAATAAAAACAAATAGTAAAATGTAACCAGTGTTTTTGAGGATGTCGAGGAGAGGAAAACTTTGTACACTACTGGTAGAAGTGTAAATTGGAGCAGCCACTCAGGAAAACAGTATGGAACTTCTTCAAAAAATTAAAAACAGAACTACTATATGATCCAGTAATCCCACTTCTGAGTATATATCAAAAGGAAATTAAATTAGTATGTTAAAGAAATGTTAATATCTGCCCTTCTATGCTCAATTACTAGCTTCTGTGGTGGTATATTAACATTGGTGTAGGCTTACACATTTCCTGCTTAAGACCTGGAATCATCCATTTACTCAAGAAGCTGTGTTTCCTTTTAGATAAAAATGCTAATTCATATTCACAATCTGGATGCTGGGAAGGCTAATTCTTACTGGTTGATCATAGTTCTTGGCCTTTTCAGTGGACAATATTATGATTTCTAAAGATAAATATTCACTTGTATTTACACTGATACTCTCAACTTCAATTTAGAACTATGGAGTTTTTACTTAATCACTTGTTTCTTACATATCTATCCATTTTCTTCCACAAAAAGGAACATGATTTTCAGAGATGCCCAAAGGAATTTTTTTCTTGAAATTTTTTTTAATAGACTATGGCTTGTTATTAGTTATTCTAGATATGTGACTTGCTTTTTCAGTATGTAGTTTATGTATTTTAATATTTTTAATTTCAGAAATGTTTTATCAAAATAAAATTTTAACATGTATTTTGCTTCCTTGTTGTTTAGTGACGTTTCTAATATATGCGATGGTTCTTTGCCTGTATAGAAGGACCGTTGAACAGGATAGCTTTGCAAACTTCCCAGTGTCCCCTAAGCCATTATTTCTGTGAAGTTCTCCAAAATATGGCTCTTGTTTTTTGAGATTTATTTCCTTTGTTATTCTCTCTGCCTTTATCTGTACCTTCTTTGCCTTCAACTCTATTGTCCTTACCTTTTTGTCTATGATTCCACTCTGAGAAGTTTTCCTTTAGTGTTTAATCCTATCCTGTAAGGAAACTTCTATGTATGTTTCCAACACATGAGTCCATATGTTTCAAGCTTCATAGAACTTACTGCTGGCTCCTTGCATTAAACCATGATTCAGTTGGGCAAATCTAGCAGATACAACTGACATTCTCAAATTACCACAATGACCAGTCCAGTGAATATTGGAATCTTGGCTATTTGTGGTTCCCCCTCTATCTCCTTGTTTTGCTTCATTTTGTTATGCCCTCCTTTCCCTTGTGCACTTACTTATACTTTGGGGTCCACGAGGACACCTTGTCATCTAGTTTAGTGTTAATGCTATTTATCGGTTTTCATTTGCTATCTAGTTCCTCTAGTGTACTTATGTAGAAATTCTGGAAAATTTAAATACTAAGCAAATACTGTCATGCTACCACAGAGTTGTCAAATTTCCTGGCTCATATTAAGTGTATATTAATTGTTATAGAAAACAACAAAAGAGAAATAGCCATATCTCTCCTTTAAGAGGACACTGAAACTTTGATAAATTTTTTTTTAGTTAAGGATAGTACAAAAACACTAAACAATAGCTCAATTTCACATTAAAAACTAGAAGAAAGTTCCAGATAAAATATTAGCTGATCTAAATTAGAGAGTGTAGTATCAGAAAATTATTTAAAAACCATACTGTAAAATTCAAGGATAAAAATAATTAAATATTATTGCAGTGAAGAAAAAGCAGTTGAAAATATTCAAAATTCATTCTTGAATTTAAAAAAACTCAGCCAAATACATTTAGAAAAAACTTATTTGACTTGTTAAAAACTTTTTTTTTTAAAAATAGAAGCATTAAACTTTTGCTTGCTTAAGAAACATTTTCATCAAATACAAGAACAAAAGAGGGTAAAAGCTACCACTGTCTTATTATGTAGCCTTTTAATTATCTAGAGCACATCTAAGCTCAAAAGACAAATTTACTAAAAATAAAAATAGGAAAGAAAATAAAAAAGATCAGTAATTTGAAAAATTTCAAACTTTACTAATTTTCTAAGAACAATATATTATTTCAACAACTAGCATCATTTTATATCTATTGCATTTGCAAACCTGGAAAGGTTGACAAATATTTTTCTTAGAAAAGATGGGTAAAACAAGAAGCCCTTATCTCGTTGTATGAGATATCTAAGAATACACAGTAAAATTGAAGATTTTCAAATGAAGAATTCCCTTTATTTCTCTACACATTAGAAAACCATACAGCTATGCATTCAGTTACAAATATGTGAATTTTTGAATATTTAAAAAAATATATGTTTGAAAGCAACATAAATGACAATCAATATGAGCACTGATAAATAAAATGTTATATATGTACAAGCTCTTTACTGGATAAAAGATAAAAATGAATAAATTATATACATACACGTATTTTAAAAAATAATTAAGAGAAAACTGCAATTTGTAGGTTTATGCATGTATACACATACATATGTATGGTGCATGATTCCAGCTATCTAAATAATGGTCTATATGCAAAACAATAATAAGTAATATTTATAAATATTTAGTTAAATATACACAAAAATCGTAAGTATTGAATTTATGGTAGAAGTTACCATTGAGGTGAGAAGGAAGAAAAAATTAGGTAAGAAAACATAGGCTCTCAACTATCTTTGACATGTTTTTTCCTTAGAAGACCTGAAATAAATATCACATAATAACCAGTATTGGTAGAACTAGGAGTGTGAAAGAGTGCTTGTTATATTTTTCTTCAATCTTTTCTAACTAGATAGAAATATTTCACAATGAAAGATTTTTTATTTAAGTAAAAATGATTTATTTCAATTAAAATGTGTAAATAGTTTGTTATTTCTACTGACAATAAAAATAAGACTTTTCTTCCAGAAAATGGTGCTTGTAAACATTTGCACTGACAGATTGCTGTTTTGGCGAAATCCTGTTGGGATATCTACTATGATGCCAAAAAAAGCATAAGCAGATGTATCTGCAGCTGGAGCAAGATACCCACACATGTGGCATAGTCACACTTGGCAATGAAAGAGGACATTAGAGTCTGCATGGGCTCCGTTTTTTGTTCGTTTATGTACTTATTTTTCTATTTACTTAACAAGTGAGAGAAGCCTGAAGTCCCTTCCCAATGTACATCATGTACACAGAAGACAAGCTATGGTATCTAGGAAGCAAAAGTTGTCTCTAAATATTGCTTGAACTCAGTAATTTTACATTTTGAAGTAATATCCTTGGCACCTAGATTTCCATTAGCTAATAATAATGTCTCATATAAAAAATTTAGAAACACTTTCTATTTTAAGCAATTTTACTTCTAGAAATTCAAGGACTGAGAGTGGGAATCTTTACTAAGCTTATTCAAAAAAAAAATCAGTGTAGGAGAAATAATTGGGAAATTTGTTTTTCAGAAAAACATATATTTAGAAACACGAAGAGGTTAACAATAGAAAATTTAAGTATGTATGTATGCATATATTTAATTTCATAATTTCCACTTTTATGTTACATTCGGGGGTACATGTGCAGGTTTATTACCTGGGTATATGGCGTGATGCTGAGGTTTGGAGTATGATTGATCCCATCATCCATGTTTTGAGCATAGTATCTGATAGTTTCTCAACACTTAGGTCTCTACCTCTTTCCACCATCTAGTAGTCCCCAGTGTCTATCATTGCCATCTTTATCTCCATGAGTATCCAATGCTTAGCTCCCACTTACAAGTGCCAACATATGGTATTTGGTTTTCTTTTCCTATGTTAATTTGCTTAGGATAATAGCTTCCAGCTGTACCCAAGTTGTTGCAAAAAACATGATTTTGTTCTTTTTTCAGCCGCATAGTATTGCGCAGTCTATGGGTATCACATTTTCTTCATCCAGTTCACCACTGATGGGCTCCTAGGTTGATTCCATGTCTTTGGTGTTGTGAATATTGCTGCAATGAACATCTGAGTGCATGTCTCTTTTTGGTAGAATAGTTTATTTTCTTTTGGGTATATATGCAGCAATGGAATTGTTGGCTCCTATGGTAGTTCTAAGTTATTTAAGAAATCTCCAAACTGCTTTCCACAGTGGCTGAACCAATTTACATTCCCATCTATAGTATATAACTGTTTTCTTTTTCCCATAGTTTTGCCAGAATCTGTTCTTTTTTGGCTTTAATAATAGCCATTTTGACTGGTATGAGATGACATCTCCTTGTGGTTTTGATTTGCATTTCTTTGATGATTAGTGATACGGAGCACTTTTTCATGTTTTTTGGCTGCTTATATGTCTTCTTTTGAGAAGGGTCTCTTCATGATTTTATCCACTTTATAATGGGGTTATTTTTTATTTAACTTGTTTACTTGTTTAAGTTGCTTATACAATCTGAATACTAAACCTTTATCAGATGCATAGTTCCAAATATTTTCTCCCATTCTGTGGGTTGTCTGTTTATTCTGCTGAGAGTTTCTTTTGCTGTGAGAAGATCTTTAGTTTAATTAGGTCTCACTTTTCAATATTTGTTTTTGTTGCAATTGCTTTTGAGATCATAGTAATAAATTCTTCTAAAGGCCAATGTCCAGAATGCTGTTTCCTAGGTTTTCTTTTAGGATTCTTCTAGCTCGAAGTCTGATATTTAAAGTTTCAATCCACCTAGAGTTAATTTTTGTATATGGTGAAAGGTAGGAGTCTAGTTTCATTCTTCTGGATATGGCTAGACAGGTATCACAGCATCATTTCTTAAATAGGGAGTTCTTCTCCCATTGCTTATTTTTGTTAACTTTGTTGAAGATCACATGCTGTAGGTGTGTGGCTTATTTCTAGGTTCTCTATTATTTTCCATTGGTTTACATGTCTGTTTTTGTACCACTACGGTGCTGTTTTGGTTACTGTGGCCTTATATTATAATTTGAAGTGAGGTAATGTGTTGCATCAGCCTTTATTCTTTTTGCTCAGGATTGCCTTGGCTATTTGGTCTCTCTTTTGGTTCCGTATAAATTTTAACAAGTTTTTTTCTGATTCTGTGAAAAATGACATTGGTAGTTTAATAAGAATAGTATTGAATCTGTGGATTGATTTTTGCAGTATGGCCATTTTAATGATAATGATTCTTCCAATCTATAAGCATGAAATATTTTTCCATTTCTTTGTGTCATCTGTCATTTCTTTTAGAAATGTTTTGTAGTCTTCTTTGGAGAGATCTTCCACCTCCTTGGTTAGATGCATTCCTAGGTATTTTATATTTTTGTCACTATTGTAAATGGGATTGCATTCTTGATTTGGCTTTCAGCCTGAATGTTAAGTGCTGTATAGAAATGCTACTGATTTTTCAAAATGGCATAATGATTACTAACACCCACCTCTTTCCTTTAGTTTCTAGAATCTATTTCCAGACGCATTTTATTTTCTAATGAAGTGTCTTTGCTTTTCTTTCCTCCTCTATTTTCCTTGGCACTTGGTAAGCTCAAATGAAAATGAATGTATATTAATTCCAGAAAATTTCATTAAATAATTTACTTTGTAATTTCCTCTCCTCTCCTCTCCTCGGTTCTTTCATTTTGGAAACCCTATGGTGTAGAAATTGAGCTTTTGTCACTAATCATCCAATGTCCTAACCTTTTTGCTCTTACTATTCATACTTTTTTTGTTAATTATGTTTTACTTTGTGGAAGTTTAGTCAAAATTGAGAAAACAACTAGTGAATTTTTCATTCTTGCTATCAATTTTTAATTTTCTAGAACTCTTCATTGTTTTCTGAGTGTCTTCTTTATAACTTCAATTCATGTTTCATAAGTGAAATTTCTTTGTCTTATCTTTTGAGACTATTATCGTATGTTTAAAATGTTTTCTGGCTGGGCGCGGTGGCTCACGATTGTAATCCCAGCACTTTGGGAGCCAAGGCAGGTGGATCACGAGGTCAGGAGTTTGAGACCAGCCTGGCCAAGATGATGAAACCCTGTCTCTACTAAAAATACAAAAATTAGCCAGGTGCAGTGGTGGGCGCCTATAATCCCAGCTACTCGGGAGACTGAGGCAGAAGAATCACTTGAATCCGGGAGGTGGAGGTTGCAGTGAGCCGAGATTGCACCACTGCACTCTAGCCTGGGCAACAGAGCAAGACTTTGTCTCAAAAAAAAAAAAAAAGGTTTTCTTCTACTCATGTTGTTGTTTCTTTTCCTTTCTGATTTTCTTTTCTTCTTTCTATTTTTGATCTTTGCCTAATATTGAAGATGTTACTAAAAATCTGGGCTCTATGTCCCATTCTTATTTAAAAACAGGGCAATAATTAGTTGATTGTAAGTATGAGAGTATGGAGGGTATGGCTGACTGGTGAGCTTTTGCCATAAACAGTAGTCATTATAACAGATATGCCCAATGGTCAGCAAATGCTGGTGTTTCATTTTAGACTTGTCAGTTTTCTTGGAAGGCAATCATTTCATCTTTTTCCTAGAAGATAAAAGTCCTACACAGTATTTTTGAAGTGCAGAGAGTATTTTCTGTAGGATGCTACCATTTACCTTGCACGTTTTCCATAAATCCCCATTTTCAGTATGGCTGTTCATGAGAAACTCTAGTTTAATATCTCTATACTAGAAGACATACCTGAAGTTTTCTACTGGAGTTTAGGGAGGCAAGGTAGCATAGTTCTGTGGCAGGGGAAGAAGATCTGTCAATTGAAGAGCCTCAGATAGACATTCAAGTTTTTATTATCATTACTCATATCCTTATTAGAAGTATTTATGTTTCTGCCCTTGGATTTTTCTAGGATTGTGGACTTACTGTTGTAGGCTTGAGGTTCAGATTTCTCCAGTCTGCTAAATGAGAAAACTGCAGTCTACTTTGCATTCGAGCTTCCAAAATTTTATTGTAGAATGTTATTTGTATATTATGTTTGTCATTATTTTATTCACTTTTGGTTGTTGCTAAGTTTTTACTGTTCTATTATTTTAGAAGAATTTCTTACATATAAGGCAACAAGAGTTTGGACTCAATACACCATTCTTAAACAAAAATCTTATCACCTCAATGTAATTTTAAAAACAAGTATTAGAAATTAATTACCATGTTTTGAGTACTTGCAATATTGTATAACTATCTAATGTAATATCAGATGTATTATTTAATTTGACCTTTATTATAAGCCCTGCAAATTACCATTATTGTAGTATTTGACAGTTGAAGAAATCATAGATGATAAAGAATTTGACCATAAGTCTGTCTGACTCAGGTCTTTTCTTTCTTATTTTTTCGTTTCTTATTCTTTCTTTCTTTCTTTATTTTGAAATAAAGTCTCGTTCTGTCTGCCAGGTGGGAGTGCAGTAGTACAATCACTGCAGCCTTGACTTCCTAGGCTTAAGCGGTCCTCCTACTTCTGCCTCCTAAGTAGTGAGGCTACAGGCATGTACCACCACACCTGGTTAATTGTTTCTAGTTTTTGTAGCTAGGGGGTCTTACTATGTCACCTAGGCTGGTCTCAAACTCCTGAGCTCAAGTGATTCACACCCCTCAGCTTCCCAAAGTGATGAGATTACAGGTGTGAGCCACCATGGTTGGTGACTCAAGCCTTCTCTAAAATTAAAAGCTGATACTTCCTTAAAAGCTTGTAATCCCTAACCTAACCATTTTTACAAGATATAGTGAGAGGTATCTTATGCTAAAAATATACAAGCAAAGCTAGAGGTTTATATGTCCATGGGAAATCACAGGTAGAATAGATTGAATCTAAATACAAAAGGGGACTGGGGAGTTCTTCCTAAATGTGATCTAAGCATAATATTTCAAAGGCCATGTAGATGATTAGATTACCCTCAACATTAAATATCAGACTAATTTAGCCTTTAAGATACACATTAAATATCATCTTCATAAACTCATTTCTCAAACTGAAATAACTTTCTCACTTTTTGAATATTCATGCTATTTTATATTTTTCTATTGATCAGTTTGAATTTGTACTTTCTTTCAAAACCACTAATACCTTGTACAGCATATACCTAAATGGTTGCCAAATATTTAAACAGCAAACTTTCTATTGTCATAATTGGAGGTCCTTAGTTATACAACAGAACTTGATATAGACTTGTGAATAACTTTATTATTCAGGCCTCAAATCTATGTGCATTCTCAGTATAAGCATCTAACCTCTCATAACATGGTCAAAGATATTAATCTATTTAGATGTTAGGATGTTAGGAACTTGGTAGAAGGTTTTTGTTTTTGTTTTTGTTTTCAGAGCACTCTAGGAAGCAGTAAATGTGCCTGGCATTTCAATGTGCATAAATCTGTGAAACATATAATAATAATATTTGGAACTGAAGATATAGAAATAGATGACAATTATTCATTTAACCTTTGAGTTTTCAGCAACTTGAGAATGACAGACAAATTAATTTATGAGTTCAGATGCAGAAGGTTAAGCATCTGACATAGACTAATGTGAACATTCAAAGATCAATAGAGCATCACTAGCTGAAATAATAAAATCAGAAGATTCAAATCAGATTCAGACCTAAGCTATTCCCATTACTTGTGCTGGAATTGTGGTAATTATATCTGTACATAACTTGTACTTTGTTACAGTTAAAATATATATTTTGAATATGTCTGTATGTATGTTATACATATATTACAATATATAATATTTTATAATCATCTTTATATATAATTATTTGATTGAATTTATAAAGTTCTGAGCAAAGAAATAAGTTAAAGAGAAGTACTTAAGTGAGCTTCAGTTAACATACAATTACATCAACCTCCTGATGTGCAGGTAAAGGTAGATGTTACGACTTACAGAATATTACCTTAGCAAGGTCAGTCCTTTTGTCATTGTTTTTGAAGTTGTACCTACAAGAAAAAGAGTATGCAATGGAATGCATACAAAGCAGAAAAATGTACAAATACACACACTTATTATGCCTGATATATATGTACATTTTAAGAAATATAGCAGAGAATGTTCACTATAAATGTCTCACCTTACACATACTTCTCTCTTTAACAAGAAATGACCACATTATTATTTCATATTAAATCTGATGAGTCCAGGAATTTCATAAATTACCAAGTCCACAAATGAATCTTACAAGTGAATAACCAAGTAAATCTAATTATGTATATACAAGAAATATGTATGAAGAACCATATTCATGTGAGAAACTCACAGTAGAAATAAATAAAAATTATTTTTATTTACAGGAGTATAAAACTAGAGGGAAATCAGACAAAGCAGACAATTTGAAGTAAAATAGAAGTCTATTTTAAGACTAAAGTAATAAATGTTAAGGCTGAAGTAATAAAAAGACATCTTGTTGGAAGTGAACTGGAGTGAGAATAATATTAGATAAATCATAGTCAAGATTTTAGGCTATAGAAAATACCTGGCGTGATTGCTATGCAGCATAATCAATTGTTTTTTTCTTCAGAGATAGGATCTTGCTCTGTCTCCCAGGCTGGAGTGCAGTATTGCAATCATAGCTCACTGTAATTTTGAACACCTAGGCTCAAGTGAACCTCTCACTTCAGCCTCTCAAGTAGCCAGAACTACAGGTGCACCCCACCATATGCGACTAATTTTTTTTTTTTTTTTTTTTTTTGAGACAGGGTCTTGTCATGTTCCTTATACTGGTCTTGAACTCCTGACCTCAAGTGATCCTCTCACCATGGCCTGCCAAAGCAATGGGATTATAGGCATAAACCACTGCACCTAGTTGAAAATACTGTTATTTAAACATAAATTAATGCATTCACTTCTTCAATATGAAGATGGGGTAGAGCAGTGAGTTTATTTCAGTAGTTGTTGGCTTTTTTACTTAAGAGATTTTAAAACATTTGTTTAAAAAAAAATCAGCAAACGTGTTAGTGTGGAAGAGATTTCAGCGGAATTTACAACTGATTTTAATAAAGTAACAAATTTTTATTACCTTCTATGAACCGAGACTTGACTTTGGTGGAAAGGAGCCTCTGAATTTGAGGAAAAGAAGGATAATTTAAGTCACAGTACCAATAACAACAAAATACTTTTTTTAAAAAAAGTATAAGCATGATTGAAGTAGGCCTGAACAAAATGTTGTCAGGTAGGAGCCCCACATCAATGAGGGACAAACTGATGAGACATTAATGTAGGTAAAATACACTATTACTCCAGAATCTTCAAGACACAAAGGCACGGGATTGCACAATGTACATAATGCCACTTTGAATAGCAGATATAATTGGGTATGGGGAGATAAATGTGGGATTCTCAACATAAGTTCTTTAGGACCAAAAAAGTACTCAGAGAGGTAATTCAAATAAAAAGTTTTGACAAAGTGCTGGAGACATACTGTTAAATTAGTTGTGAGTCAGAGTATACAAAAGAAGCACCAAAGTTGACACATTTTAGAATTTTGGCCATGAAAGGAAATAAAGACAATTATGCTTGAGGTAAAAAGTTTCTTGTTGCTTCTTGCTTGCTTTTTTGGTTGGCTGGCTTGATTTGTTTTCAACTGTGGAGGAGACATTTTTAAAGCAGAAAAAAAAAAGACATCAAGTGAAAGGCAAATGATTGAAAAGTCTGGAAAGAGAATGTGTAATTGATAGAGCAAGTTCCCTGAAGAGATAGTTGGAGGTGGGGTCAAGAGACTAGGCAGAAAGTTTAGCCTTAGAAAGAGGAAGGTTATATGAATGAGGGCTTACTTTGGGGTTGAGAGGGAAATGACTACAGTGGTAAATAAGGCGGAATCAGGATGACTGTCATTTCAGTAAGAATTTATTGAACGCATAACTTTGTTCTCAGCACTATTGGCACTGTACAAATTCCAGGGAAGACTTCAGAGAAATCGAAGATGCATTATGCCCTTAAAGTGTTTTCTAGTTATAATCTCAACCTTTTGGAGAGTTGAAATGGTAGAGATGAGAGAAGTTATGGTTATTCGGAAGAGATCATAATTCAGATATTTGATTCAGTAGATGCAAGAAAAGAAAAATTGTTCTGAAAAGTAAAGGTCTTAAGGAAAACTTAGCCTTAAAAATAGTCTAACAGGGAGAGAGAGCTTTACTTTTCATATTATTTACGTCTTATATCTTATAAAGTCAAGGAATATGACAGGGCTTTTCAGATGAATAGCCCTTTTTCCTCTCAAATCAAAATTTTCCATTTTGGAATAGATAACATATAAAGTAAACATAAAATGATGGTAACGTGGGACTTTTCTAATTTCTATAGCATGACAAAAATGAATACTGGACCAAAGGTATCTTGTGTCTTTTGCTTTTTAATAATAGAGTTTACATCATAATTGTGTAAGGTAAAACTACATGTATATACAAATATTTGCATCTTTTCTAAAAGAAATAGATGTAAACATATTTGTCGCATTTTATTACGGACCTTAGCCTCACTACTCTCATTTATATTAAAATTTAAATATAGTAACCTTGTAAGACTCACTTAAAGCCACCAGATGTCACTGTTTTAGATATGATACCTCCATCACTATTCATATGCCCTAGGTATAAAGAAATTACTAAACTTTCTAGTAAAATTATTTTCAAGCAAAATCATGACAAGCATAATTATGTTAGAATCTTATTAAAGGTCACCCCCAAAACTGTACGTGATACTTATACACATATGTCAGGAAAATATCCTCTGGGACATTATGGTTATACGATCATCTCAATTTTAATAGCTTTATAGTCAGGGATTCCATCTCATTCTTTGCCTTTTTTTTTTTTTTTTTTTTTTTTGAGATAGGGTCTCACTTTGTCACCTAGGCTGGAGTGCAGTGGTGCTATCAGAGCTCACTGCAGCCTTGACTTCCCCTGCCTCCAATGCTCCAGTGATCCTCCCACCTCAGCCCTCTAAGTAGCTGGGACTGCAGGTATGCACCACCACGCTGACTAATTTTTTTAATGTTTTGTAGAGATGAGGTCTCACTATATTTCTCAGGCTGGTCTTGAACTCTTGGGCTCAAGCTATCCTCCCAACTTGGCCTCCCAAAATGTGTCTTTTATCTTAGAGACTATTTATAATAATTAGTTCATTGTACGTAATTAACAAACACTTTAAAATACTAGAATATTAGAGTTGGAAACCATTTTAAGGACTGTTCAGAACAATTCACTCTTTTACACATAGTAAACATAAAGGAGAGAGATACATGACTGTTCTAAAGGCAAAGAGATATGAAAATGAAAATATTCAGCTAGTTAATATTCTTGACTATTTTTCTTATATAATATCACTTAATGATAAATTACTTTTTATGAGAACTGTAACGTGTGACCACAAGAAAATAAGATAAAGACAGTTAAAACATTTATAGATGTCATTAATATTTTTCAAAGTTCATAAATATGGCTTAAAGAGATGTATTTCTCATTTTTTATTATGAAAAAACTATATAGAACAAGAAGGAAAAATGTACAAAACTAGAAAAGACAAAGATATTGAGCATGGTTAACATTTTGTTCTATATAATTCTTGTAATTTTTCAGGATTTTATATATATATATACATTACTTAGGTGGTTGTAACATTCATATACATAACATACACTGTTTAAATATCTACTTTTGCTAAATAACAATATGACTACTTGCTCATGTTACCAATCTGGTCAAACCATCAACATCTCAGCCTCCTACCATTGACTAACTTATTCTATCAGGTAGGTAATTGTCTTTGGTCTTGCCATCAGCTGGGGAAATTGGTGTCTATGAGAATTGCCGAGCCAATGCTTTAAATGGAACTATTCAATTCCGGTAAACATTACTTCCATTCTACTCATTCACATGATCATATTTTGAGTCATTAGATAATCCTAAAATGTCTAAATCCAAAATATCAAATTCAGACATCTATTTTCTAAACGCGTCTTTCCACACATCCATCCATCACCCATTTGTTCTGAAGCAGCTAGGTCATCCAAGCAAGGGGGTTGCTCATTCCCTGATCTCTGCCTTTCTCCGAGTCAAACTCTCCTATTTTAATGTCCATGCCTACATTTGGAACATTGGTTTATACAAAGCTTAACAACCCTTGTGTGAATATACAACTTTTTGCCCTATTTCTCTTTTCTTTATATTCACCAGCAAACTTCTAGCCCTGGATCAACTTATTTGTCAGACACTCCATCTATGATTTCTCAAGATTCTGGAGAAAAGCAAGCAACCATGCACACTGGGTAACAACAACTTGATGGCCTACAGTTAGAGTTGAGCTGGGAATGTAGTATTTCAATATTTGTATGGTCTTTGGGTCATTTTCATCTCTTTCTATCCAGAGAAATATTTCAAACCGCCCTTGTGGATTGACACTGTGTCTCTCTCTCAAAAAAAACAGTAGACTGAAAAAAAAAAAAAAATGAGATCACTTCCTGAGACTGCCATGCTAATTCCCTATGTAAGTAGGTCAGAAAAGGGAAGATACTGGGCAGACAGTTAAAAGCTATTTTCTTGATGAGTTCTCAGTCCTACTGCTTGAGAATGATTCATCATGACTCTCAGTTCTTCCCTTCTAGGACCTTGGCTCTAACTTCTTAAATTATCCATGATTTTTCATAAAAAATTATTTTGTATTTGCAGCTAAGTTGTTTTCTCAACTGTCTTCATGCCCATAGAAGTCTGGGGACTCAAAGTTCTCTTTTCATTTTGTAATATCTCTTTCCCTTAAGTCCTACAGTTGGGCAAAATCATCTAACACAAAGGCTATTTTACAATAGTGTTGAATATGTTGTGTAATTTATTGAATACCATACTGAAAATGAAAAACAAAATGGTTTTATGGGGATCAGAGTACAATTCTACGGAATATGTTTCACTTTCATACCATCATAAAGCTGAAAAATCACAAGTTGAACCCTCAAGGAGTCAGAGACCATCTTTAATTTTGAGACAGTTTTGAAAACCTAGACTAAACATGGGAAAAGTGAAAATACACTAACTGGATTCTACTAACAAGAAATTGACCCAGATAGTAATGCATAGAAAAACCAATAAAATATATGAGAGGTTTTAAAAGGCAATGGGAAATTATTAACACATTTTTTAATAAATTATGGGAGGAGTTTCAAGAAAAAATAAAGGTAATGGCAGATTAAACACTCAAAGATCCAATAACTAAGAATATCTGAATTGATAAAAAATGAGTTCATAGATGGAATATTTATTAAAAGTGCCAACAAAGATGTATGAAAATAAACTCATACCTAGATAAAAAGGAGTGAAACTGCGAGTATCAATGTTAGACAGAAAATATTGAAACTACCTGAAAAAAGCAAAATGATATATAAAGACACAATATTAGGCTAATTACAGAATAATCACAGAATAATAACAGAATAAACAATTCCAGATACAAAAAAAATGAGTATTGTCTTCAAAATGTTGAATGAAAGTAACTATCACTTCAAATTATATATTCAGCCAAATGTATTAATCAAGGTGCATATTTTCAGACATAAAAAAGCTAACAAAATGTATTACCTTCAAAACCTTGATGAAGTATTTAGTGTAGAATATATTTATAGAGAATAAAAAATGAAGACAGAAAGATAAAATGAGAAATTAAAAACAACATGTGAAAATAAATTCAATATAACACACTAAATCTATTTATTGACTACAGAAATGTATTTTGTGTTTATAAAGCGGAAATTACAATTTTATATATCACAAACTCTAGGATGGGGAATTCATGGAATAAATAAGCTGTATTAAAGTACATGACTAGGTTTGTGTACAAAGTCAAAGGAAACCAGAGTAAAAATAAAGGAGATGTGTGAATAAAGAATATAAAGGCAAGAAGAGAAAAAAAAGATATGATAAAAATGTATGGCAAAATGAAAATTATGACTTAGTGTGGTGATATTTCTTAAGTGAGCACAGTGTTTCTTTTCTTTTTAAATATTTAATAGACATGTATGCCTCTTTATGTTTTCCCTCTGGCTTTAAAACGACTTCATTGAGACTTGAGTAAGTTAATAAAGACTTTGTAAAAGGTTTGGGAATGGCAGTCTTTCCTGATCATAATGCAACTTAATTAGATGTCAGTCACTCTTTTTAAAAGACTGCTTTTGGCTTTTAAAAGCTGGGGTTGAAAATTGACTCAGCATTATGCTAGTACTGTTTTGTGTATGTGTCAACAACTTCTTCCAACATTCCCTATAGTTCGCTGAGATCTCCTGAATCTATGTCCCATACATTTTCTGTTCAGTCCTTAACTTTAATATCTCCCATCTACTTAATTTGGCTTTACAACAATAATGTTTCACATGTTTGAAATCCTATTCTTCCATATTGTTGTTTCAGACTCCATAGGCAGGATGAGTAATTTAAACGCAACCTAACTAAAGGACATATATTCTACCTCAAATTCTGTAATAAACTCAGTGTGTGTGTGTGTGTGTGTGTGTGTATTTGACTTAGGAGCCCTGATATTTAAATGAATGAATTCTGAATCTATAAATGTCCAGACAGAAATGGGTAGTGATCCACATGATTTAGTAAAGCCTCAAATGATTCTACTGTTTTCAGAACTCCTATTTTATTATCAACTGCAATGTAATGTGTAAAATAAGTGTACAAGTCATTATCTAACTCCAATAGATGACCCCAGATCTTCAAGAAATGCATTATATTATTCTCCAAAGCATGTGACTGAATTGAAGCTGCCTAGATATGAGTTAAAAACAGAAAACAGCAGTAACTTTACAAATTTTGAGAGATAGCAGAGTGGCAAGATAATTGGATTTGGGATTATAAAACATGTCACCCCCACTCTGCCAGTTAGCTGTTGTGGACATTGAATAAAATCCCCTGAACCTTGGTTTCCTAACTTATATAGTGAAATACTGGCAATACCTACTTTGTGTTTCTCAGTTTTGCTGAGAAGGTCAACTGAGAGAACATGAATGAAAATATTTTGTCAACGAGACATTAATAGTAGCATAGTGGGAAAGAGTGAATGCTAAGAGTGAATGCTATGGACTCAGGCTCCTTGTTTTACAAAGCAGCTCAACCACTCTGATCAGGGCAAGAGACACAACCTCTTTAGGAGCTGGGCTTCTTGTGTAAATGTACTTACCTTAAAGAATCAGTGAGGTCATGGACTGAAAAATTGAAAACTTTCATATCAAGTACTAGATGTGTACCCTGGAAAGCACTCTGTGGCCAGGCATGGCAATGTGAGGGCAACTTGCACATAATAGCTGTACTGTGCGTGCTCAACTTGGGCACCAGGCCAAGGACTCCTCTCCATTTACGTTGACAGACATGTGTGTGTGTTGATCTGCTTTTTATATTTCCTTGCATCACAGTGGTTTGGCCTGAGAGTCAGGTTTGTGAATTAATGTAGGGGGAGATAAATAGAGCTTTGTCATGTTTAGTCTAAGACTGCTTAGGAGTTTAGCATATGAAGAAGTCCCAGATGGTTCAACCTGCTTAACGTAGCTTTATCTCAGACTTCGGAGCCAAAAACTCCAGCTAATAATGTATCATTTTGCATTGCTTGGATAATATATCTATCATCCCCCAAAACTGTACAGGAGGTTTCTTATTTTGAAATGGAATTTGTATATTCTAAACTTCTCCTGGCAAAGCTAGAGAAGGGACATATATATAGTCCCTTGAAAAGAACTCATTATCTGGACTCCTGGAAACTCCTGTACTTCTCACATTCATTTCTCTCTCCTGAAACTCTCTTCTCTCCCTAAACTCATTGTTTGGTGTCTGGTGAGATCCTCTCTTAGTTTCCAAGATGTCATCTTATTGCTGTGTCCTCACATGGCAGAAGGGGCCAATGCTGTGTCTCCAAGAAGATCATAGGAGCTAGCTAGTTCCCTGCACCTCTTTCAAGAGGGAACTAATTCGTTCATGAGGGTTGAGGCCTCGTGATTCAATCACCACCTAACGGACCCCTCAATTGCCTTAATACAATTGCCTTGGGGATTAAGTTTTTGACATAAGAATTTTAGACAGATAAATACATTCAAACTATAGCAAACATTACACAGTACTCCTATTTAAGCTTTTGTATTGGGCTTCAGGGACACACCTGCCAGTTGCCTGCCAATAACATTTACATCCTCATTCTTTAATTACAGAATCTACAACTTATTTAGAAATGCAAAAACCTAGCTAAAAGACGGCATTTCTGTGCTTCACCAGCAGCAACGTATGGCATGAAACTACCTTCAGACCAATGAGATCTAAGCAGAAATGTGTGGGATTTGGGGAAAACCCACATGCAAGACACTAAGTTGGGAAGTGTGCTATTGTGTTTCTCCTACATTCTTCTTTCTGCCACTCTAGATCCCAGAACAGTTAGAGCTTCCTCAGTTATCTGTGAGCATCAAATAACTTTTAAGATGGCAGCCAGTGCTAGACTAGTGTAGTGAAACAGAAATGAAGTCGCCTGATTTCCGCAGAGCTGCTAAATAACCCAAGTTTCACTTTACTTTTTTTGTAAGAGACAAAATAAAGCTAATATTATTTGGGGGCTAATGTTAACTAAATTAAAGCATACACAATTCCCTTATTTATTTTGTCTCCACGTCTTGTATTTCCAAAACAACATATCTCTCATTAGAGAAACTCCGTATGGCAACTTAGCTTTTGGTAGGATTCTTCCTAAATGAATTTCTCAATACCCATCATCATTACTCTCATATTTAAATTTTAAAATATTCTCTAAGTTTAGCTTAACATCTCATTTCTGGTCTTAAGTACTTGAAGGAGACAGCAAAGCTGGAAAAGGGAGAAGGGCCTTATACCTTCCTGCCCGCTTTCTGTTTTAGTCAGTAACCCAGAAAAGGTTTTTTCTCATCATGCAAAATTATTGTTTTATTTCCAACATTTCTTTGGTATACTCTCATAACCAGTCTCATTACTTTCCCCAGTATTACACTAAACCCTTGGGCAGATGTGTGTGTTGTGTGTGCATGTTGGGGGTTGGAGTTGGGAAGAGCACAATACAGCAAATTGCAACTTAATAAACACACAGCAGATTCTGATGCACACCCAAGTTTGCACACTCAAGTGTCCAGCCCTGGACAATGATTTCTTCCATTTTTTTTCTTTATATACATCTGCTTAACATTTTCTAGACTTTTCTTTAACTCTACCCAGTGTTATAAAAAGCCTGAGAGGTACGGCTATTTTCAGGAAGTTTCTGGAATCCTGGTCACATTTCATCTTGCTGTTTGCTTTTAGAATTTCTGGATGGATAGGACTCAGAGATTTCCTTTTATTTCACCCTTCATATCATTCTTCAAATTACCCATCTTTCTCTCTTGCGTTGATTCTCTTATTTCCCAGACCCTCATTTTACTGGATCATAAAATCATACAACCTTCTGAAAAATAGTACATAGGTGGTATTTTTGAGACATTGAATATTTTAAAAGTCTTAATTTTACCTTACATATGTGTAATTATTTTAAAAACTCTCAAATTCTAAGTTAGAAATATCCTTTATATTTTATGCTAAAAGGGAATATTACTTTTGAAAAGCCCAATGCAACTCTCCTTACTGAATGTTTGAAAGTAACTCTTTTATCCCTTCCCTTTCTTTCTGCTGTTTCTTTCTTTCTCTCTCTCTCTCGATAGATCTTCTATATATCTCTCTCTATAAATATTTAGAAGACATATAGAGATATATAGGGAGAAGATATATAAATATATATTTATATATAAATATATGGTGTATATGTTCTATAGGCTATATATAAATTATATCTTCTATATATCTATATTTATATATAGTACATATATCTTCAATATATATCTATATAGAGATATACAGAAGATGTATCCATATATATACATATATCTTCTAGAATCTCATAATGGTATATTTGGGGATTCTATTTTTAGTTATTGTCTTGAGTCTTTTGAAGATCCTACTGAAGACCCATACTCTTCTGTTATAGAATTTTTTTGTTGCATATTTTGTGATAATTTTATCATCTTCATTTTCTCTGTTCTTTGTTCAAGCCTATCTATTTACATGAGGTTAGCCTTCTTTGATTGGATTTTTAGAGTTTTTGCTCATATTGTCAATGTTTGTTACTAGGGCTTTTCTACCTTCTGTGAGATAGAGATTGCTTAAAATTCCAGCACTTCTGTGTTTTTGGGTATGGGTTCAAATTTTTAATTGAAAAAATATTACTCTTGTTCTTTGAATATTCCAGATTATAGTGCTTGTTTCTTTTTGGAGACTTCCTGATGTTTTTGTAGAGAGCAGTGTGCCTTTAGGTTTTCTGATGATTCACTAATTTTCTCTACTTTATTGTTTTTTCCTTGTATTTATTCTAAGACCTTATTTTCCCAGTTAGATGCCTCACTCAAATGTAACTTACTCTTTTTTTTTCCTTTGGATTTAATAATGGATCACTAAAAATGAAATCAGGTGATGTTTATATGAGTAGCGTTTGTTGACTTTCTTTCCTCATCATATGTGAATTAACTAGACATCAGGTGTTTTTTATTCATTTATTTATTTATTTATTTACTTTATTCTTTTGAGACAGAGTCTTGCTCTGTCACCCACGCTAGAGTGCAATGGCGTGATCTCGGCTCACTGCAACTTCCGCCTGCCTAGTTCAAGCGATTCTCCTGCCTCAGCCTTCTGAGTAGCTAGGATTACAGGCACCCACCATCATGCCAGCTAATTTTTTTTTTTTTTTGTATTTTTGTACAGACAGGATTTCACCATGTTCTCCAAGATGGTCTTGAACTCCTGACCTCGGGTGATCCGCCCACCTTGGCCTCCCAAATTGCTGGGATTACAGGTGTGAGCCTCCGTGCCTGGCCATGTCTGGTATTTTAATGGGAAACCACTAAACATTAATACCTGGCTACTCACTTTTTTCCACCAATGAAACTTCCAATTTCCAGTTTTGCACACTGCACCATGGGACATGGAGACTTCCTGATGTTTTTGTAGAGAGCAGTGTGCTTTTAGGTTTTCTGATGATTCACTAATTTTCTCTACTTTATTGTTTTTTCCTTGTATTTATTCTAAGACCTTATTTTCCCAGTTAGATGCCTCACTATCCCAGTTAGATTCCCTCACCATGGGAATCAGGAAGATGAAATCAGCTGGTGCAATGTCCAACCATTCAGTATGCAGATATTGCTTACTGTCACCTTTGCCTAACACAGTTGTTTTTGATTTTCCAAATTCTACATTTTCTTAGGCACATCTTTTGCATATAGTAAATTTTTGTCATAGACCACTGTGGATGAGAAGCAATTATATCTCTAGTGGGGGTTGTTGGTGGAAATCTTGAGAGTGTTAATTAACATACAGAGTGTCAATCAGATCACCACTTTTCAGCTCCATAAACATTGAAGCTTCAGAGGTATTTTCTGCAACTAATTTTACAGCCTATTTGGGTTCTTGAGATTCAAAAACCTTTTGAGGAACTGGGCGTGGTAATCCAAGTGCTTTGGGAGGCCAAGGCAGATGGATCACTTGAGGTCAGGACTTCGAGAGCAGCCTGGCCAACACAGTGAAACCCTGTCTGTACTAAAAATATAGCCGGGTGTGGTGGTGCATGCCTGTAATCCCAGCTACTTGGGAGGCTGAGGCATGAGAATCACTTGAACCTGGTAGGCGGAGGTTGCAGTAAGCCAATATCACGCCACTGCGCTCCAGCCTGGGTGACAGAGACTCTGTCTCAAACAAACAAACAAGGACGACAAAAATCTTTTTTTTAACTTCATTTTCCTGTAGACAGCTAAAACATTTCAACTTCCTCTGCTCTGCTGTTAGCAGGATTTACCTCCCTTCCTTCTGTTTTCCATCCTCCAATCTTTTAAAGAAACTTACGTGTCTTTGTCTTCTATTTGGTTTTATTTGTCTATGTTACTTTATACATTATCTTATTGCTGGTTTATTAAAATTTTTAAAAAGAGGAAATTATTATATCCATTAAATCCTAATTCATCCTATTTAGCCAGTAGTCAACATTTTCTTTCATATTTCCATACATTCTTGGTACTAAGTTCTTTGTTGCCAGTTTTTCATTTGTATTACATTGTGGAATGTCCCATTCTGTGGTGGTAAGGATTTGAATCTACATTGTTTTCTCAATTTTCAGTAATCTAAACCCTAAATCCTTGGTAATAATTTCAGATACCAGATAACTTTCCACTGTTGAAAATTTATCCATTTTATTTTTAAATCTCATTTCCCTATGCCGTTATGAGTGTGCTATTCTGAAAATGACAGAGGATATAGATCCCACAGCTCCTGTATTCAAGCTGTCTTTTTAAATATTGTCTCTGCAGAATTAATTCTAATAACCTTCTCTCCATGGAAGCACTCCTGAAGAATTAAGTTTGAGCCAAGGCATTAGATGTTGAGGAGTATGTAAGTCTTCCAAATGTGCCATATGGTTCAGAATGCTCCTTATCTGATGGGGAAGAAGGCTTCAAGTTTTGGCAACCACCATCCCTTAGATTTTTCTCTTGTATGCCAAAATTATCCTTATTTGCCTTCCTTAATTGTATTCCATTATCTAATATGTTTATGACTACTTCTCATGATTCTTTTCCTTTTTGCTTATCCCTCACTTCATTTAGGTGACTGAGAAAATGACTACTATCAAAGGAGCTTTCTCTGATCCTGATGATTGTATCTGAAATGGCACCTCCCTCTTTTCAATCTCTACCTGCTTATCCTGCCTTATCTTTTGTTGTTATTAATAGTGCAACACAGTATTTTAAATAGTATAGTTTTATCAATATATTAGATGCACTTATCTCTCTTAGCACATATTATGATGCCAGGGCCATTAGATTAGGAAATTTGTTTTATTCACTATTATGTCTCCAACACTTAGAATAATGTTTGACACAAATTAGGCCACAATCAATAGTTGTTTGAGTGAATAAAGGCTGGGATACATTTACCTCCATCTCACTTCAAAGTCTATTGAAGTGGCAGAAAGATGTAAACAAGAACAATAAAGCTACCACCCAATATACATATACAAAACAACAACAGAAAAAAAGAAACACTGATGAATTTCTGGAACACAAATAGAATACAAGACAAAATTTATAGTCACAACAGAGCAGAGAAAGAGTTAGCCCCAAAATAATAATAAACTATACATAATACTCAAAGCCAAACAAACATGGCACACACAGGAAAAGGCAACTACCAAGGTCAGACTACGTGATTTACTTGCTTAAAAATCCAAGTTATGAAGGGAAAGAGTAGAAAAGAGTTTGGGGACAAATACTAAGGTAAATAATAACCACCTTTTAAAAAGTTTAGCTACCAGAAAAATTCTCCTTAACTAGATAGTCTGAGAATATGTCCTCAGGCCAAAGAAGCAGAGCAGTAGAATCGGTCTATTAACCAACTCAATTTCTGTTCCAAATTGTGTTGTCAAAGGAGTTTGGTTGACAAAGAAAGAATCATTCTGGAATTCCTGGCAAATTGTGATCTACAAAATTGTAGAAGAATTTTGTGTTGGGAAGGAAATGTTCGGAATTAAAGAAACAAGAAAACCCAGTAAATAAGAAACACACCAACATGACAAAAGTAAATTTCAGTGATTGCAACATATATAAATAAATAATGTTTGCCTATTATAAAAAAAACTGTAGCTATTTATTTTTGCAAGAGGATCTCGTGAAGAAAAAGAAGAATTAATAAACTAAATCTAGGTCAGAAGAAAACATTCAACCTGAAGCATGTAGAGGCAAAAGGATTTTTTCTTAAATAACTTTTCCACTGTAAAATAAAGAGGAATTAAATTTCATAACTGTCAGGGCAAAGCAGAATAAAGACAAAGGAAATGTACAGCGAAGAATAAGTAATTAGGAAGAACAGGGTGAATTTCCCTCATCTTCAAATTACTCCTATTATACTCAAACATATTTAGAATAGTTTGTTTTAGAGATTCAATAAACCATGAGCAATCACTTACTATACCAGGTTATTTTTTAAATAGAGGAAAACTTTACACATGTATTTGACTCTTCCAAAATCATTATAAGTTGAGAGTAATTTTTAATACCAGGAATGTTCAGTTCTATCTATCAGAGGCATCTTTCCTGGAATAACATTATTCTAACATCTATGAGATTTGGGAGAAAGGAGGATTATAGTAAAAGTAAATCCTCTTTTATGCAGCTTTCCATCCTTGCTGTGACCTAGATGTTTTAAAATAATAACCTTCTTTGTTATCTGAAAAATTAATAGAAACCATGTTTAGAACCAATAAAGCTTGTCGCCACCTGTTGAATTGCCAATTCAAGTCAGCCATTACTACTTAAACAGAAAATTATCGTCATCTGCCAATTATTGTACCTGCCAATTATCGTCATCTTTGCTATTCTTCCTTTTATGAAGTGTTTTGAAATCAGTGTGGTTTGTAAACCACCACATACATGTATTTCACAAGCAAATATTAATAGCTAAACATGTCATCATTTTTATAGTAAATGAGAAGCAATAAAAAACAATAAATCATATAGAGAAAAAATAATGGCCCTACTAACATTTTAAATTACTTTGAGGACTAATAAGAATTGGTATTTTAAAGGTTACTTCAATTTCAATTCTATTTTTCTACATAGTATTAAAATGATAACAAAGAAAAAAAAGTCACCTCTGTACATGAGATGAAAGGAGTAGGAAAGAAAAAACAACCAAACTAAACTAAAACAGAACAAAACAGTTGTTTAAGTAACTCATCCAATTAAATGATTCACACAGTGCTTTATTAGGTTAGGCATTCATTAAATAACCTTCCTAATGACCCAGTGGCATCTTTGTCATTTGTGCAGTGTCCTAAATCAGTGTGCAAGGATGTCACCTGAAGGAAGTAAATTAATTAAGAGCTCTTAATGAGCATAACAGCCTGTTCATTTCACTAAGACATTTTATAATCTCTTTGAATACAATGTTACAGCTAGAAATATTAACAAAAAATTATAAAGCTGCATCTTACTCTACTTCATTGTTAATTTACATTTATTCCTGACATTACTGATTAAACTGTCAAATTATTGAGGAAAGATATTCAAACTTATTCAAAAGTATGAATTTAAATATCACACAAGCTGGCATCAAGCACTTACACTGATGGAGGAAAAACACTATTTAAAGTTGAAATCTGAAATTAAGTTATTCAATATAAATGTATTTATTTTTCTCTCAAACTTTGTTAATCATGTTTAAATGGCTTATTTTTTCTCCAATATTTAAAAGTTAAGGCACAGGTTTTGAACACTTAGGATACGTACTCCTAATATATTAGACATCTATCTTTAAAATGTGTATATAGAGAATGTATATCTCACATTATGTGTACATTTGTGTATATATGTAGTGTATGCATTATATATGTATACATGATGTGAGGTATCAAATATATATATAATACACACAAATATATGCACACACTTAACTTGTAACCATGGATTTGCAGTTTTATGAGAAGAAATATTTCCAGAAGACTCACTTGAGTGTATTTACAATCAAGAATGATGTATGGGCATCAGCAGTGATTACAGAGACCCATCACAATATCCCCTTCAGTTCACATCTGTGGCATTCATGGACCCTATGAACTTTTAGTTTTTAACTAGGAACAACTGACAGGTAGGGAGAATCTCACATCTCTGCAATCATCTGTATCACAAATTTTTGTCAACAGCTATATAGCTCTTATAACTGGTGAACTTATCTTCATTCTGCCTATACAGACCAAAAATTATTGACTGAATATATTTGAAAATAATCTAATGTAAAGGGCATCTCACTGACTACCATAACTTCATATCTGCAATCTATTAGCTATCAAATATCTTAGCTACAACGAGCCTTGGTTTCCTCATCTTTAAATTGGGATTGTACAGGGGATAATTCTTTAATTTTGCATTTCATGTTCTCTTGTTGCAAACGATGAAAACATTCTGTTTATTTAGAATTTTCCTCCACATTATTTTTAGTGCTACAGTCTAGAAAATTAGTCTAAATACCTATCTATTGTGCATAGCTATCATTTTAAAAATATGAAGAATAAATAAATGATCATTCGTTAGCACAACCTGGCCTAACAAATATTAATTTTTTTCTGTAAATAAACTTATCTCCATATGACAAATAATGTGAATACTGTGGCTTGAGTTTTTGTCTGCCTATCTTAAGAGGAAATAAATCTGTGTCCTATCATTCCCTACTTTGCACCACCACCCCCGACACACACACACAAATGTAATAGAATTGAAAGTGAGAATAGCATAAACAACAGGAAGGATGAACATGAAAGACAATCTGAATCCTGATGGAAGAGAGAGATTCAGACTCCTTGTAATTCTCATAAAGCAGTTTCAGAAGTTTTATACCCATCTTGGGTCATCACTAATTACAACGAGGACAAGTACAGAAAAGTCTTGGCACTAAATTGGTGATTAATAGAGTATCAATTATATTTCTCTTTTCAAGCTGCCTCATTCTTGTATACTTTACATATAATAAAATATATTGATTTTAAGTATACTATTTGGTAAATTTTGCCAAATCTATACAGTATTGTACCCATCATCAGAATTATGATACAGAACACTTCCATTAGGCCAAAAGTTTTGTTGTATTTTATTGCAGACAATTCCTTATACCCACCTGAGCTCCTGGAAACCATTTGTTTGCTTCCTGATGCTGTAGTTCTGCCTTAGAATCTAGAATTTCATAGAAATTGAATTTCATAATATATATTCATTCTTTTGTTTGGGGCTTCCTTTATTTGGCAATGTGCTTCTGTGATTCATCCAAGTTGTTCTATGTATCAGTAATTCTTTTGCTTGTATTATTGGTATTTAATTTTATGTCAACATATGAAATTTTGTTTACATATTCACCTCTTTTTGAACAATGGTATGTTTCCAGCTTTTTTAGCTATAATGAATAAAATTGCTATGGGCACTGAAGTACAAACCTTTGTGTGGACATATGTTTTTATTTATCTAGTATAAATATCTAGGAGTGGGAATGCTATATCATATAAACATATTTAATTTGGTAAGATATTGCCAATTATTTTTCAAAATGGCTGCATCATTGTGCATTCCACCAGCAATACAGAATTTCAGTTGCTCCATTTTCTCATTAACAAATGCTTTTGTCAGTTTTTTTTTTTTTTCATTTTAGCCATGCTAGTCAGTGTGTAGTGCTATGCCACTATAATTTCATTTTCTATTGCCCTAGTGGATGAAAATATTATTTTTAACAGGCTTACTTTCCATTTGCATATCTACTCTTTTTTAAAAAACTCATCATAACTTTCTATTCAAACATTTTGCCCACTTTTGTATCAGGTTATCTGTCTTATTATTGAATGATAAGACTTTCTCATACATTCTAGATACATATCCTTCATCACATACATACATTATAAATATAGTCTTCATATCTGGGAATTACCTTTTATTTTTCCTAAATGTATTGTTTAAAGTGCAAACACTTTTATTTTTGAAAAAGATCATTTTATTTATTTTTTAATGCATCATGGATATTTTTGCCCTGTCTTAACTGATAACTTTATGTTTATCGTAATGCCACAAAAACATTCTCTTGTTTTCTTCTGGAAGTTTTCTAGTTTTGGCTTACCTTTAGGTTTATGGTCTATTTTTATTTTTCTGTGTACGATGTAATGTCGACCTTATTCCTTTTTTTTTTATATAAGTAACATTTTTTAGCCCTTTTGTTGAAAAAATACTACTTCCCAAATTAATTACCCAGGCACATTGTTAAAAAACAATTGGCTGTTAAGTATGTGGTCTTACTTCTGTATTTTGTGTTTTTCTCCACTGGGTATATAAATATCCTCACACCAATAATAGAAATTAGTTTTCATTGTTTTGTAGAAGAGAAATTGGGAATATCAAAGCTAAATTTCTGCTGTTGCCTTGGTACCCGGAATTCCTTTCATTAACCTCTAAAGAGAGTTTTTTTAAAAGGAAAAATATATATTCTTACATTTACTCAAATATTTGCAATTTCTGGCACTCTTTATCTGGGCAGATCCAAAATTTCATCTGGCAAATTTTTCCTTTGTTTAAAAACATTCAATTGATATTTATTATAGTGAAGGTATGTAGGCAATGGATATTCTCAGCTTTTGTTTAGCTGAAAAGTACTTTATTTTACTTTCATTTTTCAAAGGTGTTTTCGTTGTGCTTGAAATTTCAAGTTGACATATTGTCTTCTGTTTTTCTTTGTGTTCTAATGATGCTGTCCAGTTGCCTCTGGCTCGCACATATTCTAATATGAAGTTCACTATCTTTCTTCACTCATTTATATATAAATTATTTTTATTTCTGGCTGCTCTGAAATTTTTCTGTATTACTTGGTCTATGTATTTCAATTAAAATGCATTTATATGCTTTCCTCTATGTATATTATGCTCGAGTAGCTTTTTAGCTTCTTAGATGTCTTGGTTTATATTTTTATCATATTTGTTCATTTTTTGTTCAAATATTTTTTATATCCTTCTCCCTATTATGCAAGTCCATTTACACATTTTTTTAGAGAATTTGAGATTGTCCCATGTGTCATTGATCCTCTGTGAATTTTCTTCCATATTTTTTGCATCATTTGGAGAGTTTCTATTGGTATATTTTTAATTTCATTGACATTTTGCTTCTGATATTAATTCATTTCAGGTTATTTTAAAAATCTCTGATCTATTTTTATCTCTAGAACTTTTATTTCATCACTTATGTGTCTGATGTTTTTCCTTATCATATTTGCGCTTTTGTTTACTTATTTTAAAGAATTGGCTCACTTGATTGTGAGAGCTGGCAAGTCTGAAAACTGTAGTTTAGGCCAGCACAATCAAAACTCAAGCAACATTTCTATGTTAACGTCTTGAAGCAGAATTTCTTCTTCTACAGGAAATCCCAATATTTGCTTTTAGGACTTTCCATTGATTGTAGGAGGTCCACTCATTTTATCAAAGGCAATCTCCTTTACTTAAAATCAATGGGGTGCAAATATTAATCACATCTAGGAAATACCCTCACATCAATATCTAGACTAGTGTTTGACCAAAAACTAGACACCATAACCTAGCAAAGTTGACATATGAAGATGAACATAACAACTGCTTTCTTCTGTTTGAATTTTCCCTTCCTGAATTATGGCTTGGGGATTGTTTTCAGATAGATAGTAATCTGATGAAATTGTCATGCTCACTTTTTTTTTTAAGGCTTCTTTCAGGGATTGCTGTTTTGTGTTGCCTATTCATTGTTTAAAAATTGTTATTCTGTGTTACTTTTTTTCTAGTTGGTTAAGGTAGGTAAATAATTATGCTTGTTTACATTAATTTTGTATTTTTCTTTGTCATTCATGTGCATTTTTACAGTTAAAAACTGAATTAATAAAGAGAAAGCTAAGATAAAAATATTAATATAAGCATTACAACTTAGAATAACTTGATAAATATGCATAGTAAAATGATCCTATGGAGACCAAGCTATTATGAATCTGTTTGGGCTTGGAGAATTGAATCTGTATGACAGTTTTAACGAAACAATCCTTTGTCCAAATAAAGGAGAAGGAGTGTGAAAACTTTTCATTTTTACAAGAAGGAGCTTTCTGGTGTTACAATTTAAGTGTCTGAAACAATCAGAAAATACTTTTAGTATTTTCTCAAAGGAAACTAAGAGATGGAATTGTACCACTCAGTGTACTTTTTTGGAGAAGCTTGAATACTGATCACAAAATTGATGGAAAGCATTATGCGCTCTGCTGGGAAAGAAACACAATATTTTATTAGGAAAAAAAATTATCAAATGGTGTTATTTCACATTCCATAATTGTACTGGCAAACAATCTGTAAGAGCAGTTACTGATGCATACATGACCCAGTAAATATTTTGCTTTACAATCAGATTAAACCTCTGATATGCAAACTACAAAACAATTCCTGGCATAGAAGTGGCAAATATAGGAGATCAATGTGTTTGATGAATGTTTTTGTACTCTTATCTGTGGAACTCTATTACACTGTGAGGAAATTTCCATTTATTTAAAGTTTATTTTGTAAACTATTATGTAAATCTCAATAGGTGTTTTCAAATTAGTGCTGCTGGAGTATCAACTATATGTAAAGCAGAAAAAGTGCTATCATACAAATAAAAATATAATTAGATATCTACTGAACAATATTCACAGAGAATAGTTAGTTATCATTTCTCCATTTTGTTGCCTCAATGTTGCCTGAAATCTTAGGTAATTTTTATAAAGACAATTTGCATTTCCTGTGCCTTATGCCAACAAAGAGGAAATGTATTTTAAATATACATAGAATATTTTAAATTTACATAGATGCACAATTGATTTGCAGAGACAGGTATTCATACTTTTAAAATGAGGAAGAACATATATTAAAAAATGACAGCATAAATAACATCTTGACTATATGATAGAACTTCTAAAGACCATTCCTATTTATTTTTTGAGTGAGTGGTTCAAAGGGCATATCTCAAAAATATAGTCAGTCTATTGAATATGCTGACATTATTACCTGAACTGAAATATCATGATTTTAATTTTGAAGTTTTCTTATTAAACTATGCTGAAAGCATTGGCTAGCCAAACTTGTAATTTTTTCTGGCACATGATGATTTTTTTGCTTACAAACACATATTTAGAATATGTTAAGAAACATTTAAATTCCATAAGAAAACATGAAAAAATGATTTTATGAGCTGAATAGAATGAGGAAGCAATAGGAACATAATGATGCTATCTCCTAGATTGAAACAGTCAACCTCTTTGCCGTACCTCCACTCTCATCCCAGCTGTTAAATATGATATATTAGTAAAGGACTCATCTTTGAAAGAGCTAAAATCTCTCTTTACTGAAGAATACACCTCACTTTCTGGTTTGTGTTCAATTAGAAAATCAAACTTATCAAGCACACATCTTTTATAATGAGCCTTAATGTGCAAGTAGTTATTTAATGTATTATACAAGCGAATAAGAAAACAATAAGAAAAGATGACAAACATCTCAAGCAATTCTAATTATAAATATATTTTTACCAAATAGAAGAATTTTTTCTGATTAGTTTACAAATATTATGACCATCTATGAATAAAGACATATAATTTGATTTCCATGTTTCTTAATCAACAATTTATGAACTAGTACACTTCCAAAGAAATGTTGAGAGACAGAGTGCTACTACTTGAAAAATCCCAAAGAAGGCATTAGGTCAGGGAAAGGAGAGAGCTTTCTTTGTCTTATTCCAATTTTGCACGCTACTCCTGCTTACCATACTTATACACAAAAAACCATATAATCACAAATATAATTATAACTATAATCATAAATAGGCTGGCCAGAGTGGCTCACACAGGTAGTTCTAGCACTTTGGGAAGCCGAGGAGAGCAGATGGTTTGAGCTCACGAATTCAAGCCACTGCACCCCAGCCTGGGATCCACAGCAAGACTCTGCCTCAAAAATAAACGAACAAACAAAAAAAGAGCTATAATCATAAACATATACAATAAATATAATATAATCATAAATAGACAGCTTCCTATGAAGCCTTGCAAACTTTGCAATATAAATAGTAAAGAAGTACTCTTTGGAAATTTGTTTCCAATTTTTCTCTCCTCAGAACAGAAAGTTTCCATTCTAATTAGATGTTTATGATACCAACAGTTTCAGTAATTGTGTGAACTAGAGAATTTGGTGTAAATATAACAATAACAGTGATAAATCATAGGTCAAAAGTTTTTAACAATTGCTCATAATATCTTTTGAGTAAATAATTTATTTTTGTTTTATTCTTATAAATATAATAGGAATTTTTTTCCTCAGAATGTATTATTAGTGTGTGTGCCTTGGCCATAATGTGATCTGCTTAATTATATGTTTTAATAGGATTATAATTCTCGCTTTGTATGCGCTAGAACCATAGCTTTGAAAATGTTTGAGTAAAAAATAGTTAATTAACTTCCTATAATTCCAAGTGTATTATAGGAAGACATTGAGGAATAACAATGTACCCCATGTTTGTTTTGTTTTGTTTTGTTTTGTTTTGTTTTGTTTTGAGATAGGATCTTGCTACTCTGTCACTTGGGCTGGAATGAAGTGGCCTGATAATGGCTCACTTGCAGCCACGATCTCTGCTGGGCTCAAAGATCCTCTCACCTCAGCCTCCTGAGTAACTAGGACCACATGTATGCACCCCTTTACCTGGCTAATTTTTCTTTTATTTTTTGTAGAGACGGGATCTTGCTATGTTGCTCAGGCTGGTCTCAAACTTCTGGGCTCAAGTGATCTCCCCGCTTTGGCTTCCAAAAGTGCAGGGATTACAGGTGTGAACCACCATGCCCAGCCCTTGTGTTCTAATTCTTTAAAGGTTACAGGTATGATTTGACTTCTTATGGGTTGTTTTGCTGATAATTTCTTTCAATACATAATGAAATTATTTAAATGAGAAAAATCTGAGAAAATTTGTTAATAGATTTTATCAGAATGTAGATTTAGGTCATAATCCTTGTTAGGTTTGGAATGCAAGTAAAATTTCTGACTTAGGGTTTTCTGGTTTTTTATAAAAATTAGCTTCTACTCAGCCAAAGATGAAACAATGATGTTATACACAGAATCTTACTACCAATACAAGTTAAACAAATCAAATCAAAACAGTAAAATTCAGGAAAAAAAATATAAGTATCAATATAACAGTAGTATTTCAGGTTTATGTCATAGTATTTTTTAAAAAATGGTATACTTAAGATAGAAAAATAATTTAAAACCACTCAAACCAGCTCTTAACACCACCACAACCCCAATACCTGCTTGCAGGAGTAATGAGAAAGTAATTTGAGTGGACAATTATATTTTTTCAGTAGTCACCAGTTTAGAACACTAGCATAAAAGGATGAGAATAAATAAAGCCAAATGCTAAGCAGAAGATACGCAAAAGAAGTCTTCAGTGGTGGTGAGAATTAATCTACATAGGAGAAACCAGTGAGATGATTCTGGGTTTTACAGATACGGATTGTGGGTATGGTGGGCTGTTATGTGGAAGGAATTGAAAACTGAACCACAGCCTTAAACTTTCAATTAAAAGTAAAGATATAAATAAGAATGTTGCTTATTGTAAGTTATGATCCATGCACCTTTACTGAGAAACATATTTAAGAGGAAACAGAAGTAAACATGATAGAAAGCAGAGACTTGATCTAACATAATAAAGGTGAAATTAGAAAGTCAGTAGAAAGTTATTTGAAAAAGAAAATCATGATACCTTATGTTTAACAAAATCTGTAGAACTTCTGAAAGAGAAATCATTTAAGAAATAGAATTAAAGAACACAAAAAGAGAAATACAGAGAGAATGTATGTGAAAATTGGTGGTTCAATCTAGGGGTCTCAGAAAGAGGGAACAGTGAAAACAGATGAGCGGAAGTTCAAAAAAGTTTAATATGTATCAAAATAATTATTAGAACTAAGGGTTACTAGTGCCCAGACTGAAAGAGCCTTCCAACCAATTGGCTAATGAGAATGAAACATCTATACCAAGCTTATCACAGTGAAATTTTGGAACATTCAAATAAAGACATCTTAAATCTTCAAGAGTTTTTTGTTTTGTTTTGTTTTGTTTTGTTTTCAAGCCACATATAAGACATATTAAAAGAAGTTACCATGGTCTTCTCAGCAGTGTTACTGGAAGATCTTGGTTCACAATTCTTATGGAGCTGATTCCAATATTTTATTCTTCTACCCTATAACCACTTGCAAAAAGCAAAAGCTTCGGCCAGGTGCGGTGGCTCACGCCTGTAATCCCAGCACTTTGGGAGGCCAAGGTGGGTGGATCACAAGGACAGGAGATCGAGACCATCCTGGCTAAAACGATGAAACCCCGTCTCCACTAAAAATAAGAAATAAAAAAAAAATTAGCCGGGCGTGGTGGCGGGCGCCTGGAGTCCCAGCTACTCGGGAGGCTGAGGCAGGAGAATGGCGTGAACCCGGGAGGTAGAGCTTGCAGTGAGCCGAAATAGCACCACTGCACTCCAACCTGGGAGACAGAGTGAGACTCCGTCTCAAAAAAGACAACAACAACAACAACAACAAAAAAACAACAAAAAAGCAAAAGCTTCTATGTTCATCCCGAGCGCCAGGATACTACACACTAGGCTTTAGCATTTTTCTCTCATCCACCTAGAGAGAAAATAATCATTTGAGGTGTCAAGTTCATTGAGAATTCTACTCCTCAGTGTCTCAGAAAAAGTGAAATGTCAGTCACCCTCTGATTCTGTATCTAACATCACTTAGTGTGTCCCTAGCCGAATTAAGGAGGTAGTTCAGAGTCTTTCGGCCTTGAGCACACAGACAGTATCATGCTTATCCAAACACAATTTTATCAGTACTACTACGGTTTCTCCAAACTGCAGAAAATTAACTGACCTTTGGGGGGACAAGGTAGGCGGAAGGTTGGTATCTCTTTTCTAAGTTAGAATGTTTTTTAGTGCAGTAAGTCCCAAGTACACATGGACTGTTAGTTTTCTCTTCTACTTCTTAACTGAGAACATAAAGAATTGTGACCATATGTGCTACAGTCTGCATGACACTTACTGAGAACATCTGAATCACCTAATAGCACTGACTAGTGTATTTGTTCACCTTGTGAAATTGTGGTTGACTCCAACATAAGCATATTTAATAGCCAGCTATACATGGGGTTCCAATTTTTTTCTATATAGCTTAAATGAGACCATACGCAGTGTTAAGGGTTGAAGGAAGATATCAGGGCAGGAAACCTAGTGGATAAAGCTCGGATAAAACACACAGGTTTCATGGCCTCCCAATTTTACTAAAATAAAATTTGTAGATAGTGAATTAGATATAAACTAGTTCATTAATGCAGACCATTCTCCTTTCCTCATGAAGAGCCAAAGTTGTACTAAAATTCATGCAAATTTAATACAAATTTAATTTGTATTAAAATTGGTGAGTCATGGCAAGGTGTGGTGGCTCACGCCTGTAATCCCAGCCTTTGGCAGGCTGAGGCAGGTGGATCACCTGAGGTCAGGAGTTCGAGACCAGCCTGGCCAAAATGGCGAAACCCCGTCTCTACTAAAAATGCAAACATTTGCCGGGCGTGGTGGCAGGTGCCTGTAATCCCAGCTACTCGGGAGGCTGAGGCAGGAGAATCACTTGAACCCGGGAGGCGGAGGTTGCAGTGAGCCGAGATCATGCCACTGCACACCAGCCTGGGGAACAGGGCGAGACTCCATCTCATAAAAAAGAAAAAAAAAAAAAGAAAAAAAAAAGATGGTGAGCCATGACATGACACATACCACATAAACATACTTTTGAGGGAATTGATAAAGGGGCTACCTAGCATTACCTCCTTTCAGTCTCACTGAAGGAAGCCTGCTCCTCGGGAAAAAATTCACACCTTCCCTTTTATGTCACTATTCTTGACATAAATGCCTTCATCTTGCCAGGCCTAATGCCATGTAGAAAGAAAAGCTGGGTTCCCTTCTACCCACTATGTACTGATATCTCAAATTACAAGACTGTTATATAGAATTCTTCAAATGAAGAGATTAATCAGTGAGATTGCCTTATATGTATGAAACACAGTTAATGTAAAACTAGCCCTCTAGATATCAATTAAATGTACGCTACTAAATTCTGCTCTTCATCTTAAACTTGCACAATTTGTCTTTTCTCACCTAGACCAATATGAAACACAAAGATCCTTGCAGTCTAGAAAAAATGGCCAGAGGAGCCTCAAATTCACTATCAGAAATTCCAAAGTGTGATGTATTTCTATTGGGTACAAAAAAGAAAACTTGGGCCTGCCATGCCTAGTAGAGTTGATCTGAAATGGCTACATTTTTCACACTTGATTACTATTTGCATGAATGCAATCATGCAACACATACTCTAAATAAATACAAAAGTATTTGCTCTATTTGCAAGGAATTCCTCCAGGTTTATTGGTTCTTAATCTACTCTATACTTTTGGCAAGATTTCATTTTTCCTTTATTCTGTACTTGTTTCCCAGCTTATCTTAACACCATCTATTTTTTACACTACAGTTTGGATGTGCTAAAGGGGATGCACGGTGGGTTTTGTTAGGAAGGTGCTTTTTGATAAGAAGTTCCATAATCCTGACATAGACATGGCCATCGGCATTGCAGTAACCATGCCTAGAAAACTCTTTCAAGTGTCTACGTGGACACAGAGAAACATAGCTTAATGAAAGGAGAAGTTCTTACATTTTAAGATTAAGATTAGATTAATCTTAAATCTTGTTTGCCACTAGAATCCCATCTTCCCTGAACATTTTATTCCCCCATTATTACCCTTCTCATCAAATGTTCTATCATTTATGCAGTTGCTACAGCCACAAAGCTGTAAATCAGAAAATATTTGTTCTTATCCTTTCAAAACACATGTGAAATCCTTCCATTTCACTCTACCTACAAATCTATAAACTTAATCTATTGATGATTTCCTCATAGACAATTGCAGTGTTATCTAACCTGTGTACTTGATTTTTCTTTGGTACCTCTGGATTACAGATGAAATGTTAATGAAATCCTATGTATCTTTTTGGTACCTCTATAATTCAGAGGTACCAAAGAACAGACAAAATAATAATTTTTACTTTCCCTACCCCAATCAAAACTCTCAAATAGCTGACTCTTCATAGAAAAAATAAATTAAGCTTCTTTTTTTTCTGGAAGGCCTTCCCTAAAATTTACGGAGGGCGTTGTCTCCAAATTTCCCACTAGTTCTTTTTAAAATTTTTTATATTTAAAAACTGAAAGAGCCTCCTTGTTGTTTCTTGAATGTGTTTAAAAGTAACTGCCAAAATATTTTTGAGGTGACTTTCCTATTTTGCAGTCCTACCAATAATGTATGAGTATTCTAATTTTTTTTCAATTGATATAGCCAGGTTTTCAGCTGTATGTTTGTTCTAATCCATCCAAATATGTGTGTAGTGATATTTTATTGTGGTCTTAATTTACATTTTACCAAAGAGTAATAATGTTGAGCATCTTAAATGTGTTAAATTGTCATCCATTTATCTTTTGCTCAAATTTTTAGCCTATTTAATTGTTTTGTTAGTTTGCTGTTGTTTATTTGAGCATTTTCTTATGAAGCTATGAGTATTTATTTCTCTATTTATTTTTTGAAACAGAGTTTTGCTCTTGGCATCCAGGCTGGAGTCCAGTGGTGCGATCTCGGCTCACTGCAACCTCTGCCTCCCGAGTTCAAGCAATTCTCCTACCTCAGCCTCCTGAGTAGGTGGGATTACAGGCGCGTGCCACCACACCTGGCTAATTTTTGTATTTTTAGTAGACACGGGGTTTCACCACGTTGGCCAGGCTGATCTTGAACTCCTCACCCCAGGTGATCCACACACCTTGGCCTCCCAAAGTGCTGGGATTACAGGCATGAGCAACCACACCCAGCCCATGAATATTTTTAACTTTTAATGTAGTCTAGATACAGGTCTTTATCAAATTTGTGTTTTGCATATGTTTTTCCTCAGGTTTAGCTTGTGTTTTTAATCTCTTAATAGTGTCTTTAAAAGCAAAGAAATGTTAATATTGATGAAATCCTATGCATCTTTTTAAAGGAATTTTGCTTTTGGTATCTTATCTAAAAAATATATGTGAAATCCAAATTCACAAAGATTTTTTTTTTCTAATTTTGCCTGGAAGCAGTGGGAGAACTCTCCTTATTTTACTAGAATGGAAAACTGCCTTAGAATGGTTTCATATTGAAAGAAAGACCTGCCAGTCTGGGGAGCTTCTGCAGTGATACTGTGCACCAAAATAATAAGCAGTAGGAGCCTGCAATTCAGGCACTGGACCTTTCCCAGTTGTTTATGGAAATCAGACTGACACCTCTTTTGGGCAGCACAAGATTTTTGTAGTCTTCAGAAAATCAAAAGTGAAGAGAAGATTCCCATGAAGGAGATGGAATTCTTAATAATCTGATCTCTCCATACTTGAATCATAATTAATTACCTAAAAAAGATAAATTATGTAACTGTAAGACTTGTACTTTCAGCATTGTACTACAGTTTATAGTTATTGCATCCATTATTAACAAGAGTTGGAAAAGGCTGAAATAGCCAATGTACATGGTAATACACATGTTTGGAACCATTGCTAAATACTATTATTTATGATGGCAGGAGGCTTATTTGTTCTAGGTTGCTTTTAAAAGATCAAAGCTGTGAAATCAATCTCAAGAAGCAGGTGTTTTAAAAATATTACTCTGATAATTGTATACTGATCAAAATTGTATCTTCTACCTCACTCATATCTCACTTAACTTCCTTTTACACAATAAGGCTTGTGACTGATGTTGGTTAGGGGTCAACTAAATGAGAACGAGGTGTGACTGACTAATATAGCTACATTAACAATCTCAAAAATGTTTTCCTTTAAAACATTGATTCTCGCTGAGTTATGCTGCTAAATTCTTACTTTCTTAAATTATACTCAAATTTTAAAATCTGTATATTTAAGAAATAATTCTATATCAACAACCACACTTTTGCTCATGTTTAATACAATCTCCTGAGTGTATGAATCTAAATAAGTATCACATTCTGGTTGAGGATGGTAAAGGACTATCTACATACTCAAATACTTAACAAATGTAAAGATCATTAAGCCTCATGTAAGCAACGAATTTTGCTGTGGTTAGTAGTCTAAGACCTTTATTTCTCCATCACCTCACTGCAATGTTCTATATTACTGATGAAAAAGAATAACAAAAGATAAAACCATGACATTACAGGAAAATTTCCAATGGAGTGTGTCTTTATTACAGAAGTTTAAGGCTTACTTTGAATCAAGTTCTTTTACTATCTTCCACGACTATTCATGGACAATAAACAGAACATTTCAGAATATTTCATTAATATTTATGAGCTTTTCACACGGCTAGTTACAAACCAAAGTATTTCAATTTGTTAAACAAGAAAATATCCTGCTATGAATTATGTACTGATCATTTTATTTTAGCAAAATGATATAAATCAGTGCCTTAGAAGTGAATGATGTATTGAAATCACAGTGTTTACGCTTATTCAGTTACAGAATTGTAACAATTATCCACATCACATAGATACATGGCTACTTATACATTTTCTCCATATGTGGGTATTTTTTCACCTCTACATTTTTACACCTTGATGTACTTTGCCCTAAAGCTGTTCTCTGTTTTCAGAGCATTATTAATGCTGCTTGTCTACGGGAAAATCCTCATGACTCTCCTGTTGCTGGATAGTAAGTTGTTTATCCCTAATTATGGCTGGAATTGTTGATCATCAACAAGAATATTGTCTATACTGTAGATTATATTAGCAAAACATTAATTCATAAACATAGGCAGGTGATTCTGTAACTTAATTTGTTCACAGAAATTGCTAATTTATTTGAAAATTAAAGAACAAAACTATAAAATAGAATAAACACTAAAGCTATTAAACCAAGTTAAGGACTTCAAAAATGGATGGATTTTGTTGGATAAGAATTTTGTTGGTGGTGGGCTTTAAAAGAGTTTTTAATATAAGGCCTTTAAATCATATTATGATGTTATCAGTGTGAATGATACAGATATCATTCTAACATTATCTTCTTTATTAAATGATTATAGCACATATAAAGACTTTTCAGTTCACTGGAACTGAATCATCTTTTTGTAATAACCACTGTAATAACTGTATCAGGCAATTTCATCAATGGATGCTAATGCTGATGGGCAAAAAAAGTTAGGATACAAAATATTCACAAGGTCTCAAAGTATTACTGCACAGATTACATTTAATTATAAAATAGAAATATGGCCAGGCACAGTGGCTCACGCCTGCAATCCCAGCACTTTGGGAGGCTGAGGCAGGTGGATCACCTGAGGTTGGGAGTTCGAGACCAGCCCGACCAACATGGAGAAACCCTATATCTACTAAAAATACAAACTTAGCCGGGTGTGGTGGTGCATGCCTGTAATCCCAGCTACTTGGGAGGCTGAGGCAGGAGAATCGCTTGAATCTGGGAGGTGGAGGTTGCGGTGAGCCGAGATCATGCCACTGCACTCCAGCCTGGGCAACAAGAGTGAAACTCCGTGAGAAAGAAAGAAAGAAAAGAAAAGAAAGGAAGGAAGGAAGGAAGGAAAGGAGGGAGTGAGGGAGGGAGGGGGGAAAGGAGGGAGGGAGGGAGGAGGGAGGGAGGGAGGGAGGGGGGAGGGAGGGAGGGAGAGGGGAGAGAGGGAGAGAGGGAGGGAGCGGGGGGAGAGAGGGAGGGAGGGAGGGGAGAGATTGGGAGGGAGGGAGGGAAGAAAGGAAGGAAGATGTATTTACCATGGACTCCAGCCTGGGCAACAAGAGTGAAACTCTGTCAGAAAGAAAAGAGAAGAGAAGAGAAGAGAAGAGAAGAGAAGAGAAGAGAAGGAAGGATTTACAACGGAAAGATTTGATGGCGTGGTCTTAACTAACCAGTCAAGCTCGGCATTGCCATTGTGATGTAATGCAGTGGAAAAAGTACATGACTTATGTGTCACTCTTGCTGAAAATTATTGGTCTCAATTTAATCAAGTAAAAACAATCAGTTGAATCCAGAATTGTATGTTGTCACGAATACTGGCCTGAGTTTCTCAAAAGAAGTTACCAATGGTATTTTTCTTTATTTGAGGAGGCTAATGAGACATAACACCAAATGCAATGTGTGAGCATTGAATGAATTTTGGATTGAAAAAAATGAAGGACATCTTGAAGGTATTTGGAAAAATTTGAATATGGGCCATATGTTGGATGATGGCATTGAAATAATGCTGATTATCTTAGATGCTTCATGTGATATAGTTTCATAGAAGAATTTAATTACTTGGGGTAACATTTAGGGATGGACTATCAATATAGCTACCTTTAGATGAGTTAGCAAAAGGGAAGTGTTTGTGGGTGGATGAAAAGACATATAGACAGAGAGATAAAGAGGTAGGTAGAAGACAGATATATGAACCTATATCTGACATAGATCTATGTCTATATTTGATATAAATAGATACAGACAGTTATAGATCTAGGTAGATGTAGATATAGAGAGATATAGATATAGATACAGACATAGATATAAATGATATAGATATGGAGAGGGTGGCAAGATCTTAAAAGTTAGTAAATCTAGAAGAGAACTGTTTGGGTATTTATTGTACTTTTCTTTCAACTTCACTGTGGATTTAAAAAATTGAAAATAATTCAATTACTGAGAGAAGAAAATATCTGCCTTAGTTATTAGAATACATGACTCTATAAGAAACTTTTATATATGCCATGTATCATACAAAATATTAATAATAAAGTTACAAAAGTGATCAATTTTGAGCTAGAGAAGCAACCAACTGCTTGTTTGGTCTAAGATTAGGGAAACACAGGAAAAAAATCATATAGAACAAAATGAAATAAATAGTAATCAAAGCAAAAGGTAAATAACGCTAGAAAAAATATGTGAGTCTTATTTAATTTTAATGATCCGGACAAAGAAAAAAAATTACACACATGAGAAATTATGCTCAACATACTCCAAATGAGAAAAAATGCTGAAATACAATAAAATAGTCTTAATGTCTCTGATTAGCAGAAATCAACAAATTTCTTAATGGACTCTAAGAAAGGGCATATATACTCTTCTGTATTAATAATGGGATTATAAAATAGAAAACCTTTATGATAAACATTTGGCAAATAATATCTTTCAATGCTCTTTAACTCAGCAATTATCCTTCTAGGAAGTGATATTACAGATGCGTTTGAAACTATATCCTATCGATGCATGCAAAAATATGCAAAATGTCTTATTTTCACAGATATTATCACAGCATTGTTTGTAATACCAAAAGATCAGAAATGACCTGAAGGTCTTCCAGTAGGAGACTGGTTAAATAAATTCTGTAGTATTCATTTAAGATAATATTATTATCATTATTTAAAATGTACTAAGTTGTTGATGTGTAACAATACTTGAGATATATAAATGCAAGTTAAAAAGCAAGGTTCACCCAGAAGAAAACCTAGGCAATACCATTCAGGACATAGGCATGGGCAAAGACTTCATGACTAAATCACCAAAATCAATGGCAACAAAAGCCAAAATAGACAAATGGGGTCTAATTAAACTAAAGAGCTTCTACACATTAAGAGAAACTATCATCAGAGTAAATAAACAGGCAACCTGCAGAATGGGAGAAAATTTTTGCAATCTATCCATCTGACAAAGGGCTAATATCCAGAATCTACAAAGAAAAACAAATTTGCAAGAAAAAAACCCCATAAAAAGTGGGCAAAGGATATGAACAGACTCCTCTCAAAAGAAGACATTTATGCAGCCAACAAACATGAAAAAAAAGCTTATCATCACTGGTCATTAAAGAGTGCAAATCAAAACCACCATGAGATCATCTCACACCAGTTAGAATGGCAATCATTAAAAAGTCAGGAAACAACAGATGCTGGAGAGGATGTGGGGAAACAGGAACGCTTTTACACTTTTAGTGGGAGTATAAATTAGTTCAACCATTGTGGAAGACATTGTGGCAATTCCTCAAGGATCTAGAACTAGAAATACCATTTGACCCAACCAACCCATTACTGGGTATATACCCAAAGCATTATAAATCATTCTACTATAAAGACACATGCACATGCACGTTTATTGCAGCACTGTTCACAATAGCAAAGACTTGGAACCAACGCAAATGTCCATCAATGATAGACTGGATAAAGAATATGAGGCATGTATACACCATGGGATACTATGCAGCCATAAAAAAGGATGAGTTCATGTCCTTTGCAGGGACATGGATGAAGCTGGAAACCATCATTCTCAGCAAACTAACACAAGAACAGAAAACCAAACACCGCATGTTCTCACTCATAAGTGGGAGTTGAACAATGAAAACACGTGGACACAGGGAGGGGAACATCACACACCAGGGCCTGTTGGGGGGTGGGGGGCTAGGGGAGGGATAGAATTAGGAGAAATACCTAATGCAGATGATGGTTTGATGGGTGCAGCAAACCACCATGGCATGTGTATATCTATGTAACAAACCTACACATTCTGCACATGTACCCCAGAACTTAAACTATAATAATAAAAAAAGCAAGGTTCAGACAGATGGTACAATTCCTGTTGTGATAATCAAAAGTATATGTAGATATAGACATAGACATGAGATTGATATATAGATAAAATGTAGACATAGGTATACACACACACATATATACATGGTCATTTATAGGTATGTATTATGTAAACACATTATCTTCCTTTTATTATTTTTCTTTCATTATGCTCCTTTCATAATGCTTAAGAGTTTAGCAATAGGGGTTGCTCCGTAGAGTGAAATGGTCACCAGACAAAAGATATAGGAGAAAAATATTTTCCATTGAATTATTTTTAAATAAAATGAACACATTTAAAAGGCAAATATAGGTCAGGCATGGTGGCTCACACCTGTAATCCCAGCACTTTGGGAGGCCGAGGAGGGTGGACTGCCTGAGCTCAGGAGTTCGCGACCAGCCTGGGCAACACAGTGAAACCCCGTCTCTGCTAAAATACAAAAACTTAGCTGGGCGTGGTGGCATTTGCCTGTAGTCCCAACTACTGGGGAGGCTGAGGCAGGGGAATTGCTTGAACCTGGGAGGCGGGGGTTGCAGTGAGCTGAGATCGCGCCACTGCACTCCATCCTGGGCTACAGAGTAAGACTCCATCTCAAAACAAACAAACAACAAACAACAACAACAACGGACAAATATAAACATCAAGAAACCATGGATGGCATAGAACGTCCCAAAACTTGAAATATTGGGAGGCCGAGGCAGGTGGATCACCTGAGGTTAGGAGTTGGAGACCAGCCTGACCAACATGGAAAACCCCATCTCTACTAAAAATACAAAAATTAGCTGGGCCTGGTGGTGCGTGCCTGTAATCCCAGCCTACTCAGAAGGCTGAGGCAGGAGATTCACTTGAACCCGGGAGGCAGAGTTTGCAGTGAGCCAAATCGTGCCATTGCACTCCAGCCTGGGCAACAAGAGTGAAACTGCATCTCAAAAAAAAAAAAAAAAGTTGAAATAATGTATATCAAAAGAGCAATTAGAAACGAAAAGGGGACAAGAAAACCCAGTTCCACGGTAGGTTAACCAGAGCAAAAGACACGTCTGGCACTATGAAAATAAAATGGCCACTAAGTAAATATAAACAGATCATTCTCTCTCTTAATTAAAAATATCTATACATTTATCCTCTCTCTTTTTGTTTTTCTTTTTACTGATGAAAAATGCTCACTCTGTTATAATTAAAATGCTATGATCTTGTACTATATCTTACTGTCACACTTTTTAAATGTGAACATTTTTCTTCATGTAAATTGTTGTTCTAGTTTCAAAAATAGACATTTTTTAAATCTCAAAAAAAACCAAAATTACACATTTTTCCAAAATGCTCTTCTATTTCTTTATGCAGCACTGTTTGAGAAATACTAATTTCTGGTGATTCTTCAGGGCATATCTATTCTTTGCATCATAGTCTTTTCCCACAGTTTTCTAACTTAGAAGCTTCTCTAAGCCTGTTCTGTCTGTTGTGCCTGCTCTCACTATGAGGAACTCAATAAAGATGTGACTGCCTGTGCTAGAAGTATAGCCCTTTGGAGCTTATTAGGCCCTATTTGCCCAAACTGCAAAGAGTTATTCAAATTTTTTGGTCAATTTCATTGTTTTGTGGTCTCCCTTCCAAAATCCCAGCACTCACCCTTGAAGGGGGAGAGGCCCATTTCCATAAGACTCACTGAAGGAGTATTATAAGTATGTTCTCAAAGAGCCTTTCTGTTCTTTCACTAGTACACAAGGATTCCTTTCTCTGAGAGAGGATGTCTAAGAATTCGGCTTCAATAGGAACAATTTTCAGAAGTCTGACCATCCTACCAGTTTTCAGCATGGCGCTTTTTCTTTGCTCTGCAGTATTTTTACTTTTCAGACCTGTCCTATGCAATATTTACTTGCTTTCTTAATGTTGGTACTTCTAGTATATCTTTAAATTTGTCAGAAATAGAGTATGTCCTCACTTTGAGTTTTTCTACTGGAATTATTGGTATTACAATTTTACCTTACTTTCTATTCACTTTATTGATGTTCACATCATCTCTTCAGATCTGCAGCTTTATGGCAGGTTAATATATGTGGCTCTTACTCCTCTGATTCTAGGGCTTTCATACAGTGAAGACTCTGCTGGTCTAGCTGGTTAAATGAGTAGTTTTTTCAAATTTGTTGTGGGTACATTATATATATATAATATATATATATGGTACAATATTATATATATATATATATGGTACAATATTATATATATATATATATGGTACAATATTATATATATATATATATGGTACAAGAGATTTCGATGCAGGCATACCATGCATAATAATCATATCAGGTAAGTGGGTAATAAATATATCACCTCGAGAATTTATCATTTGTGTTATAACATTCTAATTATACTCTTTTAGTCATTTTAAATGCGCAATAAATTATTGTTGACTGTAGTCACCCTGTTATGCTATCAAATAATACATCTTATTCATTCTATCTAACCATATATTTGTACCCATAGAACATCCTCACTACCCCCACCCCACTACTTTTCCTAGTTTCTGGTAACCATCATTCTACTCTCTATTTCCATGAGTTCAACTGTTTTAACTCTTAACTCCCACAAATAAATGAGAACATGTGAAGTTTGTCTTTCAATGCATGGCTTATTTCACTTAACATAATGTCCTCCAGTTACATCCAAGTTGCTGCACATATTCAATTCTGTAGGCCTGGAGAACATCCAGGTAGTTTGCATTCTTAACAAAGACCTCAGAAGATTCTGATTCAAGCTGATCATTGACCACAATTTGAAAATTATTGCACTTGAGTGTTAGCTGTTAATTTATGAACCTGAAGGCAAGCAATATACACTCATGGATGATAACACATGGATATTTAAAACTGCTAGTTTTGTTTTGGTGAAATCGTACCAGGAGGCTATCAGTGAGTTTCAAGCTTATTACACCAATCCTATAATTAATTTTTCTTTTAAGTAATATGGTTTTTCAGTCTAAACTGCATTTTAAGACAAAATTTTTTATTTGATGAAGGGCAGGAATTGGTCTTGTTTTGGATCTTTGTCTTATAACTAGAGAACACAGAGGGCATCTGATTCAGGGCTGGTCTGCATACCACATATGTGAGAAAAATTAAGGCTAAAAGACACTGTATGCCCTAATGAGTTCTAGAAGGGAAAAGGTTTACATCACATTTGACAGTAAAGAGATCAATGTCCTTCACATTAAGAAATGAAAATTTGGATTTCTCAAATTGGGTTAATATCAGGGAAAAGGTGAATAGTTTATAAACTTCTATGGATTTGTGATAAATTTCAACCCACAGACTAACATACAAACCACTGTGTGAAAAATTATTATAACTGATATACGTTGTGCAGAAAATTATTGATTCAATACAGAATATAACATAGTAAACAATGAGATGACTGAGACAAGAGGACCAATGAAACAACCACTTTTCAACCTTACTTTTATCATGTGACAAAATATAATACCACATGTCTCTTTCAGCTGGCTACATAGCTTAGATGACAAAACAGTATCTTGCAGGCAACCTGAGCTCTTTGAGAAAACGTGGAAAGTAAACATAAAAAATTATCAAAGTTATTTATTTTTAAGAATAAGCTCTTTTGAAGAAAAGTGAAGGGCTTAAAAGGTTGTATTATGATGAGATGGCAATGAATATGTGCATAAGATAAACACGTTTATTAAATCACGCTTGCCAATGAAGGTTGTGAATAGCTTCTATCGAAATAGCATAAGGTTGCTCTTATGAAAGGTAATGAGGTGTAGTCTTTTGAAAATATATCCTACTTCTAAATGCCTGTAAAATGGAAACCACACTAACTCTGCTGAGTTATGTTAATAACTGGTGAAAAGCGTCTTATTCTGAAGTACTTCAAAAACCAATTATTCCAAGTGGCTACCAGGTGTTGTGGAAGGAAGTTAGTTTGGTTTTGGGTTTTTTTCCAAGTCACCTTTAGGAGTACTCCAGAGCTTCTGAAAGTGGCTTATCACTGCACATTTGAATATTTTAATTATACACTTCAAAAAATACTTGAGAGTCATTTGACTGAAAGTGCAATTTGTGTATAACATTTTAGTACTTAAATCAACTATGAAAAGCATTTTAAATTAAAATCCAATACACTTTGCATTCACTCTGTTCAAGAAAATTGAAGCTAATTATAACTCTCAAATTAAGCAAATATGGGGGAGCTAACAAAGCAATTTTTAGAATATAATACATTATTAGATGTGAAGATAACTATATTTCTATGCTTAAAAAAAAAAAAAAAAAAAAAAAAAACAGAACTACCAGTATAATAAAGAAAAGGTGAAGGGTAGGATAGAGGTAGAAATAATTCTTGTGAGAGTTTTGAAGAATAAATTTCCAAGGATTATGTGTGCAACTCAACTAATTGCCCTTTTTTCAAAGGTCCCTCTTTACTAGTTTACCTGAGAAAACAGGGAGTGATTTGTCCATGTGATTCCTCCTCAGTCTATGATTTACAGTGCATCTCTGATATTTAAACCTAGGCTTCCAGCTAGTGTTGTTACTGGTAAATAACTGGAAGTTGGGAATTTTACCTACATTTGAAATCATGCTGCCCTCATCATTTTCACCCCACCAGTGGAGTGCTGTAAGGAGATTACACTTCCCTGTATTGACTTGATTTCTCTTAACTACACTATTGAACAATCATTGTTTATAAAAGTCTTTGTAGGTACTGCTAGTTTGTCCACTTCAATGGAAAATGCCAAATGACTTCCCCAAACTACTATAAAAACTCATACTCCACCCCGTCTCTAATAAAAATACAAAAAATTAGCCGGGCGTGGTGACACGCTCCCAGCTACTCGAGAGGCTGAGGCAGGAGAACCGCTTGAACCCGGCAGGCGGAGGTGGCAGTAAGCCGAAATCGCGCCACTGCACTCCAGCCTGGGCGACAGAGAGAGATTCCGTCTCAAGAAAAAAAAAAAACAAAAACTTATACTCCACCTAGTAATATCTTATTTCCTTTCCTTGCTTCCTTGTTAACACTTTACATTATCAGATATGTAAATGCTTGTCAATGCAGTGAAAGTATATTTTACTTTCATGAAATCCAATATCCTTTAATATTGATTAATATTTTATTACTACTGCCTATTTCTAAAAATTTATTATTAACTTTTTATTGGGTTTTTATATTGTGTACAGATTGTCTTTTGTTATGTATAAATGTGTGTGTATAGTATATGTACATACGTATTGTATGTGTGTGTATATATTTATATATGCATGTATATACACACATTTGCAATACATTACTCTAAAAGTGTTTAAATTTTGTTTTTCACATTTAAGTCCCAGTCCACTTAAATTTGATTTTTGCATATGGTGTCTCAATTGTCCATTTGGAGGCAGACTACATATGAAAACACACTATTCTATTTCTGTCTGCAATTTATTGACATCATACTTAATGAATATAATTTCATATTTTCTAAATATCTGATTTGATTTCCATATAAAAGTTAAAATCATCCATCAAAGTCCCCAGATAACTTCCTTTCAGATTTCAATTTAAAGTACATCAAATCTACAGAAAAAATTAGAGTATAAATACCTTTATTACACTTATTCATTATGATCATAGCATAACTTTTCATATTTATTAAATGTTTTTAATAGTTTTATAATTTTCTTAAGTTTTATACAACAATTATTTTATTATTTTTAAAAAGTTTTCTAAAATTTCTTTATCGTTATAAATTGTGATCTACTAATCATATTTTTTAGATTTGTGGCAAGTGTAGACAGGTGAATGTGAGACCTATTGACTGGGCTAGACTTTATTAATTGTAATATTTTCCCATAAATTTTGCATATTCTTTGTAGACAATCGTGTTATCTTTCCCAGTAAGAGATTCATTTTCTATTTTCAAATTCCTAAACTTTTTATTTAATTATCTTATTCTACATTGCACATTGTAACTTCCAGTAACATGTTGAATAAACATGATGAAAACAATTATTCTTGTTTTTTTCTTGATTTTAAAGGAAATGCTTATATTAGATCATGACGCTAGATATATGTATTTTGAAGACCACCTTTCTTTTTATTGATATGTAAGAGTTGTACATGTTTTTGGAGTATATATAATATTTTGATACATCATATAGTGTGTAAGGATCAAATAAAAGTAATTGGGATATCTATCACCTCAAACATTTATCTGATTTTTTAAGATGATAGAAACATTTGAATTATTATCTACTAGTTATTTTGAAATATACAATAAATTATTGTTAACCCTATGAACTATAAACCACAAGTTCTTATTTCTTCTGACTGTATTTTTGTACCCATTAATAAACCTCTCTTCATCCTCCCTTTCCCCTTCCCTTCTCAGCCTCTGGTATTTTCATGTGAACCCCTTTTTTTTTAGCTCCTATGTGTGAGCAAGAATATGTGATATTTCTCTTTCTGTGCCTGGATTATTTCACTTAACACATGATCTTCATTTTTATTTATGTTGCAGCAATTATAGGATTTCCTTTCTAATGGCTAAATCATACTCCTTTGTGTATATATACCCTCTTTCTTTATTCATTCATTCACTGATAAACAATTAGAATGATTCCGTATCTTGGCTAACATGAACAGTAGCTGCAATTAACAAGAGAGTGCAGATATTTCTTTCATACATGTGTTTCCTTTCTCTTGGACATACATACAGCAGTGAGATTGCTTGATCCTATGGTAAATTCTATTTTGAGTTTTCTGAGAAAGCTTTGTACTGTTTTCCATAGTGGAAATACTCATACATCAACAGGGCATGAGTGTTCTCCTTTCTTCCTATCCTCGCCACTATCTGTTATATTTTGTCTTTTTAATAAAAGCCATTTTGATTAAGGTGAGATGATATCTCACTATGGTTTTGATTTGCATTTCCCTGATGATTAGCAATGTTGAATATTTTATCGTATACCTGCTTTCCATTTGTATGTTTTATCTTGAAAATGTCTATTTGGATATGTTGTGCATGTTTTAATCAGGTTACTTTATTTTTCTAATATGTTTGAGTTCCTTGTGTATTTTTGTTACTGACCCCTTCTCAGATAATTTGCAAAAATGTGTTCTGCAGTTCTATAGGTTGTCTCTTCACACTACTGATTGTTTCCTTTGCTTTACAGAAGCTTTTTAGTTTGATGTAATTCAATTTGCCTATTTTTTGCTTTTGTTGCCTGTGCTTTTTGAGGTCTTATTCAAAAAATCTTTGCCCAGTCCAATTTTTTGAATCATTTTTCTCTATGTTTTCTTCTAGTAGTTTCATAGTTTCATGTCTTACATTTAAAACTTTCATTTGCTTTAATTTGATATTTGTATATGGTGGAAGATAAGGGTCTAGTTTCATTCTTCTGTGAATGGTTATTAGTTTTTCCGGTATCATTTATTGGAGATTGGCCTTTTCCCAATGTATGCTCTTGGGACACTTGTCAAAAAGAGTTGCCTGTGAATGTGTGGATTTATTTCTGAGTTCTCTATTCTGTTCCATTGGTCTATGTGTCTGTTGTATGCCAGCACCACACTGTTTTGGTTAATACAGCTTTGTAGCATATTTTGGAGTCAGGTAGTATAATACCCCTAGCTTTGTTCTCTTTGCTTAAGACTGCTTGCATTATTCTGGGATTTCTGTGGCTCTAAACAAATTTTAAGATTGCTTTTACTATTCATGTGAATAATATAATTTATATTTTGATAGAAATTGCATTGAATCTGTAAAGTTTTTTGGGCAGTATTGACATTTTGACAATATTAATTCTTCCAATCCATGATCATGAGATATCTTTTCATTTTCCTTTGTGTCTCCTTCAATTTCTCTCATTAGTGTTTTACAGTTTTCCTTGTAACAATCTTTAACTTCTTCAGTAAAATTAATTACTAAGTATTGTATATTTTTTGTAGTTCTTATAAATGGGATTGACTTGTTATTCCTTTTTTAGACTGTTTGCTGTTAGGGTATAGAAATGCTACTAAATGTGTGTGTGTGTGTGTGTGTTTCTTTTTTATCCTGCTACTTTACTGAATTCATGTATCAGTTCCAAAAGTTTTTTTGTGGAGTTTTTAGGTTTTTCTAAATATAAGTAATGATGTTTACAAACGAGGTTAATTTAACTTCTTTCTTTCCAATTTGAATGCCCTTTATCTCCTTCCCTTGCTTAATAATTCTGGCTAGGACTTTCAACATTATATTCAATAAAAATGGTAAAAGCAGGTATATTTGTTTTATTCCAGATCTCAGAGTAAAGGTTTTCCATTGTTCTCCATTCAGTATGTTAGCTGTGGGTTTGATATATATGGATGGCCTTTACTGTTTTAAGATATGTTCCTTCAATGCCTAGTTTGTTCAGAGTTTTTATTATGAAATGTTGAATTTTAGTGAATGTGTTTTCAGCATCCATTGAAATAATCATATAAATTTTGTTGTGGATTCCTCTGATATATGCCATGTATTCATTTGCACACATTGAGCCATCCTTTTATTCCTGGGATGAATCCCATTTGATGGTGGTGAATGGCCTCTTTAATGTACTAAATTTGATTTACTTATGTTTTGCTAAGGATTTTTGCAACTATGTCCATCAGTGATATCTGTCTGTAGTTTTCTTATGGCTTTGTCTGTTTTTGGTATAAGGATAATACTGGGTATCAATATCAATAATGAATTCAGAAATATTCCATGCTCTTCAATATTTTTAATAGTTTGAATAGAAATAGTATTAGTTTTTCTTTAAATGTTTGGTAGAATTCAGAGTGAAGCCTGGGATTTCTTTGGTGGGCAACTTTTTATTGTTGCTTCTATCTCATTACTCATTATTGGTGGGTTCAGGTCTTCTATTTCTTTATGGTTCAATCTTGGCAGGTTGTATGTCTGCAGGAATTTATCCATTTTTCCAGGTTTTTCAATTTTTTGGCATATAGTTGTTCATGGTGTTTCCTAAGGTTTTTTTTTTTTTCTATTTCTGTGGCATCAGTTGTTATGTTTCCTCTTTTTGTTTCTGATTTTATTTCTTTAGGTCTTCCTCTTGTTTCCTTTGCTTGTCTAGATAAAGGTTTATTGACATACCTTTTGAAAAAATCAAATTTTCATCTTATTCTTCTCTCATAGTTTGTTATTTGGTCTCAATTTCATTTATTTCTACTCTGAGATTTATTATTTCCTTCTTTGTACTTATTTGAGGTTTAGTTCATTCTTGCTTTTCTAGTTCCTTAAGCTGGATCATTAGATTGCTTATTTAAAAAAAAGTCTTTTTACTTTGTTGACATAAGCATTTATTGCTATAAAATCCCCCCTTAGTACTGCTTTTTCTGTAACCATAGATCTTGGTATGTTGTATTTCCATTTTTTTCATAACATTTTAAATTTGCTTCTTGATTTCTTCATTGACCCATTAATAATCCAGGAACATGTTGTTAATTTCCATATGCTTGTATAGTCTCCAGACTTTTCTTTTGTTTTTGATTTCTGGTTTTATTCCACTGTATCAGAAAAAATAGTTGATACTACTTTGACTTTTTATATTTGCTGAGACTTGTTTTGTTATATGGTGTATTCTGGATAATTTTCCACGTGCTAATAAAAAGAATGTGTATTCTGTACCAGTTGAGTGAATTGTTCATTAAATGTCAAATAGGTTCATTTGATCTAGTGTGCAGTTTAACTTTGATGTGTTTTTTTTTATTTTCCTTCTGGATGCTGTGACCTTTATTGAGACTGGGTGTTGATGTTATTGTATTGTAGACTATATCTCTTTAGATCTATTAATGATTTCTTTATATGTTTGGGTACTCTGATGTTAGGTGTGCATATGTAGTTAAATTTATTATAACATTTCTTTGAATTGATCCTATATTATTATATAGTGACCGTCTTTGTCTCCTTTTACAGTCTTTGACTTGTTTATTTTATCTGGTATAAGTATGTGTAACCTTGTTCTTTTTAGTTTCTAATTACATTAAATATGTTATTTTTCTTCCTTCACTTTTGGTCTATGTGTGTCTTTATAGGTGACATGGGTTTCTTATAGGCAGTATGTAATTAAGTCTTGTTATTTAAAAATTTATTGAACCAAAGTATATTTTTTAATTGGAGAATTTAGTTCATTTACATACATTTTATTATTGATAGATAAGGACTTACTACTGCCATTTTGTTACTTGTTTTGTGGTTGTCTTGTAGTTCCTGTCTTCTTTTCTTTCTCACTGTCTTTATTCATGCTTAAGTGAGTTTCTCCAGCAGTATGTTTTAATTTGTTGCTTTTTACATTTATTGTATCTATAATAGGTGTTGGCTTTGGTTTACCATGAGGTTTACAAAAAAATCTAATATATGTAACAAGTTATTTTAAACAGATGACAACTTATCTTTGATAACAGAGAATAGACACAAAGAAAAAACTTAGTAAAAGTCTGCACTTTAAATACATATCCTCCTATATTTTGAATTTTTGTTGTCTCTATTTAAATTTTTACATTACCTAATTCTTAGTTATATAAATTTGTATATTACTTATCTCTTAATTAGTTGCTGTACTGTTTTTGATAGGTTTTAGTCTTTATGCCTAGATACAAGTGCATTATACACCACAATTACAATATTAGAGCACTCTGAGTTTCTCTGTTTATTAATGAGTTTTATACCTTCAAATGTTTCCTTTTTGTATGTTACTGTCCTTGTTTTTCTGATTGAAATACATTCTTTAGCATTTCTTATAAAACAGTTCTGGTAGTGATAAATTCTCTCAGCTTTGGTTTGAGAAAAACTTTCTCTCTCCTTCAAGCTTGAAGGATAGCTTTGTTAGACAAAGTATTCTCAAGTATATTTGAGTTCTTTGTAGATTCTGGTTATTAGACCTTTGTCAGATGAATAGATTGCAAAAATTTTCTCTCACTTTTTAGGTTGCCTGTTTGTTCTGATGATAGTTTCTTTTGCTGTGCAGAAGCTCATTAGTTTAATTAGACGCCATTTGTCAAATTTGCTTTTGTTTAAAAAGCAAATTTTTATTTTTATTTTTTTTTCAGCCTTTTGAGTATGTCCTTCAACTCCATTCTGGCATGTAATGTTAATTCTGAGAAGTCCATTGCAAGACAAATTAGAGCATTTTTTTTCAGTGTCCTTAAATACATTTTACTATTTTTTTATTTTTAGTTCTGGGATACATGTACAGGACATGCAGTTTTGTTACATAGGCAAATGTAAATGTGTCCAATGGTGGTTTGCTTCACCTATCAGCCCATCACCTAGATATTAAGCCCAGCATGCGTTAGCTATTTATCCTGATGCTCTCCCTCCCCCAAATGCAACCCCTGACAGGTCCCAGTGTGTGTTATTCCTCTCCATGTGTCCATGTGTTCTCTGTTCAGCTCCCACTTATAAGTGAGAACATGCTGTGTTTGGTCTTCTGTTCATGCATTACTTTCCTGGGGGTAATGGATTCCAGATGCAGCCATGTCCCTGTAAAGTACATGATCTTATTCCTTTTTATGGCTGCATAGTATTTCATAGTGTGTATGTACCATATTTTTTTTATCCAGTCTATCACAGGTGGACATTTGGGTTGATTCCTTGTCTTTGCTAATGTGAATAGTGCTTCAATGAACATATACATGCACATATCTCTGTAATAAAATTATTTATATTCCTTTGGGCCTATACCCAGTAATGGGATTGCAGCTCTAATGGTATTTCTAGTTCTAGATCTTTGAGGAATCACCATTCCACAATGGTTGAACTAATTTACATTCCCACCAACAGTGTAAAAGCGTTCTTATTTCTCCACAACCTTGCCAGCATCCGTTTTTTCTTGCCTTTTAATAATCACCATTCTTACTGGCATGAGATGGTGTCTCATTGTGGTTTTCATTTGCATTTCTCCAATGATCAGTGATGTTGAGAAATTTTTCATATGTTGGTTGGCTGCATGAATGTCTTCTTTTAACAAATGTCCATTCATGTTTTTTGCCCACTTTTTAATTTTTTTTTCTTGTAAATTTGTTTGAGTTCTTTGTAGATTCTGGATATTAGACCTTTGTCAGATGAACAGATTGCAAAAATTTTCTCTCACTTTTTAGGTTGTTGTTTGTATTTCTGTGGGGTCAGTGGTGATATCCCCTTTATCGTTTTTCGTTGTGTCTACTTGATTCTTCTCTCTTTTCTTCTTTATTAGTGTATCTAGTGGTCTATTTTATTAATTTTTTCAAAAAAACTGCTCCTGGATTCATTGATTTTTTAAATCTATCTCCTTTAGTTCTGCTCTGATCTTGGTTATTTCTTGTCTTCTGCTACCTTTGGGGTTTGTTCTTGGTTCTCTAGTTCTTTTAGTTCCTATGCTATGGTGTCAATTTGAGATCTTTCTAGCTTTTTGATGTGGAAATTTAGTGCTATAAACTTCCCTCTTAGCACTGCTTTAGCTGCGTCCTACAGATTCTGGTATGTTGTCTCTTTGTTCTCATTGGTTTCAAAGAACTTCTTGATTTCTGCCTTAATTTCATTATTTACCCCAGAGTTTTTAGGAGCAGATTGTTCAATTTCCATGTGGTTGTGTGGTTTCGAGTGAGTTTCTTAATCCTGAATTCTAATTTGATTGTGCTGTGGTCTGAGAAACTGCTTGTTTTGATTTCAGTTCTTTTACATTTGCTGAGGAATGATTTACTTCCAATTATGTGATCAATTTTAGAGTAAGTGACAAGTGGCACCAAGAAAAATATACATTCTGCTGTTTTGGCATGAAGAGTTCTGTAGATATGTGTCAGGTCCACTTGATCCAGAGCTCAGTTCATGTCCAGTTAATTTCCTTTCTTGATGATCTGTCTGATATTGACAATGGGGTGTTAAAGTCTCCCCTACTATTGTGTGGGAGTCTAAGTCTCTTTGTAGGTCTCTGGGAACTTGTTTTATAAATCTTGGTGCTCCTGTATTGGGTGCATATATGTTTAAGATAGTTAGCTTCTCCTGTTGAATTGAACCCTTTACCATTATGTAATGTCCTCTTTGTTTTTTTTGTTTTTGTGTTTGTTTTTTATCTTTGTTGTTTGAAAGTTTATCTTGTCAGAAACTAGGATTGTAACCTCTCCTTTTTTCTGCTTTCCATTTGCTTGGTAAACTTTTCTCCATTCCTTTATTTTGAGTCTTTGTGCATCTTTACACATGAGATGTGTCTATTGAATACAGCACACTGATGGGATTTGTCTTTGTATCCCACTCACCACTCTGTGTCTTTTAATTGGGGCATTTAGCTCATTTATATTTAAGGTTAATATTGCTATGTGTAAATTTAATCCTGACATCATGATGCTAGTTGGTTATTTTTTCTCTTGCTGCTTTTAGGATCCTGTCTTTTTCTAATGCCTTTGGAAGATTGATTATTATATGCCTTGTGATTTCTTAATTGGGCTAAATCTGTTTGGTGATCTCTGACCCTCTTGTACCTGAGTATTTCTATCGTTCTCAAGGTTTGGAAAGTTTTGTATTATCATTTCTTTGAATCAGCACTCTAGCCCTTACTATTTATCAGCTCTCTTTTGAATCTCAATGATTCTCAGATTTGCTCTTTTGAGCTGATTTTCTATATCCCATAAGATATAGTTCTTTGTTCCTTTGTATTGTTTTTTTTTTTATTTTCTGACTGTCTATATTCAATTAGCACGCCTTCAAAAGGCCTCTCTTTTCTTTTTAGTCCATTCTGCTTTTAAAAGCCTCAAATGTATTTTTCAGTTTCACAAAGGTATTTTTCCAGTTTCAGTATTTCTATTTGATATTTTAATTATAATTTTTTATTATTACAATCTATTTTTAAATTTCTCTGATAGATTTCTGAGTTGCTTTTTTCTGTTATCTTATAGTTTTATTACAAGTACTATTTTCTAATTCTTCATGTCAGAGCTCACATATATATCATTGTCTCATTAGGGTCAGTTACTCGCTTCTTGATTTGTCTGTTTGAGGATGCCATGGTTACCTCTTTGCTCTTGTTTCTTATTAGCATCCAACTATGTCTTCACATTCAAGGATTAGTTATTTATTTGAGTCTTCACTGTCTGGCTTGTCTTAGCTTTTTTTATATATGATTGCTTACAGGTTCCTTGAAAATTACTTGTTTAATTTTTTAATTATATTTCAGATTTCTCACATTATTTTTTGAAATTTTTATTATATTTTGCCTTTTACTCTCTTTGATTTTATAGTTTTCTATGATTTCCTAATTTGTATACTCATTTATTTATTTTCAACATTTTACAAAACTTATTATTATAAATATCTTTTTAGGTTCCATGTTAGCTCATCACACTAGTTTATATACAGTTACATCACACCAGTTAAGATAACATTAGCATTAAATTAGGATTGCTGCTGCAGGGTCTGGGAGAAAGCCAAAAAATTGTGAGGCCCAAAGTGTGAAAGTATGAAAGGGGGATCATCTGTCCCTGAACACACATCCCCACTGGGGAACCTCAAGGTCCAGACCACAGGAGAAGGATTTGACCTTACCTAGAACTGAGACAAACGTAGAGAGCCGAGCAAGATACAGTGGTAGAGAAAGGAGCAGGAAGAGCCCTGTGGGCACTCTCAGTCCCCAGGGAAGCCATTTCTGACTTTGTCTCACAGGTGTCCTTCAGGTGGGCTGCCAGTGGAATTGACAAAAGACCACAGACAGAAGGAAACCTCCAGCTTTACTTAGTAACAATTTCAACCAAATGCAGAGTTTCCTGGACAGAATCTGGGGGAGAGTGTGAAACAGGAGTGCAGACACAGCTCAGAAGCTGTGGCAGGTGGTGAGGTGCAAAACCTGAAAGTCCTGCTTGCGTTCCCAGTGGGGAGGCCTGGAACATGGGACAAGTCCTCAACCCTGCTCACTCACTGCCAGGCAATAAACTTGGTGCTGTTGGGGGAGGCATGGTGGGAGTGAGACTGGCCTTTCAGGCTGCATGGAAGCTGGATGAGGCCTCTAACTGCTGGTGTTCCCCCACTTCCCTGCGGACCTGCATGATACAGCAGAGGCAGCCATAATACCCCCTGGGAACTTAACTCCGTTGGGCTAAGGACCACACCCCCATCCTTCAAAGCAGCCTCAGCAAGCCCCGTCCAAGAAGAGTCTGAGCTCAGACACACCCAAACCTGCCCCCACCTGATAGTCTTTCTCTACCTGCCCTGGTAGCCAATTACAAAGGATATAATCTAGCGCGAGCTTTATGGCCCTGCCCACCACCTAAGAAACATACCCAGGCAACCCTAAGGGAACCTTGTATCCTCCTTATACTGCCGCAGCTGATGCTGTCTTGAAAGTGCCACCTTCTGGCTGGAGTCAAACTAACCGAAAACTAGCACAATAAAAAAAATGCAACCAAGGACCCTCACAGATCCACTTCATACCACTGTTATCTTCCCCAGAGCAGGTACTGGTATACAGGGCTGAGAGACCTGAAGATGGATGACATCACAGGAGTCTTGGCAGACACACCCCAGTACCAGCCCAGAGCCCGGTAGCTCCACTGGGCAGCTAGATCCAGAAGAGAAATAACAGTCACTTCAGTTTGGTTCTCAGGAAGCCACATCCCTGAGCACCCACATCCAGCAAGCACCCTGTGGAATAAAAGAATCTGAATAGCAGCTCATGAGCCCCAGATCTTCCCTCTGATGTAGCCTACCAAAATGAGAAGGAACTAGAAAAACAATTCTGGCAACATGTCAAAACAAGTTTCTTTAACACCCCCAAAAGATCACACTAGCTCATCAGTAATAGATCCAAACCAAGAAGAAATCCCTGAATTGCCAGAAAAACAATTCAGAAAGTCAATCATTAAGCTACTCAAGGAGGCACCAGAGAAAAGTGAATACCAACTCAAAGAAATTTAACAAAATAGCCACACACAGTGGCTCATGCCTGTAATCCTACCACTTTGGGAGGTTGAGGCAGGTGGATCACCTGAGCTCAGGAGTTTGAGACCAGCCTGGGCAACATAACAAGGCCCCATTTCTACAAAAATAAAACAAAAATTAGCCAGGAACAATGGTGAGTACCTGTAGTCCCAGCTACTCAGGAGGCTGATGTAGGAGAATTGCGTGAGCCCAGAAGGCAGAGGTTGCAGTGAGCAAAGATTGTGCCACTGCAGTCCACCCTAGGTGACAGAGTGAGACCTTGTCAAAACAAAACAAAAAACAAACAAACAAACAAACAAACAAAAACAAGATATGGATGGAAAAACCTCCAGAGAAATATACAGCATAAATAAAAAACAATCATCCCTTTTGAGAATGAAGAACACACTCAGAAAAATGCAAAATAAACTGGAAGTCTCAGCAATAGAATCAAACAAGCAGAAAAAAGAAGTTCAGAACTCAGAGATAAGGTTTTTGAATTAGCCCAATTCAACAAAGACAAAGAAAAAGGAATTAAAAAACATGAACAAAGTCTCCAAGAAGTTTGGGACTATGTTAAACCACCAAATCTAAGAATAATTAGTGTTGCCAAGGAAGAAGAGAAATCTAAAAGTTTGGAAAACATATTTGAAGGAATAATTGATGAAATCTTTCCTGGCTTTGCTAGAGATAGAGATCTAGACATCCAAATACAAAAAGCTCAAAGAATACCTGTGAAATTCATCTCAAAAAAATCATCAACTAGGCACATAGTTATCAGATTATTTAAAGTCAAGATGAAGGAAGAAATCTTAAGAGCTGTGAAGCAAAGGCATCAGGTAACCTATAAAGGAAAACCTATCAGATTAACAGTAGTTTTCTCAGCACACAACCTACAAGCTAGAAGAAATTGGAGTCCTATCTTTAGCCTCCATAAACAATAATTATCAGCCAAGAATTTTGTATCTGGTGAAACTAAGCATCATAAATGAAGGAAAGATACAATCTTTTTCAGACAAACAAATGTTGAGAGAATTTGCCACTACCAAGTTAGCACTACAAGAACTGCTTTAAAAAAGTTCCAAATCTTGAAAGAATTCCTTGAAATGCATCAAAATGGAGCCCCCTTAAAGTATAAAACTCAAAGGACCTATAAAGAAATAACACAATTTTAAAAAAGACTTCAGGCAACAAATAGCAAAATGAATAGAATAGTACCTCACATACTAACATTGAAAGTAAATGGTCTAAATGCTCCACTTAAAAGATACAGAATGGCAGAATGGATAAAAATTCACCAACCAAATATCTGCTGTCTTCAAGAGACTCACCTAACACATAAAGACTCACATAAAATTAAGGTAAAGGGGTGGAAAAAGACATTCCATGCAAATGGACACCAAAAGAGGGCAGGAATAGCTATTCTTCTATCAAACAAAATAAACTTTAAAGCAACAGCAGTTTAAAGAGCAGAGAGGAACATTATAAAATAATAAAAGGAATTATCCAACAGGAAGATATCACAATCCTAAATATATATGCACCTAACACTGGATCTCCTCAATTATAAAACTATTACTACTAGACAAGAAATACGATAGCAACACAATAATAGTGGGGGACTTCAATACTCTACGGATGTCATTAGACAGGTCATCAAGATAGAAATTCAACAAAGAAACAGTGGACTTAAACTATACCTTAGAACAAATGGACTGAACAGATATTTACATAACATTCTACCAAACACCTGCAGAATATACACTGTGTTTATCAGCTCATGGAACATTCTCCAAGATAGGCCACATTACAGGCCACAAAACAAGTCTCAATAAATTTAAGAAAATTGAAATTATATCAAGTGCTCTTTCAGACCACAGTGAAATACAATTGGAAATCAACTCCAAAAGGAACTCTCAAAACTATGCAAACACATGGAAATTAAATAAGCTGCTTCTTACTTTTTATTGGGTCAACAATTAAATCAAGATGAAAAAAATTCTTTGAACTGAACAATAATAGTGGTACAACCTATCAAAATTTCTGGGATACAGCAAAGACAGTAGTTCAATGCTATGAACTAAGAGACAACTTCATAGCATTAAATGCCTACATCAAAAAGTCTGAAAGAACACAAATAGACAATCTAAGCTCACACCTCAGGAACTAGGGAAAAAAGAACAATCCAAACCCAAGGCCAGAAGAAGAAAATAAATAACACAAATCAGACTTAACTAACTGAAACACAAACAAACAAAAAACAATACAAAAGATAAATGAAACAAAAAGGTGGTTCTTTGAAAAGATAAACACATTTGATAAACCATTAGCAAGATTAACCAAGAAAAGGAGAGAGAAGATACAAATAAGCTCAACTGGAAATGAAACGGGAGATATTACAACTGATACCACAGAAATACAAAAGATCATTCAAGGCTACTATGAACACTTTTACATGCATTAACTAGAAAACCTAGAAAAAAACAGACAAATTCCTGGAAATATACAACCCTCCTGGCCTAAACCAGGAAGAAATAGAAACTCCAAACAGACCAAAACCAAGCAGCAATATTTAAATGGTAATAAAAAAAATTGCCAACAAAAAAAGTCCAGGAGCAGATGGATTCACAGCTGAATTCTATCAGACATTCAAAGAATTGGGACCAATCCTACCCTATTGACACTATTGCATAAGATAGAGAAAGAGGAAATCAGCAGGGCACAGTGGCTTATGACTGTTATCCCAGCACTTTGGGAGGCCGAGGCAGGCAGATCACGAGGTCAAGAGAGCAAGACCATCCTGGCAAACATGGTGAAACCCCCGTCTCTACTAAAATTACAAAAAAAAAAAAAAAAAAAAAAAATTGCTGGGCTTGGTGATGCACACCTGTAGTCCCAGCTGCTCAGGAGGCTGAAGCAGGAGAATCACTATGACAAACCCACAGTCAACATTATGCTGAACAGGAGAAAGTTGACATCATTGCCCCTAAGAACTGGAGCAAGAAAAGGACATCGAGTTTCAGCACTTTTATTCAACATATTACTGGAAGCCCTAGCCAGAGCAATCAGACAAGAGAATGAAATAAAGGGCATCCAAAGAGGTAAAGAGGAACTCAAAATGTCACTGTTTGCTGTTGATATGATTGTATACCTAGAAAACCATAAAGACTCATCCAAAAAGCTCCTAGAACTGATAAATGAATTCAGCAAAGTTTCAGGATACAAAATTAATGTACACAAATCAGTAGCTCTGCTAAACACCAACAGCTACACAGCTGATAATTAAATCAAGAACCCCACCTTTTTTTACAATAGGTGTAATAAAATAAAATAAAATAAAATACTTAGGAATATACCTAACCAAGGAGGTAAAAGTCATTTATAAGGAAAACTACAAAACACTGCTGAAAGAAATTATAGATGGCACAAACAAATAGGCCATAAAATGGCCATAAAAATGGCCATACTGCCAAAAACAATCTACAAATTCAATGCAATTCCCATCAAAATACCACCATCATTCTTCACAGAACTAGACAAAGCAATCCTAAAATTCATATGGAACCAAAAAAGAGCCTACACATAGCCAAAGCAAGAATAAGCAAAAACAACAAATATGGAGGCATCACATTGCCTGACTTCAAACTATACTATAAGGCCATAGTCACCAAAACAGCATGGTACTGGTGTAAAAATAGACACATAGACCAATGAAACAGAATAGAGAACCCAGAAATAAAGCCAAATACTTACGGCCAACTGATCATAGACAAAGCAAACAAAAACATAAATTGGGAAAAGGACACCCTATTCAACAAATGGTGCTGGGATAACTGGCAAGCCACTTGTAGAAGAACGAAACTGGATTCTCATCTATGAGTTCATACAAAAATCAACTCAAGGTGGATCAAAGACTTAGATCTAAGACTTGAAACCGTAAAAATTCTAGAAGATAACATCGAAAAAGCCTTTTTAGACATTGGCTTAGGCAAAGACTTGATGACCGAGAACCCAAAAGCAAATGCAACAAAAACAAAGATAAATAGATGGGACTTAATTAGACTAAAAAGCTTCTGCACAGCAAAAGAAGTAAGGAGCAAACAGACAATGCACAGCATGGGAGAAAATCTTCACAAACTATGCATTGGATGAAGGACTAATATTCAAAATCAACAAGGAATTCAAACAAATCAGCAAGAAAAAAGAAACAATCCCATCAAAAAGTAGGCTAAGGACATGAATAGACAATGCACAAAAGACAATATACAAATGTCCAATAAACAAATGAAACGATGCTCAACATCCGTCATGATCAGGAAACTACAAATCAAAACCACAATGAGATACCACCTTACGCCTGAAAAAACGGTCATAGTCAAAAAATCAACAGATAATAGATATTGGTATGTATGTGGTGAAAAGGGAAGACTTTTACACTGCTGGTGGGAATGTAAACCAGTAAAACCACTATGTAACACAGTGTGGAGATTCCTTAAAGAACTAAAAGTAGATCTACCATTTGATCCAACAATCCCACTACTGGGTGTCTGCCCAGAGGAAAGGAAGTCATTATACACAAAAGATAGTTGCACACGCATGTTTTGTAGCAATACAATTCAGAATAGCAAAAATACAGATTCAGCCCAAATGCCCATCAGTCAATAAGTCGATAGAGAAAATGTGGTATATATACACACTATGGAATACTACTCAGTCATAAAAAGGAACAAATTAATGGCATTTGTTGCGACCTGGATAGGATTGGAGACCATTATTCTATGTGAAGTAAATCAGGAATGGAAAACCAAACATCATATGTTTTCACTCATAAGTGGGAGTTAAGCTAATGAGAACCTAAAGGTAACAATGATACAATGGACTTTGGGGACTCAGGGGAAAGAGTGGGAAGTAGATGAAGGATAAAAGACTCTACATTGGGTACAGTGTACACTGCTCAGTTGATGGGTGCACCAAAATCTTAGAAATCACCACTAAGTAACTTATTCATATGACGAAAACACCACCTGTTTCCCAAAAACCAATTTAAATAAAAAGTTTAAAAATGGACGTAAATGTGAGCTATACATACATTTTGAAAGACGAATAAAAACAAATAAAATAAAACAGAATTAGCATTAAATAGTAGTATTTTCTAAATAGTTTATTTCATTATTTCTTCCCTGGCATGTGCTTTTAAGTAATTTATTTTAACAGTATTCTTTGTCTTTGACTCTATTTATTGTAACAATTACTGTACTATGGTAACAGCAGCTTTTTTTCAGTTACTATTTATGTAAAAGTTAAATAATTGCTATGCTTAATTTTTTACAAGTTTGAAATCCTTGTAGAAAAAAAGCTCCTCATTCTTGTTTTTGTTTTTAAGAAAGGTTTTTGACTATTTTGGTGTATTTACTGTTACATGTGAATTTTAGACATCTTGTTTCATTGTTGATGATTAAAATTACTTAAATTTATATTTAGAGATGAAGTTGGGGAAGATGCACCTAGATTAATATTTTTTTATTATTATAATCTGTTAAATTTCTCTATTTCTCAATTGCTTTCTTATGTTAACGTGTAGTTTTCTTAAAAGTTCTATATTTAATGACTTTCTTTACTCTCTTTCTTTTCTTGCCATTAGTAATATTAATAAGGTTCTTACTTTAAAAATTTCTGTGTCTCTATTGTTTTAGAAATTGGTTTCTCTATATTTCTTACTCTTAGTATCTCATATAACTCTTCATGAATTCAATTAGTTTCATTTATATTCTTCATAGGGCTCTTGAGTATCTTTTACCAAAATTTCTCCATTCACGAGTTTTCTCCACTCATGAATTCATGAGTTTTGCAGGTTGATATGCCTCTAAAATTGTATTTTTAAAATGTAATGATTATTTGCATACAAATTATTTATTGATTTTTTACATTTCTTTCTCTTCTACAACTTGATTAATTTACCAGTTCCAATAATTTCTGTACATTGTTTACGATTTTCAGTACACAAAATAACAAATAACATGTGGAAATTATTTTTTATTTTGTCTCCTTTTCTTATTTAATTAAATTTAATTAATAAAGGCCACTAAAACTATGTTGAAAAAAATGCAGACAAAAAGAGGCATCTTTGTTTTTATCAGACTCCATGTTGTCACAGTTTATCGTAAGTTTAATGTCTCTAATAGGTTGTGGGTACATATGATTAACAAATTAAATTAAGAGAGTACTCTTCCATTTTTAATTTATAAAGAATTTTTTTCATCATGTTAAGACAATTTAATTTTTCATGTATTTAATCATCTTTTAAGATGGTTTGCTTATTTAATCTGTAAATATATTTGATTACACGTGTCTGTTCTACTTTAAACTTTGCTTGGTTATAATACATGTATCATATTTTTAAACTTAATTTACCAAGTATTTTGTTAAGATTATTTATTGGAAACATCATTAGGCTCAGACTCTGCTTTTTTCAAGGGTATAAGAAGGTCAGAGGGTCAAAGACATATGTCTAAACGAAGCCCACAATCCCTTATGCATTACCTGAGCTCTCACAATCTCTGAATGCCTGTCTGCAACGGCCTTGATCATACTACCAGGGTTTCGACAGCCTTTTCTCTTGTCTTTCTTCCTGAAGCTGAACTATTTTATGGGTATGTATGCATGCCTGGATACAAGAGCCTGTACCTAAAGTGTAGCTAATTTGGTGGTATGTAGACAAAGCTTGCACATGCAAACATGGATGTTGGTGATAAGCATACATAGAGCCATTCACTGTACAATAAAGAAATAGTGTTCAAAGATAAGGGGTAGCTGATGACTAGAAAATATTGACCAGCTCTCCCTAAAGTAATTTATTCCCACATGAAACTCAAAGAAATTATCGAATTCTAAATATCAGTAGAGCCACCCGGATCCTTACTAAAATGATACATTTTTCAAAGTAGTAACAAAGAATAAATAGTAATTGAGTTTTAAAATTTGATTTGTAGCTTTCAAATATTTACATATATGTTACATGTATTTGCATTTGGACTATAGCCCAGAATTCCACAACTATTAGTGGATGTCCCAATGTTTATAATTGAACATTAAAAATAAATTTTATCATATTGTTCTCAGTTTTTGTATTGATTACCTAATTTCATAAAATAACATAGGCAGCCTTAAAATTTTAGATCTCAGAAATAATTCAAATAAAAATCATTAACTCTTACTAAATTTTTTAATCTGGGCCAGTTATTTTTGGCTTGGCAGAGTTTGGTCACTAATTAAATATTTTAATTTTTATTGGCCATTGTAGAAAAGTATAACTTTTATGTTTTCAAATGTACAGGTATACATTTTTAATGGTATCATTTAATACATCTTGACTTTAAGTGAACAGGTTTATAGCTTCTCAATTTTTATGGTGACTAACTACCTTACATGCTATTATAATCAAGAATATTAATTGCATTTTCACGACAGAAAAAAATAACTTTTGACTGGTTACAAAACTGGATTAAATCTATTTTTACCAATAATCTACCTCATTATTTCTCTTTTCTTTCCACATTTTCTCCATTTGTTCCTTTTTTTATTTTTGTCACTCTTACTGACACCCTTTGGGATTATTTCTGACAGTGTCTTTGGTGGTAATTTTAAATTGTATCTTCTTTTCTTCCTTGAATGCTAGTATTAATAGGTATAGATTTCTGCATTGGCAATTATCGTCTCTTAGCCCTTCAAAGGTTTTACTATCAATTGGCATTTGAAGTTTCTGCAGGAAGCCTGTTGTAAGTCTCTCTGCTCTTCCTCCATCGATAATCTGTCTTTTTACTCTGGATGCTTTTAAGGTTTTCTCTTTGTCACTGATATTTTACAACATAGCTACAATTTTTCTGGGTGTACACTTATTTTTATTTATGTGTGCTTTGTAACTGAGCACCTATCTTTTTTCAATCCAACAAACTTTATAGCCAGTTTTTCTTAAAATATTGCCTTTCCGTCATTTCTTCTATTACTTACTCTGTATATTTCACCCTATTTTTCACGCTGTTTCACTTTGATGTTTTTCATTTCTTTCTCTCTATGTACTCCACCCTGAAGCCCAAACATTGCCTTTTACATTATTATCTATTCTCAATTATTTTTTCTCATTATAATTTATTAATTTTATTTTCTAACTACAACTCTGTCATTTATCTCTTGAAAGAATTTGAAATATAATGATTGCAAAGTCCTTTTCAGATGCCTCCCTTTTTCATGTGTTGCAATATAAATTCTCTAACTTAATGAGTTGTTTTGTTGCTTTTTTTCTAAAATTATTTTATCCATGTTTTTTGACATGTATCTTTGCTAACATTCTGAATGACATATGATTATTTCTTATCACCTTTAATTTTTAAGTCACTTACATTTAAAACTCTATTTTTACCAGTTCATCAATAGATCTTACTTTGGTGTAAAGATCTTACTTACTCAACCTTCAGGAGATACCCTGAGCCCAAAGCCTGTTTAGAGCAGCCTCTAGATGAGTGGCTCTCTGCTTCTCACTACTCCCAACAGGAGTTTAGCAACAGCTGAATTAGACAGAGGGTGCATTTCTTTTATGATTTTTTTTTAAAGCATCTTCTGGCCCTGGGTGCAAAATTTCATTCACGTCTCACTTTTGTATGAAGTTTGGTTGATGACACCACCACAAGGAATCCTTAGAGAAATAGAATTCTAAGTTACCTCTGCATAACTCTAATTCAATTTGTCCTGGAACTTCATACTGGATTATAACTTTTCATTGTGGGGAAGGAGGACAGGCCCACTGAGCTATCTGTATGTTATGGAAGACATAAAGATGCTTCTACATATATACAATGTATAGTGATTAGATCAGGGTGAATAGCATACTCATCATCTCAAACATTTATCATTTCTTTTTGTTGGGAACATTCAATATCCTCCTAGATAGCTGAAACTATATAATACATTTTTGTTAACTAGAGTCATCTTACAGTGCTATAGAACACTAGAACTTATTTCTCGTCTAGCTGTAATTTTGTATCCTTTAAAAAGTCTCTCCCTATCCCCTTCTTCTCAAAACCCTTGCCAGCCTCTTGTAATCTCTGTTCTGCTGTTTACTTCTGTGAGATCAACATTTTCTTAACTTCTGCCTATGACTGAGAACATGTGGTGTTTAACTTTATGTTCCTGGCTTATTTCACTTATAATATCCTCCATTCCCTTTCATATTGTTGCAAAGGACAGAATTTCATTCTTTTTTATTGCTAAATAGCATTCCCTTGTGTACCTGCACAACGTTTTCTTTATCCATTCATCAGTTGCTGGATGCAACAACATAAATTGTTCTCCTTATTTCATTGAAATACAAAATATTTGTAGTATGTTGTATCTCACTGAGTATCCTTAAGATTATTATTATGAATTATTTTTCTAGTATTTCGTATATTTCCTTATGATTGGGGTCTGTTATGGAGAATTATTGTGTCTCTTTGGAGATGCTACGTGTCCTTGTTTGATGTGTTGCTACACTGATTTCTATACATCTGGTAGAAAAGTTACCTTTTCTAATTTTATGGAGTAGGTTTCACAGGGAAAGACTTATTTGTGTGAATGGATCTTGGGTGGTAGTTTGGTGGAGTACATTGGCTTTGTTTCTGGGTAGATGCAGTAGTGTAGTTTCCATGTAGTATTTTCAACTGTAATCCTTGCAAGTGATGTTTGCACGTGTCTCAGTGACCGGCTGAGAGAATTTGTGGTGGTGGTGACATGGCTTTTCCATGAATGGGCTTGTCATGCTGTTTCCCAGGATGCGGGCATGTGGGGCCCCACAACTTGGGGCCACAAGGTTGTTACTATGACCAGGAGCATGGGCACATGGTTGTTTAGCCATCCTGGTGGCATGCCTGCCATGAGCAGCCTGTAGGGCAATTTCTCAAGCCTCAGACTTGACTGTACTGCTTCTTGGCTGGGGGTGTCCTGGTGGGAGTTTCTTCTCAGGCTCCCGATGATGGTTAAAGAATGCTGGGCCTGCCTGGGGGCAGGTCTGCCAGGATGGGCTCATGGGGCTGCTTCTCAGGCCTGGAATGTGGGGTGCAAGGCTTCCTGACCAGCCTAGGGTTATGTCTACTGACAGTAGCCCAAAAGGCTGTTTCTCAGGCTAAAGAGGTGGAAGCATAGCTGCTCATCCAGCCTCTGGGCATGTTTGCCAGGAGTGGCCCATAGGAATGCTTCTCAAGTCTGGAACATGGGAGCAAGGCTGTTCAATTGATCTGGAAGCCTGCCTCACAGGGGTGGCCTATGGGTTGTCTCTTGGGATCTAGACATGGGCACACAGCTGCTTAGTGGGCTTGGGGGAAGGCCTATCAGGGGCAGCCGCAGGATTTTTTTTCTCAGTCCTGGGGCATGGGTGCATGGCTGCTTGGCCTGCATGGTTGAGTGTCTGCAGGGAATGGCCTACAGGGCTGTTTCTCAGGCGCTGGGGATGGATATACAGCCACTCACTGGCTCAGGAGCGTGTTAGTTGCTCAGAGGCTCAGGGCTCTCTCCCAGTCACAGGAGGGTGCTCAGTGGTTTGTCCAGGTCAGGGGGGGTCGGCCCTGCAAGGGAGTGGCAGACTGTTCCTCTAGGTGTAAGTGAGGGCGGCAGAAGCTGATTTCGCTACTATGCAGGACCAGGATCACAGTCAATCTTGGGTCCAGGCTCCATGCTACTGGGGCTCTGGTATTCAGCCCCTTGTATAATCCAGGTATTAATATAATGAAGATGGAGGCCCAGTGCTAGAGAGGCGCCGTGGTCTGGTCCCCAGAGCAGGGTGCACTCCAGAGGTGGCCCTGGTCTCAAGATGGCACTGTGCTGCAGCAGCTTGGCTTACAGGGAGTCAGTGGGGGTGGAAGTGTACACCTTGTGCTCCTAATCCAAGGCAATGCAGCTCTGTGAATTCCTGGCATCTTTCCAACCTGGGCCCAGTGCTTGTGCATACTGTGGGATTCTCCTGTAGTAAGGACTATGGTTATGATTCTCCTGTAGTAAGGACTATAGTTATTGGCAGTGGCAACAGAGGATGATGGGGATCTTATGCTTACCTTTTGCCCACAACAGAAAGTTCCTCTTGACTCCAGGCAGATCCAACCCAGGTGGAGAAATTGGGCTGCAGACATTGGATGTTTCCACTGTGCTCTCCTGCACAAGTGCCTCTCCACTCCAACATTTTCCCCTCGACACTCCAGTCAAATCTAATCTGCTTACTGCTTTTGTATTTTTTTGTGGGAAGGATGAGTGCCAGGCTTCTCTTGCCAGTCATCTTTCTGATGTCACTCTATAATTTCTTTCTTTAATGTTAAAGTTTTCTTCCATGTGAAATTTAATTTAAAATAATGCACAAGTTTGAATATAGAGTCATATTATTTTTTCAAAACCATTCAATGAACAATTCATCTTTATTTCTTTAATGATTGGAAATCCTAGCTTTATCATAAAATTCATCTACATACATCTTTTTGATTAATGTGTTTATTTTGTGACAATATTATCCAGTTTTAATAAGTAAAGCATGCTAACTCTATCTGAAAGATCTAGTGACTCTTCAAAATTATTTTTTCATAAACCTCCTGCTATCATAAATGCTTAACTGTTCCAGAAGATATTTAATAATTTTCTATAAGTAGAAATTATGCAATTCCAATAATTCAAGAAAAGTTTTATTTTGTGACTGTCTTACATTTAAAGAGAATTGGCTTATCAACAGTGTCAGTTTTCTAATATTCTTTATTCTCTCATGATCTACAGCTTTATGCTCATATTAGCTACAGACACGGAACTTATATCTTCCCATGTATCAATATTTATACACCTTATTGCAATGCTTTCTTAATATAAAATGTCTAGTACTTGTAGAACAATATCACATAAGATTTCTAGTATTATTACAAATAAATATTGTACTGAATTTGTTTTTATTTTAAATTTACAGATGCATGTGCATGCACAGGAAGAATGTTTATTTCAGGAAATAAATGTTTATGTTAATATAATCAAAATTATCAATCATTTTTATGATTCACTTTTGGAGTTTTTATTTAGAATGCTCTTCATATCTTGTGTTGTAAAGACATACTATTATATTTTCTTTAAAGACTTTCTAATGTTGGTTTACATAGTAGACTAATAAATATAGCATTTATTTTTGTATGTAATATAAGGAAGGAATTATTAATCTAAGTTCATGTTTCTTCATATGTATAACTAATTTTTAATTATTTTCTGAATTGCTTCTCTTTTTCCTGTTAGTCTACAATGGCAATAGTCATATATCAAATATATGTGTATATGTGTTTGTTTATTGATTGATTTCTGGAATCATTATTTTGCTTAGCTTTCCATTTATCTGTCTCTGCACAATACGACTTTCAGGTGCTGTAAGACTTAATATACTGTGGCTTAAGTAACACTAATTTATTTATTCATTTTCAAAAATATTTTTGCAATTTTTTGGTCCCTTGTATTTCACATGATTTTTATATGTTGTATCAAGATCCATTAATATTAAGTTCTATCAGAATTTGATGGGAAGTTTTACATTTACATGGGAAAGAGAAGTCATTTTTATAATATTGAGATTGCTTATCCATAAAAATGTTCTTTTAAAATTTTTAAATAAAGTTTTAGAATATTCTTACATTAGTTATGGACATATTTTCAACAAAGACATCAAAGTAAGCCATTTCTGTTATACACAGAAAATATTCCTGTGAAAATTATTTTTTCTTTTACAATAGTAGCTATTTACAACATATGTACAAAACTGGTATGTGTAAGTCATGAATTGTATATACAAAAGGGATCCAGGTAACTGCCATTTTATAATCCAAAAGGAGGAAACTAAAGTCTCCTTGAACTAAAATGAAAGACTTGAATGAATTTATCAACTAGGCAATGATTTTACATACTGTCAGTGATTGACCGAGAGAACAGGAAAGTTTTGTTTTTTTTAATTTCTAAATTTACTTCTATTTTATAAAGATATCAGGGTATCTTTACAATCATGATACACACCAAAATTGTAAACTCTCCTCCAAGAACACCATTGAAAGGTCTTCAGAACCTTAGGATAAAGTAGGAAGTAAATTTTATTGCTATTTTTAAATAAGTCGTATAATAAAAAATGCCAGTGATATTTTTCATGTGATTTGCTTCATTAAATGACACAGGCATCTCACTTCAAACTCTTCTCTCACAACTTCTCCTCTGCTTCCTGACACTCCAGGCCTAGCGACCTTCAATTCATTTCTGGAAGAGTCAAGTTGAATTAAACTATGCATGTCTATGTCTTGGAGCTATGTCTCACAACATATGCACAGGGCTATTTCCTTGGCCTGTAATCCTCAGCCTCTAACTCTCTACATTTTATCTTGTCATTCAAGTCACACATGAATTATCATTTCTTCAAAGGCCTCACTTTAGCCTCCAACCTAAAGCTGTCTCTCTGTCACTTTCCCTCTCATCACCCTGATTTATTTCTTTCATAGAATCCATCTCTGCCTGCAATTATCTTGTTCAATGACTCATTTATACATCTGTGTCTAATGTCCTCCTTCACTAAAAAAGAAGCTCCCTCATGCAGCACTAGATGTATTCTGTTCACTGATGCATCCCAGGCACCTAGAATGGTATCTGGCACATAAATACACTTAATAATTACTTGTTGAATATATGGATATAATTTCTAAATATTATTTAAATTAAATTACATATTTCATTATAGTATTTGATGAACTTAATGACTACATCATAAATCCTAGAACTGTATATTTGACACATCTGTAATTATTAATCTACTTAGAATATGTCTTTTCTTTGCCATGAACATGTTTTTGTAATGATCTGTGAATTTCTTTTTAATTATCTTAAGTCTTATGATCACACATAATTTTAAAATTTATGTATATCTCCTCTACTTTAATTCTTTTAAGTTGGCAAAAGCACTATCCACAATCACAAATACAGAGCAGTTCCACAGTTTTATGTATCTGAATGGCTGTTTAAAGACAATCTTAAATTATAACTTAGTTTGACTTAGATTGTAAAGAATTCAAGAGTGAAGTTTAACTTGCTACTATATTAAAAGCATGTGACCTTATAGATCATCTATAAAATGTGAGAAATGTTAAATAATCTTTGATATTACACATAAACCACACTAAAATGCCCTTCAGTAAGTAAAAAGAACCAGTTTAAATGCAGAGAATTCTAATTAGATTGGCATAGTTAAGGCCAAAAATATAAAGTAGACGTTGCTACCTTATTTATCTTCAACCCTTGCCTTTAAGAGGCAAATGAACACAAAACACAGATGAATCTTGCTTGGTTCTGAGACAGTGAAGGAATTTCCCGAGTATTTAAATATATTCACATAACCAGTTATAGAAATCTAAATATAAACCAATATCCAGTAAGTTTTAAGATGGCAGTCACCATCTTTGTGAAAAGTTGAACATTACCAGTGAAGTCTAATCATATCTTTAGAAGGGGTAAACAGTGATAGCATTTACTGAATTGGAATTACTATTAAAATTCAAAAACTGAACACATTCATTTAACCACAAGCCAGTCTTAGTTTTAAATCAGGATTGCCCAGTAAAATATTCTGTCAGTCATTCATGATCTGAATTCTGGTGTATGAGATCTATTAAAGTATGGTACACATAGAAAAGTCATGAGACATTTCTGTTTTGTAATAAATAAGGCAGTGGCCAATTATTACTCATGAGTAGCTTTTTTTGAGATAAGCTATCAAGTCTGCCCTTTCTGCCTTCTTCTGAATGCCAGCAAAGATCATTTTTGTTCCAGGGATGTAGTTCTTGGGATTCTGCAAATGCTCCATCACTGTATCCTCTCCCCAGGTGATCTCTTTGTTCTTACTGGCATCTTTGTAAGAGAATCCAATGGCCTGACCAGTCTTCAGCCCAAAGAGACCATGGAGGTTAGGCCCAGTCTTGTGCTTGCCTCCCTTTTAGGCACTGGGCACACTTCTGAACAAAAATCTTCTTGCCTTTCTCAACGTCACCCACATTTCATTCTCTTTTTCATCACTGGTGCAATGAAAGTTCCTGCTCTGAAGCCGGATGTCCCACTCCCTGCCACAAACATTTTCTAAAGGAGTGATGGAAGAAGAGATTTTCTTATTCTTCTAAAAACATATATAAATAATAAATGTAAAATATGTGTATGAATTCTCAAATTAGTTAGAACAATGTGAAAAGTAATGAGAAATAAATAATATGAAAAAAATAATATTTTTAAAAGCTCATGTAGATTCTCCTTACTTCCCCCTGCATCTCATTGCTCTTTCCAAAGGATAAGCACAATGAACAGATGGATGTAATTCTTCCTGAACTTTTCCTATGGATTTGTAATCTGTGACTCTATTTTTATATATATATATATATCTCCATATATCTCTCTCCAAAGCCTTGGTGAGCTTAGCATAATATACAAAAGATCATTAAGGGATGAAATATCAAGAAAGAAAACAACACTTATATTATTTTTTAGAGTAAATGAAGCATTTGGTAAATTGATTAGCACAATTTTTAGCACAAGGTTTTAAAGAAACCACACTGGGAACTGGATTACACAATAGAGTTATATCTTAGATTTCAGAGTAAATGGAAGTAATTTTCTTCAAATATGATTGAATGAATGTGATATTTTTCTTGTGTGTTAGTGTATTAGCATAAGCAAACTAACCTGAATGCATAAGTAATTTTTTCCTAAAATTTTTCTGCAATTGTCAGAGACAGATTAATTAACCTTAAAAACATTCCCTAAGTTCACATAAAATATATATAATGCTGTTTATTTAGGGAGAGTAATTAATTTTCTTCAGGGGCTAAAATCACATTCCCTAAAGCAAAATCATTCTGACATTATCAAATATCATAGTGTGGTTAAAGAACAATTATAAAGTAATTTACAGAATAAATCTTATTACTTTTCAGAGGCCTTTTGGATTAAGTGAAAGAAAATGGTACTATATTTGACTTTCAGCCTTCTTTCCTCAAACAGTTGAACATGCAGAAATAAAAAGTGAAATTTCATTACCTATAAACTATTAAATTCAAATGACCTAAAAATAATACCTTTAAGAAATCATTGAGCACATTTTTTTCTCAAAACTTATTGCCATTAAAAAAAAATTAAAACTTTTAAAAACCAAGACACTAGACTTTCTTCACAGTAATGTAGCTTTAACTTCTGAAGGGTTGTTAGGATTTGGTTGTCATCTGTTGATTTCCTGGGATTAAAAATAATCAATGACTCATTAATTTGTCAATTGATTTTTTTCTATCAAAAATTATTCGTTAAATGTAGACTGTATTAAAAAAACCCACCTAAAAAGCTGTGGGCTGCTTAAAGAAACAAATGTATTTATATACTGTTGGTGAGAATGTAAATTAGTTCAACTCCTATGGAAAACAGTATGGAGATTTCTCAAATAACTAAAAATAGAACTGCTATTCAACCCAGCAATACTGCTACTGGACATCTACCCAAAGGAAAATAAATTGTTTTATCAAAAAGCCACCTGCACTTATATGTTTATTGCATCACTATTCACAATAGCAAGGTCATGGAACAAACATAAGTGTCCATCAACTATTGACTGAATAAAGAAAACGTAGTATATATACACAGTGGAATACTATGCAGCCATCAAAAAGAATGAAATCATGTCTTTTGCAGCAACATAGATGGATCTGGAGGCCATTATTATGAGATAAATAGCTCAGAAACAGAAAGTCAAATGCCACATGTTTTACTTCTAGGTGGAAGGTAAACAATGGTTACACATGGACATAAAGATAGAAATAATAGACACAGGAACTCCAAAAGGGGGGAACATGGGAAGGAAGCAAGGTTTTTAAAGCTATGTATTGGATATTGTGTTCATTGTTTGAGTGATGGGTTCATTTGAAACCCATCCGCATTACACAATATACCTATGTAACAAATATTCACATATACCCTCTGAATCTAAAATAAAATAAAACTAAATTTAAAAAACAAATTGTATACTCCTAAATAGTTATTATCAGAAACCTTGAAATATAATGGAAGAAATTTTTCCAATTTTTAAATTTATAAAAAAAAATTATACCAGGCAATATGTAGTGTAAATTAATAAGCAGGATATTATTTAGTTGAAAATGTAAGGTTAAATGAAGAGGAATCAAAATATAGATAAATTCTTTAAGTGGTCTACACATGATTTTCTTTGTATTTCCATTCTTTTTAAAAATTTTATTTTTCTTAATTGACAAATAATACTTATGCATGTTGCTGTCATATATAATGATGTCTCAATACATATAATGTATTTTTAAACAGATCAGGATCCACTCTTGTAATCATCATTAATGCTAATTTCTTATCAACTGAATGTTCACAATAAACTCGTAAGCTTTTTCTAGATCATCTTTGCAGTAATAAGATTTGGCTATAAAAATAAATAAATAAAATCAGAACAATAACTATGCCACGTTTCTGCTGAAAATTTTATTGCTGTCATATAAATAAATGCTAACATTCAAGGTCTTACATAATCTGACAAAACATTGCTCTTTAATTTCTTACTAATTTCTTAGATAATAATAAGAATATCTAGCCTTTCTAAAGTGCTTATATTTTCTAAGTTATAGTATTCAATTTAACTCTTACAAATGTTCTATAATTACAGTCATCTCTCGGTGTCTGGTGGGGACTGGTTCCAGGACTGCCGTCTCCTCCACAACTACCACAATCCACAGATGCTCAAGTCCCACAGTTGGCTTCTGTATTCACAGATGCAGAACCCACAGACACAGAAAACTAAATGTAATTACAATTTACAGATAAGTAAAGAAAATCTCAGTACAAATTACTTGTCCAATACTGCCTAAATGTGCTAAGACTAGAAGGGAAATCTATTCCAAGAGAATTTACCTACTAGATGGTAGACATCAAGCTTATTCAACCCATGGCTTGTGGGCTGCATGCAGCCCAGGATGGCTTTGAATGAGGCTCAACACAAATTCGTGAACATTATGGGATTTTTTGCAATGTTTTTTAGCTCATCAGCTATTGTTAGTGTTAGTGCATTTTTTATTTGTGGCCCGAGACAATTCTTCTTTCAGTATGGCCCAGGGAAACCAAAAGATTGGACACCCCCGGTAGCCATGATTCTAAACTTCCCTCTATTGAGCAATTACTATCTGCCAAACATTATATTAGAGAAAAGAAATAGTAAGCAAAAAGCAACAACAGTATTGTGTAGGCTACCCTTAAATGTATTCAAATCCAGCCTAAAAAGTAAATAAATAACATACTAATTTAACAGTTTAATTTTTTTCAAAGTGGAAAGAGAATGAGAAACTGCTGAGCTCACACATGGAACAGGGACAGTGGTCCATTGTATCTTCCAGAATCACTGCTTAGTTTTTTCCCTCTTCCTTAGCTCCATTGATTTAAAATGACCTAAGCTTACACATCTCACTTGTCTCACTTACCCCATGATAGTCACCTGGGGTAGAATTAAAGATCAGATTTAACCATAATGCTTATCATATCTTTATCAGTAGCCTTTTATTACAGCATTCCAGCAATTATATTCCACACTAATTTTGAGCTGATGCTTAAGACATTGACCAAAACAGCTGGTGGACATAATAAATTGTTTGTAGAATCATGATTTGTCCCTCCCCACAATTTCCTCATGGCCTAGCATTCTGACATTTGAGTCATTTATGATAAATGGTGGTAAGTAAACAACCATCAAAGAGCACCGTCCCTTCAGTGGAAACAACCTATTCTCTGTGCCAAAGGTTGATGCTGTTGTTTGTCCAAATGTGTGTGACCATATAGAGCTATAGTTATCCATTTATTATTTCATCTATGTATTTGACTTTCACTGAGAATCTATCAGGTTGGTGCAGAAGTAATTGCGGGTTTTGCTATTGAAAGTAATGCAAAACCAGTTACTTTTGCACCAACCTAATACTATGACTCAGTCACTGTTTTAGATTTTGGTAAACAAGTCTGTGTCAGGGCCCCCCAAGAACACTCTCAGGTTTGGTGATTTACTAGGAAGGCTCATAATATTCAGTATACAGTTGAACACATGGCTATGATTTATTGCAGCAAAAAGAAACAAAGACAATCCAGCAAAGGGAATAGGTGCATAATGAAGAGTCTAGAAAAGACAAGGTGTACAGCCTCTAATAGTGGAGTCACACAGAACACAATTTCTACAGCAGACTTGTGACAACACATGAGAAATATTGTCTATCAGGGAAGCTCATTAAAGGCAGGGTTTTTATTGCATGCGCTTCACAAAAGCACACTCTGCCTAACACATACAGCATTTCAGAGTCCCAGAAGGAAAGCAAGTAGTTAGCATAAACCATATTGCTTGCACAGTCTAGACTGAGTGAATCATTCTTATCAGTTATGGAACTGTGGGAACCAATCTGAAATCCAAGTTTCCAAATACCAGACAAGAGCCTACTTTGTAAGCAGACTTCATAAGGATAGCAATCTCAGGTCTGCTGTGTTAACTGTTTTCTGCACGACATCACATAAATCTTGCTCTGTTATAACTTATTCTCTGGCATGTGTGTGTGTGTGGCTGTGGAGGGGGAGACCAAAAAAGCAATAAATTATATGTAATAATATACAGTAGACCCTGCCACAGCTCTTAATATATTCCAGGTGCTACTCTAAGTGTTTTACCTAATTAATTCACTCAGTCCTTACAACAGTATTTTAATATGGATACTCAATATAATCATTCCTATTTTACTATGAAAACTAAGGCACAGAGATTAGATACATTGGTCAAACAGGAAAAAGTCAAGTCAGACATTCAAGGTAAGCAAGGAAACTCCAGAATCTATAACTTTTATCATTATATAATTCCCTTTCTAAAAAAATAAATAAGAAAATATCAAATAGTAATAAATTCTAGGCTGAGAAATAGAATAAGGGATTATCAAAAAATGTATGTTATGAGCAAGGATTGCAATTGGCTGGCATCACGAATTGCCTGTCCAGCTGTTATTGTGCCTTCTCTGTAATGCTTCCTGGGCTGAATGCCATAAAAATGATTTGGCAATAAACTGGATAAATTGGAGTCTCTGATGACAGAGTCACGTTAGCAATTGTACTAGAGCTAGCCCCAACTCAGGGCTTCCTATCAAGTGAATTACATATTATTCTTATGATGTAAGCCACTTGAATAAGAGGTTCTCTTACATATAGCTATAAACATTTGAATTGACATAGAAGATTATGTTAAATTAGATGATAAGGAAAGGGTTTTCTTAGTCAATGACACTTAAGTTGAAAACTCAATGACAGGGAAGAGCTCACTATGCAAAAATAATTTCAGGCTGAGAAAATCACGTAAGTCAGGCATACTAGTCAGTGTATGTGAGAAACAACACAAACGTGAGAACTGATGAAGCGTATATGTGAGTAGGAGATGGTGTAAGAAGTGGTGAGTAACAACATATTAAGCTTTGGAGACTGTAATATGAATTGTGAATATTATCTTATGTGCAATTGGAAGCTACTAATGAGTTTTAAGCATAGATGTGATTATGTTTGTGCTTTTAAAATCACTCAGCTAACTGCAGAGGATAGAAATTTGAGGATCCAGCTTGGAAGAAAGAAAACAATTTAGAGGCAATTAATAGTGTTCATGTAAAAGATGACAACATTTTGTATTAGATAATAAAAGTACAGAATAAGATAAGTGAATAGATTAATGAGATTATTTACTTGTTTATTATTATTATTATTTTTTAGTGACGGGGTCTAACTCTGTTGTCCAGGCTGGAGAGCAGTGGCATGATCATAGCTCGCTGTATGATCTCAGGAGTTCAAGGAGTCTTGAACTCCTGAGATCAAGTCATTCTCCTGTCTCAGCTTCTCAAGTAGCTGGGACCACAGGCATACATCACCACACTGGCTAGTTTTTTTTTTTTAAGTGTTTTATTGTTTTTGTTTTTGTTTTTGTTTTTTTTGTAGAGACAAAATCTTGCTATGTTGCCCAGGCTGGTCTTTACACCTGGTCTCAAGCAATCATCTCACCTTCATCCCACAAAGTGTTGGGATTACAGGCATTAATTAGACACAGCACCAGGCATGAGGTGATATTTTGTATATGTGGTCAATAAATCTGAACAGTGGAGAAATAAATTATATCAAAAACATCTTTTTTATTGGATTATTTGTCTTTTTCTTACTGACTTACTGTGTTTAGTTTGGTTACATATCCTTTATCAATAACATATATGCAAATGTTATCATCTTTCCATTGACTAGCAATTTTTCTTTTAAATACAAACACACACACACACACACTATGTACAAATGGCTGATAGACATAGTAAATATTCTCAACATCATAAAAATTAATAGTATATGAGAGATTTTCAGTTTAAACAAGAATATGTAAAGGTCTTTAAAATTGTCTATCCTATTCTTGTGTACTTGGAATAAACCCCACTTGGTTGTGGTATACAATTCTGTTTTTGATATGAAAGGAGTATGTAAGACTCAAGCAAAATAAACTGTATATAAGTACTATATCCTAGTTAATAAAGTTGTTCCCCATGGATGTATAGATTATCAATTCTTTTACTGCCATATGTGTGTTCTTGAATTAACAATTAAGTAATGTATGGTGAATGGTAAGAACCATTTTTTTTTCACCACTGAAGTGGGAAGTTGCATATAAGGGGAAGAGGTTAGAATGATACATACGGTAATTAACTACAGTTGGTGACATCACTATGAACTCATGTTGAGGTGAGTATACATAGGCTGTAAGTACATTTTTTTTTTGCTCTATCAGCTGATAGGGCCTAGAATAAAACATAGCATAGGAGCAAAGAACGTATTATTATTAAGGAAATATTTATTTCTAATACTAATATTCAATACAAAGAACCAAGGCTTCTCGCAGAAGTGACTGAATTATTCTAAGACTTGGCAGAACATAAAATATATACTACGAGCCTGAAGCATCTTATAATGCCAGAAAGTAAGGTTATGTTTAGCATGTGGTTACACAGACACACACACACACACACACACACACACAAACCGCATACACCCTTACCTCACACAGTAATGAGGCTATTTAAAAAGGATACTGAAGTCACCTGAAAGAGCTCCCAATGGCCAAAGCTAGAATAATTTGAGCATAAAATACATTATTTTGTGTTGGGTTATAAACCTGTATTAGTCAGCTAGGGCTGCCATAACAAAATAGACTGAATGGCTTGAACAATAAAGATACATTTTCTCACAATTTGGAGTCTGGAAAGTCCACAATGAAGGCCCAGCAAGGTTTGGTTACTGGAGATTTGTCTGTGCCCAGTTTGCAGATGGATGACTTCTCCCTGTGTCCTCACATGGCAGACAGAGGGTGAGAGAAAACTTTTGCTTATTAGGTTGGTTGGTGCAAAAGTTATTGAGGATTTTGTCATTACTTTTAATGGCAAAAACCGTAATTACTTTTACACCAACCTATATAAAGCCACATATAGTACTAATATAAGGCCACAAATACTATCAGATTAATTCTCCATATTTATGACCTCATTTAACCTTAATTATTTCCTGAAGGCCCTATTTCCAAAAACAACCACATTGGGTGTTATAGCTTCAGCATGTGAAATTTGGAGGGACACAGTTCAGTCCATAGTGAACTGTAGTCCTGGCCCTCAAAATTCATATTCTTACATGAAAAATACATTATTTCCATCCCAACAGCCCCAAAGACTCAACTCATATCAGCATCAACTCTCAAGCCAAAATTCCAAAATTTAAATGTCATCTAAATCAGATGTGTGTGATACTCAAGGTACTATTCATTCTGAGATAAAATTCCTCTACAGCTGTGAACCTGTGACATCAGAAAAGTAGTATGCTTTTAAAATACAACTGTGGAACAGGCATAGGATAGACATTCTTATCCTAAAAGGGATAAATTAGATGCAAGAAAAGGGTGATAGGTTCTAAGCAAGTTCAAAACTTAGCAAAGCAAGTTTCATTAGATTTCAAGTCTTGAGAATAATCCTTGGTTCGGTGTTCTCCTTCCAGAACCAACGGGGCAGTGATCCTGCCCTCAGTATTCTCAAGCCTTTACCTATTACCCAGTTTAAAGCCACTTTCACATTTTTAGGTATTGGTTACAGAAGCCTTGACCAAAATATAAAATAAGTATCCAAGAGTTTATACTGATATAAATGCATGATTGACTATGCAAATAAACGGAGGAAGATAAACAAATTTCCTATACAGAAGAATTTCAAATAATTTATGTAAACACTGCGCCCATCAGGTTTCAGAGTATAAATTCTAACTCTTTAAGTATAATCTGAACACAGGGAATTCTTTTCTATGAGTATAATATGGAAGGGAGGGGAAGAAATTGAGACTGTGTGAGAAGCTTTCTAAACACCACTTCCACCAGGCCATGTTAAAGGTTTATGCCTCTCCAATTGTAGTACAAATCACCTTCATTTCTAAACCTGCTATTCAATCTTGATGTTTATGGCAGGTTTTCCTTTGGCAAAAATGCATGGGTCTCTTCCAGTTGTTGTCTTCCCTTTACCCCCCGGGACTACTCCACACTACTTCAGCTTGATGTTTCAAATATATACTTGATTGCACTAATCTTGTAAATATTTCCCAAAGCTCCTTCCATCATTCCATGTAGATTAAACATATTGCTGATACTAATTACTACTATAACTCTTACTGTATGTCTGTGTGTATATGTGTGTGTGTGGTCATTTTAAAAGAAATTTTAAAGAGGTATATGTAGGATATGGCAAAATATTTTTATCATAGATTCATCTCAGATTACAGGACTATTTTCAAAATAAATCAATGGAGGGAAAATAAAATGTAATTTTGAAAATAATACGTCATTCTAATATTTTAATAAAGTAAATATTTTAATAATAGCTTTTTGTGTCTTTTTAATTCTTTTTTAAAAGCAGAAAATATTTCAGTACACATAAATATGATTAGTGTACCTGAGGAGTAGATGTTTTATGTTAGATTTAATTGTTGACTATTTTTATGTATCAAGTCTTTCATTAAAGCTACTATGTTGATGAAGTTTCTGTTCTGTCGGAAATATGCTTTCAAACACAACACTATAAAATATGCCAACAGAGTTTTACTTTAAAGAAATTGTCAAGAAGATTTAACACAAGATCCACCCTCTTGACAAATTTTTAAAATGCATAATACAGTGCTTTTAATTATAGACACGATGATATACAGCAGATTTTTAGTACTTATTTATCTTCCATCAATGAAACATTATATCCACTGGATGAAAACTTTCCCTCCTGACCTCTGGTAAGCACCATTCCATTCTCTGCTTCTATGAGTTTGATTATTTTAAATACTTCACATGAGCAAAATGATGCAGTATTTGTGCTGCAATACCTGGCATTTTTCACTTAGCATAATTTCTTCAAGTTTTATCCATGTCGTTTTACATTGCCTGCTACAGGCTGAAAGTTTATGTCCCCCTAAAATTCATATATTGAAAATCTTCTTCAATAGGAACACTTTTACACTGTTGGTGGGACTGTAAACTAGTTCAACCATTGTGGAAGTCAGTGTGGCGATTCCTCAGGGATCTAGAACTAGAAATACCATTTGACCCAGCCATACCATTACTGGGTATATACCCAAAGGACTATAAATCATGCTGCTATAAAGACACATGCACACGTATGTTTATTGCGGCACTATTCACAATAGCAAAGACTTGGAACCAACCCAAATGTCCAACAATGATAGACTGGATTAAGAAAATGTGGCACATATACACCATGGAATACTATGCAGCCATAAAAAATGATGAGTTCATGCCCTTTGTAGGGACATGGATGAAATTGGAAATCATCATTCTCAGTAAACTATCGTAAGAACAAAAAACCAAACACCGCATATTCTCACTCATAAGTGGGAATTGAACAATGAGAACACATGGACACAGGAAGGGGAACATCACACCCTGGGGACTGTTGTGGGGTAGGGGGAGGGGGGAGGGATAGCATTGGGAGATATACCTAATGCTAAATGACGAGTTAGTGGGTGCAGCGCACCAGCATGTCACATGTATACATATGTAACTAACCTGCACGTTGTGCACATGTACCCTAAAACTTAAAGTATAATAATAAAAAAAAACCATAGATTGCAAAAAAAAGAAAGAAAAAACTGTACGTAAAAAAAAAAAAAAAAAAGAAAGCATATATCTATCTATAGAACTATTGTAACACAAAGAATGTTTTAATGCTTACATGGTTAATTAGCAAATCTGGGGAAAGATACGGTGTTTCCCCATTTATTTCTCAGAAAAGCCTTAAGAAAGACAATAGACAAATAACCTCCATGCAAAAAAACCATTTTTATAATATGTCAAAGCACATTAATATCCTCTATAGCATTTTAGCACCAAAAGTAACAAGTGGAATTTCTTAAATAAAATTAAAGTCTGTCTTATACAAAAAAAAAAAGGTGGAATCCTCAAGAATGGAATTAATGTTCTTATTTTAAAAACTCCAGAGCACTCCCTTGTTTCTTCTGCTATGTGAGAACTCAGTGAGAAGATGGTCATGTGTGAACCAGGAAGTGACAGTGAATCTGCTGGCACCTTGATCTTGAATTTCTCTGCCTCCAGAACTATGTTAAATGAATTCCTGTCGTTTATAAGGCACCTAGTCTGTGGTACTTTTGTTATAGCAGCACAAATGGACTAAGACATGGTATAATTTTCTTCTTTTTTAAGTGTGAATAATATTCTATTTTATGTCTATACCAGATTTTATCCATTTGTAGATAATGAACAAATGAAAACCCAATGGATTTTGTACTGTAATACATGTATTGAATTAAATGTTGTTTTTATTAATGAAGGATTTACATTGGCTTTGTTAAATCAGAGTATATTAAAAAACACAAATAAAAGTGCTTTCATATGGATAAAAACCATGTTTATCTAATTCCTGTCTAGACAATGGCACCAGGCAGGCTTCTTGGATCCTATAGTTTCTTCTTCACAGAGCACCTAAGGAAATCTTGTTACATATCATGGCTTCTGTGAAAACATATCAGCATTTTCTCATCCCATACACATACAAAAAAAGCGAAGTTCCCAATATGATCCATGGGTTCCTGAATGCTCTGGCTTCCCTCCCTTCTCTTCTATATCTCCTTTCTGTTTCCTCGAGGCTGCTGTACTCTAGCCACAATGGTACTGTGCATATTCCTAGAATACAACCAACCAGGCTTCAGGGACGTTGCACTATCTTGTCATGGAACATAGTTGTAGCTATGTGTTTCACTTCTTCACTTCATTTATGCGTCTACACAAATGACATGTTATCAGAAAGTTCTTTCTTGCTTGCTCCTGTTATTTAAAATGGCTAACTTTTCTATTTCTGTACCATGTCTAATTTTTTCTTAATATCATTTAAATCTGATTGTAACAAATTACCACAAATGCGGCGGTTTAACACACATTTATTTTCTTATGGTTCTGGGAGTCAGAAGTCTGAAATTAAGTTCTCTGGACTACAACCAAATCAGCAAACCTGTGTTTCTTTTGGAGACTCTAAGGGAGAATCATTTCCTTACTTAGAGCTACATTGTTCCTAGAGGCTGCTGTTCCTTGCCTCATGGTTAGTTTCTCCGTTGTCAAAGCCAGTGGCATATCATCCCTCTCGGACTCTGCTTCTTTCTGCTTCTCTGTATCCTACCTTATTTACTGCCTCTTATAGGGATTCTTGTGATTATATTGGGCCTACTTAGATAATTAAAGATATGATTTCCTTATCAAAATCTCTAATTTAATCACAGCTGAGAAGTCCCTATAACCATGTAAAGCAGCATAGTCACAGTTTCCAGGGATTAGGATAAAAATATCTTTGAGGGGGCATTATTAAATCTACCAAAATGATATAAATAGTATATATTTATTTGTTTATTCATTATCTGTTTCTCTGAGATGTAAGCCCCACAAGAACAGATACTTTGTATGTTATGACCATTACTTTTGCTTCATCTCCCAGCAAAATATATGGCAAGTTAAGGATGCTCATAGGAAGGTAGTAAAATATTAATTGTTTGTGGACACATATCCTTAAAGGTATTTCTTAATACCAATGCTTAATAAACAATTTAAGTAAATAATTGAGGATGTAAGATTGCTTGTCCTCTAATAAAACATACTCACTTACTCACAAGATGTCACTACCCCAAAATAAAACATATGATAATGGAGATGAAATGAGAAACACTAGTATTGGCTAACATCTGACAACACACTGATGTGGATTTCTGTATGATACAACGTGCTATTTTCCCTCTCTGTTATATCCTAGTCATGTATTTCAGCTCATAAGACAACATTCTCTGATCTCAAATTATTCCCATGTCAAAGATGGCATGCCATATCAAATCTCATTAACAAATATAAATTATACCTTTTTAAGATTATTATCCAGCTGTTTGGACCTCTTTCCAACAGTGTATCAGTTTCACAATGGAATATAATATCTCTATTTCCTCAGATTGATTTTGTTTATTTGAATGCCTCAAACCTTTCTTTGTATACTGATTTTTCTTTTTGAATTTTTTTTTATCATTTTTTATTATACTTTAAGTTTTAGGGTACATGTGCACAATGTGCAGGTTAGTTACATATGTATACATGTGCCATGTTGGTGTGCTGCACCCATTAACTCGTCATTTAACATTAGGTATATCTCCTAATGCTATCCCTCCCCCCTCCCCCCACCCCACAACAGGCCCCGGTGTGTGATGTTCCCCTTCCTGTGTCCGTGTGTTCTCATTGTTCAATTCCCACCTATAAGTGAGAACATGCAGCGTTTGGTTTTTTGTCCTTGCAATAGTTTGCTGAGAATGATGGTTTCCAGCTTCATCCATGTCCCTACAAAGGACATGAACTCATCATTTTTTTTATCATGCAAATCTGAGTACAATATTGAAAACTAATTAGGTCCTGTGGAATATGTTTTTTTCAGTTTCTATCCAAACATATCAATTCCAAATATATCAAATATAAAGAGTAAGAGAAAAATACATAATTAATTTGATTAATTTCAATTAGTTATTTTACAAGAAAAGAGGTCAAGATGTTTAGAAGATGCAATAGGCATAAATATGTTCATGCAAACCTTTTCTTCCCAAAGAGTTGAGAGAAAAAAATAATACCTACGTGATGATATTTTACTGTTGTTGGCATAAATGGGGAATATAGATTTGTTTGTTCTATTTAATAATTAACTAGGGAGTAAATAACCACAGAAATCAATTCAAACATAAAATAATAAGGCCTACTAGGGACTAAAGGAAACACTGGCAGATTCAGTCTAGTTTTTGTTTGTTTGTCTGTTTATGTATGTGTTTATATCTTAAGATTCCCTATAGAGAAGTAGGGAACTCAATTAACACACTTAAAAAAACTACACAGTAGAGCAATAAGGGAAAATCCCATACAGTATTAGACTGATGGGAGATTTTCCATCTTCTGTTGTGGGCCGTTAACTGCTTATTAAGGATATAAAAAAAACAGCTTCCTCAGCTAAACTCCTAAGTATCTGAGGACCAACAATTAATCTTTCAAAGATGACAATATTTAAATTGTGAATTAGGCCTAATACATATTTTTTATTTTGGTTTTGCAAATCTGGCAATTCTCTTCCCACAGGGACCATAATATCTGTTTCTGACTATTAGACTTATTTAAATATGTAAATATATTCTAATAACACAGTATGCTACTTTTCATAGTCTTCTACAATACTACTAGAAAAATCACCATTGATTTGAATTTTGAATTAAACATTTATTCAGACTTGCTCTTATTGAATTCATTATAAAAATCGTGGTTCTCTTTCATTAATACCAATATCTATATTGCTGTAAATGTACTATTGTGAATAACAAGAAATATCACTTGAAACATAGTCAATTAATCTATGAGGAGAAAGGAACACTTCCAAACCATTGTACAAGGCCAGCATTACCCTCATACCAAAGTCAGACAAGAAAATTACAAGAAAAGAAAATTACAGGCCAATATCCCTGATGAACACATGCAAACCTTCTCAACAAAATACTCACAAATTAAATTCCACAGCATATTAAAAGGCTTGTGAACTAAAATTATCTGAGACAGCTCTCAATCAGTTTAGAAAGATTATTATGACAAGGTTAAGGACACATCATGACATATCCTGAGACACGTGCCTAAGGTGGTCGAGGTACAGCTTGGTTGTACATTATAGAGAGACATGAGACATGAATCAACATGTGTAAGACGCATACTGGTTCGGTCTGGAAAGGCAGGGCAACTCGAAGCGGGGGCTTTCAGGTCAAAGGTCATAATATTCCACAAAGGTGCCAAAAATACACAATAAAAAAGATAGTCTTTTAAATAAATGATGTTGGGAACACTAGGTACCCACATGTTCACACAAATAAAATGATTTTGGATCCTTATCTTACACCATACCCAACTATTCACTCAAAATGGATTAAAGACTGAAGCATGAGGTGCAAAAGCATACAACTTCTAGAAGAAAACACAAGGGAAAATCTCCATAACATTGATCTTGGTGATGACTATTGGGATATGACACCAAATGCATAGAAAATAAAAGGGAAAATTGTCAAGTGGGACTATATTAAAGATTTTGCACAGCAAAGGAAACAGTTCACAAAATGCTACCACCACCTATGGAATAGAAGAGAGCATTTGAAAACCATACATTCAATTAGAGGTTCATATCCAAAATATATAAGAGACTCATACAACTCTATAGCAAAACCAAACAAATAACCCTATTTAAAAATGGGTAAAGTACCTGAGTATTTTTTTTTTCTAAAGAGAACACGCAAATGGTCAATAGATATATGTATGAGTGCTCAACATCGCTAATCATCAGGTAGATTCAAATCAAAACCACAACGAGCTATCACCTCACATCTGTTAGGATTGCTACTATCAAAAAGCCAACAGACAAGTGTTAACGAGGATGTGGAGAAATGAGAACCCTTCTATATTTCTGGTGGGACTGTTAAGTGGTACAGCCATTATGAAAAACAATATGGAGTTTCCTAAAAAAATTAAAAATGAAACTACCATATAATTTAACAATCCCATTTCTAGGGATATATCCAGAGGAAATAAAGTCATTATCTCGAAGAGAGAGCTGCACTTCCATGTTCACTGCAACATTATTCATAATAGCAAATATATTAAAACAACCTAAGTGTTGATCAACAGATGAATGGATAAAGCCTTTATAAAGAAGGAAATTTTGCCATTTGCATCGCAATGGCAAACATGAAGGGCATTATGTTAAGTGAAATAAGCCAGACACAGAAAGACAAATACTGGATGGTCTCAGTTTTATGTGGAATATAAAAGTTAAACTCATAGAAACAGAGAGTAGACGGGTGGTTATCCAAGGTTAGCAGGTGAAGAAAATGAGGAGATATTGGCCAAAGGGTAGAAGCTTTGAGTTATAAAATGAATGAGTTCTGTAGACTTAATTTACAGCATGTATTTAAGGTACCGTATACTCAAAATTTGCAAAGAGAATAGATCTTAAATATTCTCACCACACATGCACACAGAAGGTAACTATGTGAGACAATGAGTATTTCAACTAGCTTCATTGTGGTATTCATTTTACAATGTACACATACATTGAAACATGCTATATGACTTAAATATATGCAATTTTTAGTTAAGGTTATATCTCAGTAAAGCTGGAAAATGAAACATTTACACAATCTAGTTTACAAATACTACATTAGAAATATACAAGAACCAAACAACATTATTTCAGTTGTTTAAAAAATAAGCAAAATACCCTTCTCTGAGTAAAATATGTAAGTCAGAATTTAGTACTTGTTGCTATTAGACCTATATTGTGTCTGCCAATCACACACATTGACTATCACTTATTTGTACGTCCCAGGAAAAGATGAGATGTACGAAGAAAAATGAGGAGAATGAGAAGAAGAGATAAGGAGAGGGGCCAGGAAAATAAGAGGGGATAGGGAAGGAGAAGAAGAATATCTTAATAGGTTCAGCTTCTCTTGTGTACCCAACTTTCTTCTGAATTTAAAAACTCAGAGCCTGGTGTGGTGGTGCATGCCTCTAATCCTAGCTACTCAGGAAACTGAGCCTGGAGTTCAAGACCAGCTTGGGCAACACATTAAGACCGCTTCTCTTAAAAGAAACAAACAAAAACCCTCAATTTGAAGTAATTTATCATGAAATATCTAAAATGTAATGCTAATATTTTCATACCAATGGGAGAAATTTACTATTGGTATAGCTTGCCTTCCTTTGACAAAATGTAGGAGTACGTGATGCTGAGGTCAGTTTCCTTAGTATTGATGCGGGGCATCCTCTCAGCTGAGAGTAGAGGGCCTACTCTCTACTGAGTGTAGCTGAACACTCGATGTGAAGACTTGCCTATGGAGAGGAGCTACCCACTGTGAGTCTCCTCTGAGCTGTTCAAACACTAAATAAAACTCTTCTTCATCTTCTTCGCCCTTCACTTGTCTGTGTACTTCATTCTTCCTGGATGCAGGACAAGAACTCAGGCAAAGGCATCACAGCCACAGAAATTTCCAGCCAGAAAAATGACACCCCAGAGGTCCCATAACAGGATGGTCCTGAATGTATGCAACATTTTTCTTAGTGTGATCCTAAATATAAAAGTTGCCTAATTTCCCTTTTCATGTCTACTTTCATTTTACCTTTCTTTTACTTCCAAGATTGAATACGTATTGTTTCTGCCCAGAGATTAATTCTCTCTTCCTCTGTTTCTCTCTTTCTTTAACAGAATAACTCGTATTTCTAACCATCTACTCTTCAACGTCCCAAGTATTGCATTTCTCATAATAGACACCCCTGGCTAATTTTACCATTAAAAATATTAGCAGGAATTTGCGGGGTTTTTTTTTCCATTTGCTTCTGTTTTTGCAACGCTGCTGTCTTTGGCTCTCAATTCCCTCAGCCTTTACATCCAGCATATCTGAAGAATTTTAACATTTAATTTCCAACATTTCCTAGCTGGTACTCACCACAACAAATTACTGAACTGGGAATGCAATTGTTGTGTATCTTAAAGCTGTAAGAAGCAGCATATTCCATGTGTGCTTCCTTACACACTTGTGTACCTGAATATCCAAGGCCATGAAGAAACTTTCTCTCACTAAAAGCAGCATCAACATGCATATGTCTTTTTATGTAGCAGAAACTTTGTTACATTTCAATTCTACATACTGTATATCCGCCTTCTTTATGAAAGTTTATCTATGTTTAAAAAATTTTACCTCTTTCTCAAGTTGGTCCCTTTCTTCTTCTACCACATGTAGGTTAAAAGAATTGTTGGATCCTCTTTTCTCTTTCTAGCCTAGAATTTTTGTCTTGACCACAAGATCAAAATTTGTTTTTAAGTTGATCCTATATCTTCCTGAGTTTCTGATGTCCTTTTTTCAAAGTCTGAGCTTTTCTTTTTGTTCACTACAAAATTCTGAAGACTTCTTTTTTTCTAACTTGCTAACTGTGGTTTTCCTCTTGCCTCTTGGCAAATCTAATTCTTTGAGAGAAAGTGTTCCAAAAACAGGTCTTAAAACTTTTTCCTTGATGCTTAGTTTTGTGATAATTCCATTTTTTCCTCATCTTCTCAATATAGAAACAATACATAGTATTTTTCAGATTAATTTTATCTGTTTATTTCTTAAAAATATTATTTTCCCAAATATATCATGTATGGATTTATATTTCAAATAATAAATATATATGATAACATTGAAGACTTGGTGCCATTCAGCTGTCATTATGTAAAAGAACAAAAAACAGATAGCCTGATTAGTAAACAATATATCATCCATCAATTCAAATGCTTGCACACATAAACTGTGCATCCTCTAATTGAGGCTGCCCTGGTCCCTAAAACTAATCCAATTCCCTTCCAAATAGATTACTGATAGGGTAAAAAATGCACTAGATATGCAGATACGTCTTTACTCTAAGAAGCATCTTGCCAATATCTGAGTTGAACCACATCATTTTGCCCAATTTAGAAATGTTACTCTCCATGTGTAATTTTGTCAATTTTTTATCCTGCTTTTCGACATCTCCCTCTCATAAATTATAATGTTTTATGCATACATTGACCTCAAATTGATGATGTACAGCAAATGTTAGGAATACTTCTGATGGAAAGAGAGACAATCAGGATGCAATATTGATGATGCCAACCCAACCAGGAGGTGGCAGACAAACACTTAAGTGTTCTCATATTCACACCCTGTACAATTCCTCCCCTTGCAGGTGAGTGGGGCCTATGGCTTGCTTCTAACCAGTCTCACATGGCAAAGGTGATGGAATGGCAGCCACATGATTGAGTTATATTACAAAGCAAAGGTTATTAGATATCACTTGCTTGATTGCACGATGTTATACGACTCCATCTAAGCAGACTGAAGACAGAGATTATCTCTGCTGGTTTAATGAAGTAATACCACGTTAAGAAGTCCTTCGTGACAAGGAACTGCTGGAAGCCTCTAGAAACTTTGGTAGCCCCTAGGATCTGAGTGTGGTATTTAGCCAGTCAGGAAAATGCTGGAGCCCTCAGTCATATAGTTAAAAGGAAAGGAATTCTGAAAAAAACCTGAATAAGCATGGAAGTGGATTCTTCCTCAGTCAAGCCTTGATATAAAAAAGCAGCCCAGTCAATTCTTTTACTGCATCCTGTGAGACCGTAAGCAGAAAACCCAGATAACTTCTGCCCAGACTCATTATTCCTGGAAACTTCCAGATTATAAATGCACGCTATTTTCAGCTGCTAAATTTGTAGTAATTTATTACACAGCAATAGAAAACTACCTTTACCACATATTCCTGAGAGCAATATGTTGCTGAAAGACCACTAATGAATACAGTTATTTGGCCTTAACCCCTAAATGACCTCCTTCTGGAGAACTGGTCTGGGGAAGGGAATATATGATCCAGAAGTCTCTTTTTAACAAGACAAGAGGTCCACACTGGGAAAAACTTCATCTATAAGGAAGGCCGAAGTTTTTACAATTATTCCAGTTATACAGGCCATTAGTTCTAAGAAATAGAAGCCACTATATAATAAAGAACATAGGAAAAGAGAAATCTAAGCCTTTTCTGTGCATGCCAGGGTGTTGAATCTTTTTAGCTCTTTCACTGTTAGCCCTTTAGTGTTGTGACTAAATTTTCTGCCCTTGAGCCATATTAGAAAATATGTGTATATGTATGTGTCTGTGTGTGTGTGTGCGTGTGTGTGTGTAACTCAGTTCTTCAAGGCTTGCATGTGTATTCAAAGACATTTGAAATTATTTCTGATTTATTCATTTTGGTTGATAAGTAAAGGAATATGAAACATTTCTTAATGAAAGTTGTTTCTGATTATTTTGCCAAATGGAGAAGTATAATCACACCAAATTATGTTTATACTCCTCCTTCATTTAAATAAAATGTTTTAGGCAAGCTATTTTTTTGAGTAAATAAATAAGAGACTATTTTAACTTTTTATTTTCCAGATCTGGACATAATAATTTAGCTTATGGTGGTATTCAACATTTTTCCCTTACACATAGTGAAATAAGCAAGCTAAAAACAAGTGAGCCCCAGTTTCTCTGATGGGTTGTTAGGAGCAAAAGAGTCATTGAAAACATTACAGTGTTACAGAGCTGGGAGAAATGGACCAGCAAGTCCCAGGCTTTGTGTTCTAGGACCAGAGCAGGAAGAGGACAAAAAGGTGTCTATTGGGCACATTAGATGCATTTAGATGATGTCTGAAAGCAAATCACAACTTCTGTAACTTTGTCTATAAGGATAAATAACTAAAGATAGCAGCAGTAAATTTGGAGCTCAAGAGGGATCATGAACATTACATCTATTGTCAGGCATATTGGTCTATATGAAGTTAAACAAACAGAATCATCTTGCTTTCTGCACCAGAGGTGGTAAAACAGAGGGGCAGGGGTTACTGGGGGAAGAGCAAAATTGTTGAAGAAAATCTGACATTAGTAGGATAAGAACTGTGTGATTTAGAATTACTTCTTTCTATGTATACCACAGAAAATATCTTTGTTTAGAGGAGCTTCTGTTAAGAACTTAATGTGATCAGATCACATGAATATAGATTTAAATAGGCTGATTTTAATGCTTCAATTCTGTTCATAGCCATTTGAACTGTCATCTATACTGGAATTTTTTAATATTAAATTTTTTTATTTGCACTATATAATATGCAAATATGGAGAGTGTGTGTTCTAATACCTCAAGAATTTGCAACCTAGGAGGAAAGGTAATATATGTGTGCATGTTGCTATCATGTATCATTAAGGCTTGCAGCCCTAAGTGAAGAAAACTAAATGTGCACAAACAACAAGTAACAGGAGATAGACTATGTGATTCTATGTTAATATTTTTGAAGACAGGAAATGCAGTATATCATAGAGTCAAGGTCCCAGCAAGTGTCATTATTTTCTTTCTTATCCAACTTTGGGATCAGATAATTTGGGCTGTAACTATATAACGTGACTTAATTATAATACAAAAAGTGGTCAAATAACATCACTTGAATTCCTGTCAAAAGTCACAAAACATTCTGAGAAAAAACACAAAGTCCTTTTGCTTCTTTTCAACTCAACTCTGTGCAAAATATGATAGAAAAAGTACAAAAGTGTGGAAAAATCCCTGAAAGCAAAGAGAATGAAGTGACATGGAAATAGGAATGGGACATTCGGGGAGGTTTGGAGGCAGAGGTGAGATGAGAATAAGCACATTTCCAAAAGCTGAAAAAGAGATTAAGCTTGCTAACAGATTATTCAAACCATAATTTTTGAAGTCCTGAATACTAGTAGGAGAGAAAATAACTGAAGGAAGAGAAACCTAAAAGAGATGACTGAATGTATGAGTATGGAGTGAGAAAATGCTATAAAAACAGTTCCATTAGTTGAAAGTGTGTCGACAGAAGTTTATTACAATGCCATTTGTTACTTAGAAAAATATCAAGGAGATTTAAAAAAAATAAATGCAATTAACCACCTTTAAAAAATAATACTGTTGGTATGGTACTGGCATCACTAGAATAATTATCTCCTCATTCTAGCATTTGAAGAGATTCCGTGTAAAGGCCAACCTCTCAATTTTTGAAGACTTATTAGTAAAATTCAAATGTTCTCATCACAAAGAAATGATAAATATTTGAGGTGATGGATATGTTAATTAGCTTGATTTAATCATTCTGCATTATGTTTAAAAATTATAACATTACTTTGTACCCCATAAATATATACAACTATAATTTTTCAATATGTAATGAAAATAAGTTAACAAAATGAAAGTTCATGAGCCACCATGCCACTGACCCATGACCCTTTGGTAGAGCCCCAGTTAGATATCTAATTCATCTAGAATAGTTTGGGGTGGAAAATACCTACCTAATAACAGAAAAAATTTGTGCCAATAAATAAAGTAACCAGCGCAGTCCTTCTTTCTTCAATAAAAACAGATACATAAGGAGAGGTGTGATGGCTCATACCTTTAATACCAACACTATGGGAGACTAAGGTGGGAGGATTGCTTGAGCCCAGGAGTTCGAGACCAGCCTGAACAATATAGGGAGACCTAATATCTGCAAATAATTTTTTAAAAATTAGCCAGGCATAGTGGCTCACAATTGTGGTCCCAGCTATTTTGGAGACTGACACAGGAGAATCACTTGAGCCTTGGAGGCCAAGGCTGCAGTGAGCCATGTTCATGCCACTGCACTCCAGCCTGGGCAAGAGAATGAGTCAATGTCTCCAAAAACAGAACAAAACAAATAACAACATATATAGACATAGATATAGATGTAGATATAGATATAGATATATTTACAAGATCATGTAAGAAAAGCATGTAACAAGAAAAAGAAACACTGAGATAAACTGGAGAAATACAAAACTTTTAAAGAAACAGAGAGATACTGCAAATTATCTGCATAAGAATTAAATTACTGACTTCCAAATTCAGCTTCAATAAGTAAAATGTTTGGAAGTCATTACTCCCAGTTTTACATCTTTTCAGTCCTGCAAGGTATCTTAAAATATTTTTTCAGCATAAGGAAAATGACATAAGTCAGAAACTTGGATCTATGTAAAGAAAGAAAGAGTCTAGGAGAGAAAAAAATAAAAGTAAAATAAAACATTTTATTTTAATTATTTTTATAAAATCTAAAGATAACTGGTGATACAATAATAGTATCAATGCATTGTGTGATGGTAGCATAAGAATAAGTGAAATGATTGATAGCAATACTGTAAGGGAGGGGTGGGAGAAATTGGGAATTATCTGTATGAGGTACTGATTGTGAAGTGGTATAGTGTTATTTGAAGATAGACATAAATTAGGTTAAAATGTGCATTGCAACATCTAGGGTAATTACTAATACCCTGGTATTATCCTTTAGCATAACTAATGCTAAAGGAATAGAATGGGATCATATAAAATACTCAATTAAAAGTAGAGAAGGCACAAAAAAAGGGAGAAGGAACAAAAGCAAAATCAATAGCAAACAGAGACATTGTAGATATTAATAAAACTATATTAACAATCACTTTAAATGTAAATAGTCTAAATATGCCAATTAAATGACATATTGTGAATAAGAGGAGGGAAACAATCCAGCTAAATTTGCTTACAAAGCCAACTTTAAAAGTTAATACTCATGAAAGTTAAAAGTAAAAGATGAAGAAAGTTGTATGATGCCACAGCATCATTTTAAAAAACAGCATTAATTTTAGACAAGGACAGCTGAGATCAGTAAAGGTTACCGGGGACAAAGACAGGTATTATATAAAGATAAAGATACCAATTATCCAGGAAGATGTAATAATTCTATATGTGTATATAACTAATCACAGAGTATCAAAACAAATGAGGCAAAAACTGATAAAACTGATAGATGACATAGACAAATCTGCTATAGTTGGAACTTTAACATTTTTCTTTCAGTAACTGATAAATCCATTAAGCTACAATCAGTAGAATATAGCTGATCTGTACAGTATTTTTAAAAAATTAAATCTAATTGACATCTAGCCACTACCACATCCAACAATAACAAAAAACATACCCATCTGAAGCTCTCATGCGACATTTATTAAAGCCGCATTCGGGCCCTAATACATATCTTACTAAATTTAAAAGAATAGATATTATATAGAGTATGTTCTTAGACCACAACAAAATTAAACTAGAAATTAATAGCAGACAGATAGGTAGAGAGTAACCAAATATTTGGAGATTACACAACATATTTCTAAATAACACAGAGGTAAAAAGAAATTAAAAAGTATTTTGAAATGAATGGTAATAAAAACACAAGTTATCAAAATTTGTAGGATGTGAGAACACAGCCATTAGAGGGAAATTTATAACATTCTTATCACATATCAGAAAAGAAGAAAGTTATAAAATAACCTAAGTTTCCAACTTAGTACACAAGAGAAAAATATAATCTGATAGGTATCCTTATAACAAGAAGAGAAGAGAAATAAACAGACAAATGAAAGAATGTCTTGTTACAGTGGAAGCAGAGATTAGAGTGCTGCATCCATTTATATATATTTTAGACATAAAATGAAATACCAGTATGAATATATTAGAAAATAGACTGACCAAAAATATTTAATGTACACTGAGGTACATTAAACACCAAGTTGAAGAAACACTAACAAATGCAGGCAAAACCTAAAAATAAGAGAAAGAAATGGAACAGATTTTCCCCTAGAACCTTCAGAGAGAGTATGGTACTGCTCACACCTTGTTTTTGGACTTGTAAGCTCTGGAACTGTGATAGAATACATTTCTGTTGTTTTCAGCCACCCAACAGATAGTTATTTGTTTCAGCAGCCCTGGGAAACAAATATAGATAGAGTAGTTGAAGGATACGTGAATATTAAATGTAATTTGGTAACCTGTATGGGATTTTGGAAGATAAAAAGAACCTGAGGGAATACTGAGGATATAGGAGTAACTAATGTGTGAGCTTTAGTTAACAATAATGTATCAATATAGGTTCATTAATTGTGGTAAATGTACAAAACTAACTTAAGGTATCAATACTGGAGAAACAGGGCATAGAGTATATGGGAACACTATCTTTGTAATAATTCTGTAAATCCGAAATTTTTCTAAGTTTTAAGAATTATGTATGTTATATATGAAATACATTAATAATATTCTATACATATATAAAATGAAATACCATTACCGACATGGTAGAAAAAAGAAAAAAGACTGACCAAAAATATTTAATGTTATCTGATACGGTTTGGCTGTGTCCCTACCCAAATCTCATCTTGAACTGTAGCTCCCATAATTCCCAGGTGTTGTGGGAGGGACCTGGTGGGAGATACTGAATCATGGGGGCAGCTTCCCCCATACTGTTCTCGTGGTAGTGAATAAGTCTCACAAGATCTGAGGGTTTTATAAGCTTGACTCTTTATCCTCTCTTGTTTGACACCATGTAAGACTTGCCTTTTGTCTTCCACCATAATTGTGAGGCCTCCTCAGCCATGTGAAACTATGAGTCCATTAAACTTCTTTTTTTAAATTACCCAGTCTCGGGAATGTCTTTATCAGCAGTGTGAAAATGGACTAACACATTATCTCAAGAAACATAGGAAATTGAAGTCAGAAATTTTTCCCATTGTGATATAAAACTTGAAAATAATAATTTGCTATTGGGACCAACTAAGTCAATTGAAACCCTGGTGACACCAACTAGCTAAAGGTCTTGATATATTTTTTTCATCTATGACTGTTGTAACCATATTGAGTCAGATTTAATTATAACATTAGGGTGAGGATATTGAATCTGTGATTGCTAATCTATTTCAAGATGCCAATCTTCATATTAAAAGCACACAACAGTGGATTCTCTTGTTAAAGTAGTTAAGTTTGACAGTGTGCCAGCCATTTATCATATGTCTGTTATGTGTAGAGAATATCTTCATAAGGCATTATTAAAATTACTATTAGGTACACTAGCAAATATTCCAGAAAGAAATTTCCATAAGCTGTTCTGATAAATTGTATATGATTATAGAACAAACATACAGTTTTTAAATTGGTTTCAATTATTTAGACAAACTAAGAGGAAGAAAAATGAAAAGTATTTAGATCAGGAACATCATCCAACCTGGGAAGAAGTAGAAGGGCTGCAGCTATTACAGTATTACCACTTTAGAAGAGAATCAAAAATGTTGAATTTTTATTGTTAGGACATGTAGAAGCCAGAGATCTTGAGATGTTTAGAACAGTTATCTGTGTTGATTCTTTTACATGGCCAGGTACTAACAGCCACACTATATCATACTATTTCATATACTAATTATGTCATATCAATCATATCATACCATGTCATATCATTGTATCATCACATTACATGCCTCAATGTACCAGGATTTATTCAGTACATCATCTCATGACTTAGATTGAATTCAAAGCATACAAAAATTAAAGGCTATGCCTAAATTGGCACTGAACAGAAAAACATGTGGAAGACATCTTTGGTCCACTATAAAAGATGTGTCACTAAAACCAATGTTGGAATTCCATAACGAAGATATTGTATGTGTCAATGCTGACAAAGAAAAATCAAATAGAAAGAAGGAGGCAAGTACATCTATGCTCAATTGAAAGAGGGCTCTGGAGAGAAGAATGATTTTGGAGTTAAAAAGAAGTGAAGGTCTTGCCTACCAAATGCAGCAAACAAGCACCATCAGAATTCAGCTTGTGTATAAAAGTTTTCCTTTTATTACAGATTGAAATTGTCTTAATATGCTGTAGTTAAAGGCTTTGGACTGATCATGGATAACAGAAGTGGCTAGAAACCTTGAGGATAAAATCAGATCATCATTTTACTGTAACATCACACTAGTCTATGGCAAAGATTAGAGTTAGTCTTGAGATTATTGCTGTCAATTTTATTAAAACAACAGGCCTAAAATATTCTGAAATATTCTGAAATAAACTATCAAAAATAAAATAGAAGACTTTAGTTTTCTGGCTAAGCTCTTCAGGTTTCACTAGGCCATATCTATCACTTGCACTTTCTGTTCTAGATAGAAATTGAAACTGCTTTCACAGACAATGATCAGAGGAAGGGATACTGAAGGAACATTCACATCACTATGGCGGACACTCAACATGAGCAATTCAAATTAAGCATCACAGGTTTTGACAATTCCTTCACAGCTTTAGTGTGGACAGACGACTTTAGAAAGTATTTTGCCTCTGTTTAAACTCATGATAATTTCAAATTTCTGTATTAACTAGATGAGGACAAGCAGTTCTTTTTTAAGATGGTATTTCACATTATTCCTTTAGTATTTCATATCAAAAACAATACCTCATTCATCTATGATAAGAAATAGAACCGAGGTAAATATAAAAAATTTTAAATGAGTCATACTTCAAGTAAAAGACAATGTTAAATTTATTCTGATCAGTTTCAATAATATTTAATAAAATTTGGACTTTAAATCTATCATGTGAAAGAAATAATTTATTTTTAATCTATTGGGGATAGGAAAACAGAATTATTAAGGTAGGATTTTGAATTTGGGATGTTCAAAATCTGAGTGGAAAACTATGTGAACAAGACCTTTTTTTAAACTCACTCAAAATGTGTCAATGATAGATAATAATATCTACTTATGAAATTACTGATATAAAGTGCTTAGCCAAACCCCAATATAGCAATACTTAATCAATGTTAGCTATCATATTATTTCAAAAGAAATAATAGTTTCGGATAAAAAATAAAATACTAAAATTGAATTCTTAGAAGTCTGAATTAATAGGCAAAAATTGATATAATTATTGCTTCAGCAGGTATAATTGGTCAATTGTTCATCTGTTTCTCTTGAATTTAATAGATAAACAATTATCTGAAAATAATATGTTGCCTCCTCCATTTAGATTTTTATAAACCTTTAATTGCTCTGTTGTCAAAATAAATTAATAGGAATGATCCAAAATTTTTCAATAATTGTATAATTGTAGTGAAAGCAGATATAAGGATATAAGTTTTGTTATTATTTGGTGGGAAAGTGCCTGTTTTCTCACATAAAGCAAAATACTGGTATTGAATTGATTATAATGTAAAAATTATATTGCTATAACATGGACTACAATTCTTTCTACAAAGAAATGCTAGTAATTCTTTCATATTTTATGTTTGGAGGAAACAGACATTTCCCCCAAAGAAGACCTAGAAGCAGCCAACAGACATGAAAAACTGCTCAGCATCAAATCATCACTGAAATGAATATTAAAACCAAAATGAGACACCGTCTCATACATCAGTCAGAATGACTATTATTAAAACGTTAAAAAAACGAACAGATGTTGTGAAGATAAGGAGAAAAGGGAATGCTTTTACCCTGTTGGTGGGAATGTAAATTAGTACAACCTTTACAGAAAACAGTATGGCGATTTCTCAAATAACTAAAAATAGAACTACCATTCAACCAGCAATTCCACTACTGGGTGTCTTCCCAAAGGAAGACAAATTATTGTATGAAAAAAAAAAAAAAAAACCCCAAAACACCTGCACTCATACGTCTATTGCAGCACTATTCCCAATAGCGAAGTTATGGAATCAATCTAAGCGTCCATGTGTGGATGTTTACGTAAAGAAAATGTGTTACATACACATCATATAATACTAAACAGCCATAAAAAAGGATGAAGTCATGTCTTTTGCAGCAAGATGAATAGAGCTAGAGGCCATTATCCTAAATGAATAACACAGAAACAGAAAATCAAATATCACATGTTCTCATTGATAAGTAACAGCTAAACAATGAGTACACATGGACATACCAAGGGAAATGATAGACAATGAGTACTCAAAAGGTAGGTGGCAGGAAGGATGTGGGGTTGGAAAAAATTTTCTATGCAATACAATGTTCACTATTTAGATAATAGGTACACTGAAATCCCAGACTTCACCACTATGCAACATGTCCATGTAACAAACCTGCACGTGTATTCCCTGAATCTATTTTTAAAAAAATACAATATTGCATGTGTTCAAATTTTTAATGACTAAACATGATATAGTTTGGTTCTGTGTCCCTACCCAAATCTCATCTCAAATTGTAATTCCCACATGTCAAGGGAGAGAACTGGTGGGAGGTGATTGGATCACACTGTTCTCCTGATAGTGAGGGAGTTCTCACAAGATCTGGTTGTTTGATACGTGTCTGGCACTTTCCCCTGTGCTCTCTCTTTCTCTCCTGCCACCATGTAAGACGCCCTTGCTTCCCCTTCACCTTCCACCATGATTGCAAATTTCCTGAGGTCTTCCGAGCCATGCAGAACTGTGAGTCAATTAAACCTCTTTCCTTTATAAATTACCTAGTCTTGGGTAGTATCTTTATATCAGTGTAAGAACAGACTAATACATTTCTGAAACATCTTATAGGGTTATATATTTTTTCTTATATAACTGAGTGGCATTTGCCAATATTTTATTTATAATATAGTTGTTCTATAATAGTCATGTGGGAAATAATTCTAATCATCAGATTCCTCTTAGGAAGAGAGTACAGCCTTTGCTTAAAAGAATTGAAAGAATGGTGTAATAAGTACTTGTGTTAAAAGATAACCCATCATTCATGATTCCTAGAATTCTTACAACCCAATGTCATGAAAAGGAAAGAGAAAGAAGGAAGACAAAAGATGACACAATGAAGTGTAGACAGATTGAGAGGTAAGTGCAGTTATACAGTTTTGAGCTGCTGATGGATATTTTAAGGACTATGCTTTAAAAACCTTTAACAGTGCTTTCTCTTCTCATGATCTCCCTAAAAAATCTTGAGAATTTCAGTGCACTCACAGATGCTTTGTGGGAATGTGTATTTTGAAGATTTTAAGGTGTTACATTTTGTTCTTGGATCAATATTTAGCCTGAACAAAGTGGCTTCTCTGAGACCACAAGTTATAGGAAACAAATGACAATTTTTTAGAGTAGGTGCCAATTTTTTTACATTTAAATAATTATTTTGTTCTTTTCATTATTGACTATTTTTAATTTTAGTAAAATATACCTAACAAGATTTACCATCTTAAGTATTTTTAGATGTACAGTTTGGTAACATCTGATACATTCATATTGCTGTGCACCAATCTCTAGAACTCTTCTTGCAAACTGAAACTCTATGTCCATTAAACAGCAACCCTCATGGCCCTTTCTTGCCGACCTCTGACAACCACCATTCTACTTTCTGTCACTACAAATTTAACTGTACTATGTATCTCAAGTAAGTGAAATCATACAATATTTGTCTGTTTGTGACTGACTTACTTTACTTAACATAGTGTCCCCAAGGTTCATACATGTTGTAGCACATATCAGAATGTCCTTCCTTTTAATGCTGGAAAATATTCCATTGTATGCATACATCATATTTTCCTTATCTAGCCATCAGTTGATGGATACTTGGGTTGACTCTGTCTGGATTTTGGCTATTGTGAATAATGCTGCTTTGAACATGGGTATACAAATTTATCTATAAGACGCTACCTTCAAATCTTTTGGGTATATATGCAGAAGTAAAATCCCTAGGTTATTTTACTATTTGGAAAAGCCATCGTACTGTTTTCAATAGTTTCTGTGCCATTATATATTTCCACAGACGTTGGGCAATGGACCTGATTTCTCCACATTATCTACAACATTTGTTATTTTCTGTTTCTTTCTTATAAGTAGTCATCCTTGAATACAATTTTAATGATGTAAAGTCCATATGATATTTCAAATGTGATTAAAAGTCGCCATTTGGAATGGCTAAATATGTATTGCATATGTATAGATAGGTATACCTAGCATGCAGTTATATTATACATATATAATACATATTTATACATATAGAAATATATATTGCTTATACATATACAATGCATTTAAATACATGTATGATAGGATGGATGGATAGATAACATATCAATCAATTTGGCCTATGAAATTTATATTATGAACATAATTTAAATTGATCACTTGCATTTACAAATAACAGAATATTCAGATAATTACACTAAATTGTATTTCTAAAAATACTGACACAGCACCAAAAGAAATGGAACTTTTAGCTCTGACTGTTTATCTCTCACTTAGCACCACCATACCATATATCAAAGTCAACATAAGGTTACATTTAATCTTCCATTGAAGATATCAGATATTGTAGCTATTTCAGCTTATTTTTCCTCTATAAAAATACATTTATATATTCTTTATTAAAATATACTTATATATGTATACGTAAATAATATATACACATACATTATGTGTATATGTGTATTTATTTGGTTCAATCTCTAATTTATTCAATGTTGAGATTAATCTGTTACATATATCAATAGTTCATTCTATTATTATTATTTTAATTTATAATTCACACAATAATTGTACATTTTATGGGGTACAGTTTGATGTTTTGATGCAGGTATGCATTGCATAATAAGTCAGGTAATTATATTCACCATTTTACACTTTTTTTTGTAGTGAGACTATTTGACATATTCTCTTCTTGCTATCTTGAAATATACACTACATTATTATTAGCTATAATAAACCTACAGTGTAATAGAAGGGCAGAACTTATTCTACCTGTCCAACTGCAACTTTCTACTCATTAACCAACCTCTCCCAGTTCCATCCTCTTCCCTCCCCTCCCCAGCCTCTTGGTTACACAATTCTGCTTTGTACTTTGAAATCCACTTTTTTCATATACATTATAAAACTGATTTTGCTATTTCCATGAAGAATATCATTGGTATTTTGATAAGGATTGTATTGAATCTGTAGATTGCTTTTCTGTAATATGGACATTTTAACAATATTAATTCTCCCAATCCATGAACATAGGCTATCTTTCCATTTATTTGTTTTTTTTTCCATTTCTTTTCTATTTTTGTTATTGCTTTCTTGATCTTGTTCTTTGATTTTGTTCTCAGTTTGCTACTGGCATATAAAAATACTAATGATTTTTGTATGTTAATTTACAATAATGCAACTTTACTGGATTTGCCTATTAGTTCTAACCATGGATTAGTGGAGTCTGTAGGGTTTCTGTATATATGATCACGTCATCTGCGAAAACAGACAATTTAATTTCATCCTTCCTAATTTGAATGCCCTTTATATACTTCTCTCACCTAAATTTCTCTGGCTAGAACTTCCAATACTATGTTGAACGAAAGTAGTCAAAATGGACTTTCTTGCCTTGTTTACTATCTCAGAAAAAAAGGCTTTCAACTCTTCCCCATTCAATATGATGTTAGATGTGGTTTTGTCTTATGTGACCTTTATTATTCGGAGGTATGTTGCTTCTATATCCAATTTGTTAAAGAGTTTGTATTATGAAGAGATGAATTATTTTCAATGCTTTTTCACCATCTATTGAAATGATTACATGAATTTTGTCTTTGAGTCTGTTAGTGTGATGTATCATCTTAACTAATTTGTTATGTTGAAAAATCCTTGCAACTCTGGGATGAATCTAATTTGATCAGGGTAAATGAATTTTGTAATATTTTGTTGAACTTAGTTTGCTAGTATTTTTGTTGGGAATTTTTGCATCTTTGTTTATCTGGAATAAATAAATTTCTTCTTTTGTTGTTTTATCCTAGCTCAGTTTTGATATCTGGGTAACACCAGCCTTGTGAAATGAGTTTAGAATTATTTCCTATTTTTCAATTTTTTTAAATAGTTTGAGCAGAATTGGTATTAGTTTTTCTTTAAATACTTGGTAGAATTTAACAGTAAAGTCTCAGGTACTAAGCTTTTCTCAGATGGGATACCTTTTTATGGCTTCAATTTTGTTACTTCCTATTTGTATGCTAAAATATTCTATATTATGATTCAATCTTGATAAGGGTTGTGTGTCTAGAAATTTGTCCATTTCTTCTAGGTGTTCCAATTTGTTGGTATGTACGTATGGCCAGTGGATATAACAATGATACCATCACATGGGTATAACAATTATAAACATATATGCACTCAACACTGGAGCATCTAAATATATAAAGATGACATTAAGAGTCCTAAAGGTAGTTATCAACTGTAGTACGATAAAAATAGGCAACTTCATTATCCTCACTTTTATCAGTGAAGAGAACATCCAAACAGAAAATTAACAAAGAAGCATCGGAGACAGACAGCACTCCAGACCAAATGAATCTAACAGAAATCTTCTTCCAGATATATTGGAGTTCCTTTATATGTTACCCACTTTTTTTCTCTTGCTGGTTTTAGAATCTTCTCTTTGTCCTTGACCTTGGAGAGTTTAACTATTTTATTTTGTTTTATTTTTTGAGACGGAGTCTCACTCTGTCACCCAGGCTGGAGAGCAGTGGCGCGATCTCGGCTCACTGCAAGCTCCGCCTCCTCGGTTCATGCCATTCTTCCACCTCAGCCTCAGGAGTAGCTGGGACTACAGGTGCCCGCCACCACACCCAGCTAATTTTGTTTTTTTATTTTGAGTAGAGACAGGGTTTCACCATGTTAGCCAGGATGGTCTGGATCTTCTGACCTCGTGATCCACTGGCCTCTGCCTCCCAAAGTACTGGGATTACAGGCATAAGCCACCACGCACAGCCGAGAGTTTAACTGTTATACACCTTGAGGTGTTCTTACTTGGATTGTAACTGCTTGGTGATATTGGACCTTCCTGTAACTGGGTATTTATACCTTTCTCTAGGTTTGGAAATTTTTGTACTATTATTTCTTTGAATAAGCTTTCTACCTTTTTCTCTTTCTCTAATCCCTCCTGATGACTAATGATTTACATTTGTTATTTGATGCTATCATATAGATATCATAAGCATTTTTTTTTTTTTTTTTGAGACGGAGTCATGCTCTGTCGCCCAGGCTAGAGTGGAGTGGTGCAATCTCGGCTCACTGCAAGCTCTGCCTCCTGAGTTCATGCCATTCTCCTGCCTCAGCCTCAGATATCATAAGCATTATTTTTTCCTTTGTATTCTTTCTTTTTTCTTACCTGACTGTATATTTTTAAAGAGCCTGTCTTTTAACTCATTTATTCTTTCTTCTGCTTTATCACTTCTGCTCTGATATCCTCTAATTCATTTTTAAGTACATCAATTGCATTTTTTATCTCCAGCATTTCTGTATAATTTTTAAAATTATTTCAATCTCATTATTAAATTTCACTGATAAATTTCTGAGTTGCTTTTCTGTGTGTGTGTGTGTTTGTGTGTGTGTGCAAAATTTACTAAGTTTTCTCAAAACAACTATTTTGAATTCCATCTGAGAAATCACACGTCATTTTTCCCGGGTTGGTCATGGGTGCCCTATTCAGTCCTTTTAGTAAATTTATATTTCCCTGAATGTTCTTGATGCTTGTACATGTATGTTGATGTCTGTGTATGGAAGAATTATTTATTGCAGTCTTCACAGTGTGGCCTTGTTTGTACCCTTCCTTGTTTAGAGGGCCTTCTAGGAATGCAAAGGGAACTGACTGTTGACCCCTAAGCCTGTGGTCATACAGTCATGTCAGCACTATAGGGTAGCCTAATTCCCTGTTTGCTGAGACTCTATAGCATACTCTGAGGTCTTCATGCCTGAAGGACATGGGTAAGTTCAAGGAGAGTTCTCTGGGTTAGCATGCAAAGTCCATCACTCTCTTCCCTTTCCTCCCCTCAAGTTTCTCTGCACTGTGCTACCTGGAGTCAGGAGATAAGTGTAGTGGGATTTCCTGTGTCTAGCACAGCTGGTACCTAGCTGGGGATGCAGTCAAATCTCGTGGCCTCCCAGAACACAACACCACTGAAGCTCACTCAAGCGCCATAGTCGCTATAGCCTGCCTGCCAATGAAATTTATTCGGAGCCTGAGGCCACTTTTGACAGCTATCAGGGAAGTCAGCTAGGATTCAGGTTCATCCTTCTGGGGCAACAAATTTACTTTTGTCATAGGTGAGTCTAGGAAATCTGTCCATGGGCACCGGCCTGGAATCAGGGGATCCAAGTACATCCTCACACTGTTGAGGCAGGACCAGTTCCAAGGCAAAGTCTCATGCACATTTTCCTCCCCCTTCCCCAAGTTAACAGATTACTTCTCCACACTCTGCTCCCTGTGGTTAGGTGAAGGGTTGTGTAGGTAATGTGACAGTCCTCTTTCTACCCTCCTCAATGTGTCTTTTCTTGTTATTATGCTAAAACCAGGTACTGTGATCTCTCACCTGGTTTACTTAGCTCTTGTGAATGTATGTTTTTTTTTTTAAACATAAAAGTTGTTCAATTTGATGTTCCTGTGGAGATGATCAATGGAGTATTCCATTTTATAAAATTTCACTAAAATTCTTACTTTAGACAATATTTTAATCTTACTGTAATTTATTTTTAAAGGCATTAGTTATCTGTAAAAGACTAAAATTCATAGATATGTACAGGCCATAATTTTTGAGTAATATTAAACAGTGCTATCATTTTTACTTAACCTTCGCTTTATCTTTAAAAGAAATATAAATATTTTTATGATATAATATAAATATTTTTATGATATAAATATAATGTTTTTCAAAAAATATATTAAAATCTTTATGGTAGAAGCAAATAAATTGTTTCCCAACATCTTGTATATTTTTCTTTCTCAGTAATAAAATGTCAGCTTAAAAAAATAAAAGAAGCCAACAAGAAAAAGAAATATAATTATAATATTATGTTGTTCATACGAGGCACATCAAGCAAAAACATTCAGAAAGCTTCAAAAAAAAGGATGAAAACTGACAAACTATTATTTAAACATCAAAGTTAGCAAAATAATTTTATTAAAATAGGCAAAACAGATTTTAATACAAAATAAAGTATTACTAGAGATAAAGAAGACCTATTTATGATAATAAAAGCTTCATTTGATCAAGATAGATAAAACAATCTGTAATTTTTATCCAGCCAGTAATCTAAATAGAAAAGCACTACAAGGAAAAACAAAACTGTACATGCCTTACATTATAGTGAGAGATTTTAAGACACATTTCTTAGTACTTTATAAAACTACCTGACCAAAAAAAAGAAAATAGGTTATAGATTTGAACCACATAATTCACAAACAGCCATAGGATATGCGTGCTTTACAAGCATATGTGTAACATTAACTAAAATTAGTGTCTATTGGGTCATAAAGCAAATGTCACCAAATATCAAAACAGTCAATATATTGTCAGATTCAAAGCAATACTTGAAATCAGGAATGAAGATCTGTAGAAATATCTATATCCTTGAATGTTGAGAAATGTATTTCTAGTAACCCACTGCTCAAAGAGATCAAAATAAAAAATTTTAAAAATTTATCTGTAAGATAATAAACATACTGTGTATTAAGCAATGTAGGATGCATCCAAATATCTAGAACATAATTAATATACATTTAATTTAAGGCTATAAATCCATAATTTTTTAAAAGGAAATGTTTAAAATTAATGAATTAAACATTATTTCACATATACTACAATTGTGCCCATAAAAAAAGCCAAATCATCTTAGATACATTATTAAAATTAAGAGAGTTTAGCAAATTTACTGGACATAAATTTGATATGCCATAATAAACTTCAGCAAAACACAGTAAATATGTGTGTTATCTTAAAATAAAGACACAACAAAAACATTTAAAAAGCATTAAATATGTCAAGGCCCAGACGTTAAGTATAAAAATAGTGATATATACTAGATTCCTAGATTCAAAGGTTAATTGTTGTAAAGATGTCAGTTCTCTAAATATCATTTATAGATTCAGTGCATAATTCACAAAAAGTGCAATCTCAATCCTTTGCTAACAGGAGTGTCTACTGAGGTGGTAAGGTGGAGTGTGTGTGTGTGTATGTGTGTGTCATGTTCAGAATGGCAAGCTGAATCTGAAATGCGTACAGAAATGTAAAGGACTAAGAATGTCCCAGACATTCTTGAAAATAAAAATGTTGTGGAGATTTATAAAGCTAAAATTACGGAAATTGCTGTGGTAAGGTTGCAAGCTTAGCTACATTAAATGAATAAAAAAGAGAGCATAGAAACAGAACCATAGATATATGGACATACAATAATTAAAAAGATGGTAGTGGAGAAGGAACAGTTTTTTCAATAAACAAATTGGGCACTTGATGCACACGTGGATGAGAATAAAATTGGAGCCATACTTCATATCATAAATATAAAATATAGTCCAGTTGAATTATGTACATAAATATTAGATTATTACTTTAGAATTAGATCACAGTAAAGTTTGAAAGAAAAAATTACAATCACTTCCAATAAAAAGTTTGTTAAATTAGATAACTAAAATAAAATCCTCTAGTCATCAAACACTCCATCAACAGAATATACTGATGTATCATAGAGTGGGAGTAGGTATTTATAACTCAGGAAATTAACAAAGGGTTTCATTCAGTGTAATTTTTTTAAGTCTTAACTCCACATAAAGGGCATACAATCCAGTAGAACAATGCACCAAAGACTTGAGTGCAATTTTCACGAAGTGCAGAAATTCAAATGACCACACTTGAGTTTCCTGAAACAGAGAGCCAGCAACTCTGTGTTATAATATATAAATATACATAAATGTATATGCGGTGGCTCACGTCTGTAATCCCAGCACTTTGGGAGGCCAAGGCAGGTGGATCACCTGAGGTCAGGAGTTCTAGACCAGCCTGGCCAACATGGTGAAACCCCGTCTCTACTAAAAATACAAAAATTAGCCGGGCGTGGTGGCAGGCACCTGTAATCCCAGCTACTCAGGGGGCTGAGGCAGGAGAATCGCTGGAATCCAGGAGGCAGAGGTTGCAGTGAGCCAAGATCGCACCATTGCACTCCATCCTGGGGGGACAAGAGCGAAACTTTGTCTCAAAAAAAAATAATAATAATAATAAATAAAAAAATACATAAATAGGTGCTCAACTCCCTGAGTAATCCAGACAGGAAATCAAAAACTATCTAGCAAAATTGAGAATATTGTGTAGTATGTCCTGACAATTCTACTTGTTACCTACCCTATGGAAATAAGTGTTTGTGCATACCAGAAAAAATTATACAAGATATGTTACTTACAATAGCGAAAAAGAAAGCAACCAAAATGCCCATTCACAGCCAAATGGATAAATTGTGGCATATTATCCATTAAAACCTTGTACACAAACTAGAGTAAAACAAAAACAAGATATATAAATTTGCCAACACAATAATCCATCACTTCATTTATTTAAAATGCAAAAGTAGGAGGAAAAAAGAAACAATGGTTTTTAAAATGCAAATGGATGGTATAACCATAGGTAGTAAATGATGAAGAAAATGAAAGGAAATATTGCAATAAAAATCATGATACTGTTGCCCTGAAGGAATGACAGAGAGGCCTGTGGTCAGGTTGATGTATAAAGAGGAGTTTTGAGATGTTGATTATATTTTATTTTTTGTATGAATGGAAAATAAACATGTTATTTTTATGATAAGTCACTGATGTTTTGTTGACTGGTAGGTGTACTACAATGCAACTTATCAAAAAACAAAAAGAAAACCTACATGAGAACAACTGCCTTTTAGTTTGTTCTTTTATATAAACATTAGTACGTTTAGTTTACAAATTTATAACAACAAACTTATAATAACAATTTTGTAACAACAAATACTGAATCTATTATATTATCCTAAAATATTTTTTATTGTTAACAAGACTGCTGCCCAGGTTATTTTCAAGGGGCTGGGAGAGTGGTGAAAGGAGTAAGGTCATCTGTTTTATTTGTTTTAATGCCTGAATGCTCACATTATTTTTTTCTGTGCAAAAATATTTAAGATTTAATCAGTATGTTTCTACTTATGCAATATATTTTTTTTCTGAAATATATGGGAATGAAATTTTTACCCGCTTTCTCTCCTTTTTTCATTCAGTTCAGGATTAGTTCCTTCTCTTACAGTTTTGACTATTACTTTTTCATTTGTATGGTCCTTTATTAGTTCCTTATAATTTCAAAATTCTGTATCTAAATGTTAGCATTTGTACCTATAATTCTGCCTATTTCTCTAGTTACAGCTCTGTCTTTGGCTAATCACAGATTTCTTTTTAATGTCTGTATTCTTTTGCATGATTTTGGAGAAAATTTTCTAACATGTCTCCAAATCCCAAGTGTAGATTCTTTACAGTTTCTGAAAATCACATTTGCTCAATTGTAGCAATTTTAAATTGAGATCAAATGTAATATAAATGTTCACAGGATTCCAATTAAAAACAAAATATTTTCAAAGGATTTATTTTATTTTTCGCAAAATGATTTATGAAAGTATATTTGTTCTAATGTTCAGGTTATTCCACTTATATTTAATTGTTTATTATACTCATATCCCTAATGCTATTTGTTTTCTTGCTTATTCTTTCTAAGGTACAAAAATATAATCGCCAGCATTATAAATTGTGGGTTCTTTTCATATTCAAATCATTTCGCTTAGATGAGAGAAGAATAAGATTTTATATCTGAAGTATTTTAGTTTAAAAAGTTACAGCTTATGATGAAAACCACCTTTAAATAATAAATAGATATTCCAAGTGGATGGGAAAAAAAACTTGTAGCCATAAGTTACCAAACTTTAAGAGGCTACTTAAAAGGTGCATTGATAACATATATTTGAAAGGTCAACTATGCCTTTGAAAGGAGACCATATTTATATGTAAAAACAAAGGAAGTTACAATATTTGTTCTGAAGAACAAAGGAGGTGGGACATTGAAGATCTGTAAAAGACTCGTGAAGCTTGTTCAAGGGAGTAACACATCAAAAATATCTTTCTTATTTGATAATAACTTTTAGTGCAGGTGTCATGCCTCCCTGTTGAGCAGTAGAATGTCTCATCTTTCTAAATTAAAATTTAAAAGTCCTCTCCATCCCTGCCAATCATTGGGAAAAATCTTCAAGAGGGTCTTGATTATACTCTAATATAAATTAAAACCTGACATTGTGTTGAGATAAGGAACTTTGGTGTGCTGTGTGTGATTACCACTCTTCTGGTTGATTACCACTTTTCTTCTTCTTTCTTGCAATACAATTTTTTAAACAGTAAAACCTGATTAAAATACTCTGTAGAAAAGCTTTAATGTTTATTGATATCAATCTTGCTTACCTGGTCTTCAGTCATGCATACCATTTTAGTTTTAAGCTCCCACAAACCATTATTCACCTTCCCTCTACTGTGGTTCCTCTTGTCTGGCCTCTCCTCAGGTGAGTGACCATGCCTACCAGTGATCAAGAGGGACAGAGCCTTTGACAGTTGAAGTGGGGAGCCTCAGAGGAGGCCATGGGCGGGAGAACTACAGATATTCTTTAAATAAGTGGTTCTTGGCCGGGTGCAGTGGCTCACAACTGTAATCCCAGCACTTTGGGAGGCTGAGGCAGGTGGATCACCTGAGGTCAGGAGTTCAAGACCAGCCTGACCAAATGGTGAAACACCATCTCTACTACAAATATAAAAATTATCTGGGTGTGGTGATGTGCGCCTGTAATCCCAGCTACTTGGAAGGCTGAGGCAGGAGAATTGCTTGAACCTGGTAGGTGGAGGTTGCAGTGAGCAGAGATCAAGCCACTGCTATCCAGCCTATATGACAGAGTGAGACTCCGTTTCAAAAAATAAAAATAAGAATGTACAGCAACAATCTTATTTCATTCATCAAAACACATTATAATAGCACGTTTTCAAGTAGGTATTAAGTTTACAAAATGAATATTCCCAGTTTTATTAAATTCGGTGGCCCCCAAGAGTCCTGCAAGTGATGAGACATAATGTGTGCATTCTTTCTTCCTAATAAATTTAAAATACTATATAGCTAAAAACAATATGCCAAGTAAGATTCAGTGCTTTTAGTTATTAGCGCAGAAAAGTCTTTGCAAGAACAGCATATACTTTGTGTAAAACAAAAGATTTTAAAAACCCTGGATTTGTGTGAAGAAACAAATTATCTATTAACTGAAGTCAAGAATTTTTGTTTTGTTTTGGTTTGCTATTTTAGATATTTTAGGTTGAGGCAATCATTATAAAAGCAAAATAATTATGCAAATGTCATCACCACATTTTGTTACGGGGATATTTGAACATCTCTTTCAATCACTAGCCATTAATCCATTCCAAGCATCAAAAAACGAGAAAAATTTTAAAAGTTGCTCTTCAATTACAATATTCTTTCCTTTTTCAATATAGGGCAACTTTTCCTCATTTTTATATAATTCTAGCTAAGGTAACACCAAATATAAAAACTCTGCGGTGTAATTCCATAGAGAGATCAGAAATGTTAACTTGGAGAATGGCACTGCAGAGGTTCTAAGAGGATTGGGTAAAATATCCTTAGCATTTTCTACATTTCAGACAGATAGAAAACTTTTTCAAGATCTCCTGTCTCCTGGGTAATGTGTGAGCATAACATTTTCTTACATTTTCTATTAATTTTGTGCCTCCCCTTCCACTTTAAATTATTTATTTTTGGACTGAAACTTTTTGACAGCTGTTGACTCAGCTAAGAAACCTCCGAATAGAATTGTTTTCATCCATAGTTAGCCATTACAATGACACTTTACCTTTTATTGGGTTTTCTAATCAAAAGGTAAACTTCAGAATCAAGTCAGTGTATAAGGAATCCAAAAAGCTCAATGATACCATGATGTCTAAAGCTCAAAGATCCCCTATGGGTAGTTTGCTGACAGTATCACTTTGCAAGTTTGTCCTTGTATCTCAAAGTCTGATATAGTGTGCCTGAACCAAGGTCAGGTGCATTAGCTTGTAAAATAATATACAGTAAAAAAGATGATTTTCTACTATCTGTTTATGGAGGACATCAATTAAAATGATATAGATGTGCCTTTGATGGAGTCAGACCTTGGAGTCTGGCAAATTTCCTTGGCAAGATCTGACCATTTTATTCAGTAAAGGCCTGGCAATGAATAAAAGATGTTTGTTTGTTTGTTTTTTTTCCACAGTATTTAAGTAGCTAAATTTTTCCTTCCATGCTAAGGTTCTGATTAAGTTACCTCCTAGTAATATTAGTTTTGATTTCCAAAATAATGTCGAACATTATTTTCCATTTCCGTTAGGCTAGCCAACCTTTTGGGTTAGACAAAAGATTCTCTAGCTGCTTTTACCAGGTGCACGCATAAATTAACTCATCCTCACGAAAAGTCACTCTTTAACCATATGCTAACAATAAAGTTAGCCAATTTGTTATGTGTGTGTCTGGGAGATTGTAGAACTAAGAAGCATTAGAATGAATTAAGATAACATCAAGAACAATGAAAAATCCTTACCATTCAATTTCTTAAGAAAAGTAACTGCTGATACTGTTCTTTGGGCAAACTCTGTCTTAAGTCTGCAGATTATACACACACACAGACCCACATTTCTTCTGTGGACAGTTATATTGCCAAGAGAATACACATCAAATAGAGGACATATTTGAGTTGTTATTTTGTTTTGCAATTGCAGCTGTTTTCGTTCAGTTCGTCTTTCTGTCTTTATCAAGATACTTCTTAAATCACATTTCCTTGGGGATAACTGGATCTGCCATCCTTGGTCATCAACGTTTCAACCCATCTGTTAACAGTTCCTATTATAGTTGTAGTAAAATAGCATGCACAGGCTGGCTTGAAGTGTATGGATCTGAAAATGTTTGACTTTGTGACCAAGTATTTAAGCCTTACTTGATTCCAAAGTGTAAAGAGCCTTCAAATGATTTTCTGTAATGGATTTTTAATGCCACCCTCCTTTTCCATGCCCCTGTCTCAGCTGTGATCTGGGTTGTTGAAAGTTGTTTGAGAAACCATGAAATAAACTTGGTTTGGGAATAAGAAAACATTCGCTTTAATCCTACCTGCCCTTTTTGAAAAACACTTTGAGAAAGCCAGTTACCTCTTCAGAATGAATTACAAATTTAGAAGTACCAAAGTGAAAAAAAAAAAAACAAAGCAGAAAACAAGCACTAATTCTGGATTATAGACTTCAGGTCCAGTAGGTATTCCCACTTCATACATTTGCAATGTTTGCAAATTACCTTGGGTACTTTGATTAACCACCCAACTACTGTTTTTTCCCTTGTTACATGGTAAGAAAAAACCCTCCTGTAAAGGTGATGGGGAGGGTAACATATGCTAACCTTGAGGTTATGCAGCATAACCTAGACCTTTGCACAAGCAGATGTCAGAGGCAACCCTCCTCCCAGAAAAAAAAAGTTTCTTATTTTCTCACTAATGAAGAGAGTAAAGAAAAGGTAATTTGTAATTTGTTATTTCAAGTAAAGAAAAGGAAATTTGTAGGGGGGAAAAAAAAACTAAATAACAATTTGCAGCCTGGGGCTAATTATTTCCTGAGAATAATTAAAAGTAAGTTTGTATCCCCTAAAATATTTCAATGGAAGATGCTGTTATAGTTTTAGTAAAATCCAAGGGAAAAATGGAGTTCAAAGTCCACCATTCACGGCTGAGCCTTCCCACTCATCATCACTACTACATCAAGCAACGGAAAAGTAGATTTTATAACACTCTGTCACCATCATGAGACTCAAAGTGAGACAAGGAAATAGTGTTTACATAGCCCACAATAAAATAAATACACACTTGTAATGGAAAGCCTTAACCACAAATGAAATAGCAAGAAAACACAATTTGGCTATGTGAAATACAAGAGCCAAAAAAAAAAAAAAAATGTGTCAAGAAAGAGAGATCTGCAGAGACAAACATAGAAAAAAAATCAAGGAACTTAAAATCCATGTTAGATGGAAACAATAAAGGAAACAGTTTTAAAATGAGATATAGAGCAAATAAAAATAGAGAATTTCAGGCAGAAAGTAAAACAGGAATTGTGCCTACAGAAATACAAATTTCAGGTAAAATGTAGAGCAGATTTATTCTTGTCACATTAAGAAAAATAAATGGAAAACCATGAATCATCATATATTCCTGAAAAGCCTAAATCATGGCAAAGAAATGCCCAGATAACTAAAGAGAATTGGCTAGAGTTGGAAAAGATAATTAAGGGAAGATTAAAGACATTAGTACATCTATTAAACAAGACCAATATAATTTCTAAAAGGAGAAACAAAACAAAAAGATATCATTATTAGTTAGAAATATGATTTCCAATTTTTAAAAGCAATAAATCATTAGAAAATGAAGAAAAGTCTGAAAGTAAAGAAAAAAACAGAATTTTTTTAAACTTTTTTTTTACTTTCTGGGGCACAAGTGCAGGTTGGTTACATATGTAAACTTGTTATACAGATTATTTCATTACCCAGATAGTAAGCCTAGTACCCGTCGGAGTTATTTTTCCTGATCCTCTCCCTTCTCACATCCTCCATCCTCCAAAAGGTCCCAGTGTGTGTTGTTTTCCTCTATGTGTTCATGTGTTCTCATCATTTAGCTGCCACGTATAAGTGAGAACATGCGGTATTTGGTTCTCTGTTCCTGTGTTGGTTTGCTAAGGATAATGGCCTTCAGCTCCATCCGTGTGCCTGCAACAGACATGATCTCAATCTTTTTATGGCATCATGATATTCCATAGTGTACATGTACCACATTTTCTTTATCCAGTCAATCACTGAAGAGCATTTAGGTTGATTCCATGCCTTTGCTATTGTGAACAGTGCTGCAGTGTACATTTGCACACATGCGTCTTTCTCACAGCATGGTTTATATTCCTTTGGGTATGTACCAGTAATAGGATTGCTGGGTTGAATGGTAATTCTGTCTTTAGATCATTGAGGAATTGCCACACTGTCTTCCACAATGGCTTGACCAATTTACACTCCCACCAACAGTATAAAAGCATCTCTTTTTCTCCACAACCTCACCAGCATCTGCTGTTTTTTGACTTTTTAATAACAGTCATTCTGACTGGTGTTAGATGGTATCTCATTGGGGTTTTGATTTCCATTTCTCTAATGATCAGTTATGTTGAGCTTTTTTCCATATGATTGTTGGCCGCATGCTTGTCTGCTTCTGAAAAGTCAGTTCATGTTCTTTGCCTATTTTTAACGGGATTGTTTGCTTTTTTCTTGTAAATTTGTTTAAGTTCCTTAGAGATACTGGATATTAGACCTTTGTTGGATGCAGAGTTTGCAAAAATTTTCTGTACGTTGTCTGTTTAATCTGTTGATAGTTCATTTTTCAGTGCAGAAGCTATTTATTTATTTAGACAGGGTCTCACTCTGTTGCCCAGGCTGGAGTGCAAAGGTGCAATCTTAGCTCACTGCAACCTCCACCTCAGGGGCACAAGTGGATCCTCCCACCTCAGTCTCCCAAGTAGGTGGGACTACAGTTGCATACCATCATGCCTGGCTAATTTTTGTATTTTTTGTAGAGACAGGGTTTCACCATGTTGCCCAGGCTGGTCTCAAACTGCTGAGCTCACATGATTTTCCTGCCTCAACTTCCAAAAGTGCTGAGATAACAGGCATGAGCCACTATGCTGGCCTAGAATTTTTAGTTTAATTAAGTCCCATTTGTCAATTTTTGCTATTGTTGCAATTTCTTTTAATGTCTTTCTCATGAAATCTCTGCTTGTGCCTATGTTATGAATGGTATTAACTAGGTTGTCTTCCAGGGTTTTTATAGTTTTGTGTTTTACATTTAAGTCTTTAATCTACCTTGAGTTGATTTTTGTATATGGGGTAAGGAAGGAGTCCAGTTTCAATCTTCTGCATATAGCTAGCCAGTTTTTCCAGTACCATTTATTGAATAGGGAATCCTTTCTCCATTGCTTGTCTTTGCCGGGTTTGTTGAAGAACCTATAGTTGTAGATGTGTGGTCTTACCTATGGGTTCTCTATTCTGTTCCATTGGTCTATGTGTCTGTTTTTGTACCAGTACCATGCTCTTTTGGTTAGTGTAGCTCTGTAGCATAGTGTGAAGTTGAGTAGCATGATACCTCCAGCTTTGTTGTTTTTGCTTAGGATTGCCTTGGCTATTCAGTCTCTTTTATGGTTCCATATGAATTTTAAAAGAGTTTTCTCTAGTTCTGTGAAGAATTTCATTGGTAGTTCAATAGGAATAGCATTGAAACTATAAATTGCTTTAGGCAGAATGGACATTTTAACAATATTTATTTTTCCTATCCATGACCATGGAATGTTTTTCCATATGTTTGTGTCATCTCTGATGTCTTTGAGCAGTGGCTTGCAGTTCTCCTTGTAGAGATCTTTCACCTCCCTAGTTAGCTGTATTCCTAGGTATTTTATTATTTTTTTTCTGACAATTATAAACACAGGTTCATTTGTAAGATGGCTCTTGGCTTGACTGCTGTGGTGTGTAGAAATGCTAGTGATATTTGCATATTGATTTTGTACCCTGAGACCTTGCTGAGGTTGTTCATCAGCTTAAGAAGCTTTTTGGCTGAGACTATAGAGTTTTCTAGATACACGATCATGTCATCTGCAAACAGGGATGGTTTGACTTCCTCTCTTTCTATTCAGATGAACTTTATTTCTTTTTCTAGCCTGATTTCTCTGGCCAGAACTTCTAATACTATGTTGAATAGGAGTGGTGAGAGAGGGTATCCTTGTCTTCTGCTGGTGTTCAAGGTAAATGCTTTCAGCTTGTACCTATTCAGTATGATGTTGTCTATGGGTTTGTCTTATACAGCTATTATTTTGAGGTATGTTCCTTCATTATCTAGGTTATTGAGAGTTTTTAACATGAATGGATGTTGAATCTTATTAAAAGCCTTTTCTGCATCTATTTAGATAATCATGTGTTTTTCATCTTTAGATCTGTTTATGCGATGAAACCCATTTATTGATTTGTGTGTGTTGAACAAACCTTGCATCCCAGAGATGAAGCCTACCTGATGGTGGTGAATAAGCTTTTTAGTGTGCTGCTGGATTTGGATTTCCAGTATTTTGTTGAGGATTTTTGTATCAATGTTCATCAAAGTTATTGATCTGAAGTTTTGTTTTTTTGTTGTTGTATCTCTGCCAGGTTTTGGTTTCAGGATGATGCTGGCCTCATAAAATGAGACTTTAACACCCCACTGAAAATATTAGATCATTGAGACAGAAAATTAATGAAGATATTCAGGATCTAAACTCAGCATGAAATCAAATGGCCCTGATAGCTATCTATAGAACTCACCACCCAAAAACAAGAGATAAACATTTGTCTCATTGCCACATGGCACATACATTATAATCGATCACAAAACTAGATATGAAGCACTCCTCAGCAAATGCAAAATAACTGAAATTATAACAAACAGTTTTTCGGATCTCAGGGCAATCAAATTCTAAGTCAAAACTTAGAAATTCACTCAAAACCATATAATTACATGGAAACTGAATAACCTCTCTCTGGTAAATAATGAAATTAAGGCAGAAATCAAGAAGTTATTTGAAACTAATGAGAACAACGATACAATGTACCAGAATCTCTGGGATATAGCTAAGTCAGTGTTAAGAGGGAAATTAATAGAACTAAAAGCCCACATCAAAAAGTTAGAATGCTTTCAAGTTAACAACCTAACATCAAAACTAAAAGAACTAGACAATCAAGGGCAAACCAATCTCAAAGCTAGTGGAAGATAAGAAATAACCAAAATCAGAGCTGAACCCGAAAGAGATAGAAACATGAAACAACCTTCAAAACAGTCTATGAATCCAGTAGTTGGTTTTTCTGAAAAAATTAATAAAATAGACCACTAGCTAGACTAATAAAGAAAAAAGAAGATTCAAGCAAACACAGTCAGAAACGACAAGAGAGATGTTATCACTGACCCCACAGAAATACAAACAACAATCAGAAAATACTATAAACACCTCTGTGCACATAAACAATAAAATCCAGAAGAAATGAATAAATTACTGAACATATAGACCCTCCCAAGACTGAACCAGGAAGAAATTGAATCCCTGAACAGACCAATAATGAGTTCTGAAATTGAGGCAGTAATAAATAACCTAGCAACCAAAAAAACGCTGAAGACCAGACAGATTCACAACTGAATTCTACCAGATGTACAAAGAAGAGCTAGTACCATTCCTACTGAAACTATTCCAAAAAATTGAGGAGAAACGATTCCTCCCTAACTCATTCTATGAGGCCCAAACAGAAAAAAATCTTAATTAAAAGAGAAAAAATATAGAGAAACATTATAGAGTCTAATGTTGAACTACTAGGAGTTCTAGAAAGAACAGAGAAAACAAAGTAGAAATGATTTCTTTAGAAATAAGAGAAATAATACAAGGAAATTTACTTAGATGATGAGAGAAACAAATATTTACAAAAAAGAATAGCTCTGGAAGAATAAAACACCAAGCTTAAAAAGAAGATAATAAAAACATTTAAAGAATGAAGTCTAGATCCTTGAAGCATCACCATACTATCTTCCACAATGGTTGAAGTAATTTACCTTCCCACAAACAGTTTAAAAATGTTCCTATTCTCCACAGCCTCACCAGCATCTATTGTTTCTTGACTTTTGATAATCACCATTCTGACTGGCATAAGATGGTATCTCATTGGGTTTTTATTTGCATTTCTCTAATGATCACTGATGTCAAGCTGTTTTAAATACATTTGTTGGCTGCGTAAATATCTCCTTTTTTTTTATTATACTTTAAGTTCTGGGATACATGTGCAGAACGTGCAGGTTTGTTACATAGGTATACACTTGCGATGGTGGTTTGCTGCACCCATCAACCCGTCATCTACATTAGGTATTTCTCCTAATGTCTTCTTTTGAGAAGTGCCTGTTTATATCTTTTGCCCACTTCTTGATGGGGTTGTTTTTTTTCTTGTAAATTTGTTTAAGTTCCTTGTAAATTCTGGATATTAGACCTTAGTCAGATGGGTAGATTGCAAAAATTTTCTCCCATTCTGTAGGTTGCCTGTTCACTCTGATCATAGTTTCTTTTGCTGTGCAGAAGCTCTTTAGTTAGAGATACAATTCGACCCAGAAATCCCATTACTGTGCAATACCCAAAGGAATATAAATCATTCTACTAAAAAGACACATGCACATGTATGTTTATTGCAGCACTATTTGCAATAGCGCAGTCATGGAACTAACCCAAATGTCTGTAAATGATAGACTAGATAAAGAAAATATGGTACATACACATCATGAAATACAATGCAGCCATAAAAAAGGAATAAGATCATGTCCTTTGAAGGGACATGGATGAAGCTGGAAGCCATCATCCTCAGCAAACTAATGCAGGAAGAGAAAACCAAACACTGCATGTTTTCACTCATAAGTGGGAGTTGAACAATGAGAACACATGGACACAGGGAGGGGAATAACACATACTAGGGCCTGTTGTAGGGTGGAGGGTGATGGGAGGGATCTTAGAAGATGGGTAAATAGGTGCAGCAAACCACCATGGCACATGTATACCTATGTAACAAACCTGGATGTTCTGCACATGTATCCTGGAACTTAAAGTTAAAAAAAAAAAAGGCTCTAAAAACACACAAAAAAGAATGAAGTGAAAAAGTCAAATGAAAGAAGAATCTAATTGATATCAGTCTTTTCATTATTAATGTTGGATTTAAAAAGAAAGGGTGAGACTTTCAAGTTTCTGAATGAGAGAAAGACCTTTTTTTAGCTTTTTAGCAGGAAAGGCACTCCAGAAAATGGAAATGGATGTTTAACAATGTAAATATAAGTGAAGAAAGTGTTCTCAAGAAAGATCAGCAAACTAGTGCTGACATTTTACAAATTTCTAAATTATGTGAGATTTTATTGCAGAGAGAAAATAATTTTAGAGCTATTACAAAGTTTTCCTACCATAATATAATTTTAGTGTCCTAATTAACATTTTGAGGATATGCTCATAAGTGGGACTTTGGAGAACTTTCACGTATTGCCTGAAAATAAAAACTATCCTTCTCTTTTTTTCTCCTCAGATAATACCATATCTAGGCTATACATTGACGAGTAAGATAATTTTGGGTCTGTATTATATTAAGTATTGATTCTCAAGCATAACTTTGGTTTGATGATGATGCTATGGTATAAGGTTGTATAGAATGTTAACTTCTGAGGTATTCATGTTCATTGCTAAGGATTTGCTTGTGTTTTCTAAATTAAGGGTTGTGAGGTGACAAATGTGACTTTTCTAGGCATTACTATGATATTCTAGAACTTTGGAACGTCATGATGCAGAAGATAATCTGGTTCAGAGAAAAAAATACAATAAAGAAATTTTATCAGTTTTCTTTGAAGAAAGACCCCTATAAAGATCTCTTCCTGGAAATAAAATGGTAAAGAGACAGATAAAGAAACAGACAAAAAGGAAGAACAAGAGGACAAGGGAAGCTGTTTTGCTTTTTTATAATATAAAGCATAATAGCTCTTTGAGAAAATAAATGGCAGATTTATTTTCAGGAAAGAAATATTTTCTGTGGAATCAGCATGCTTGCTTTGAAAGGATGATAAAAAACTTGAAAAAAAAGTCAGTGATATTGTAGTGTGCGCACATATAGCACAGTAAGTTAGTGTTCATTCTAAACTAGCAAGGTGGGAAATTGAAAAAAGAATGAAGCAGTTGGTGTACTGATCTACTGTACAGTGTGGCTTTGGATTAAAATGAATTGAGGTAATAATCAACCCTGGTATCTTTCAGATTTCTGATGGAAAAATCAAAGAGTCTCCAAAATGGCCTTGAGAGACTGCATTTTCCATTTTATTGACTCCAAGTGGATGTATGGGAAGTTGACCCATGAAATCATTGGTAGACCAAGAGATTACCAAAATATATTAGGTAAACTCTGACCCTGGGTAACAAACATATTGTTTTATTAAAAAAAAAAAAGAATTGAAACACATATATTCTACTCTCCCATGTTCACCTTCAGGAAAAACCTGAACTGTCTAATCTCTCCTCAGTGCTGTATCTCAGTGATGTCACATAAACCAGTGGCTAAGTGGGGGTAGAATTTATGTATTCTGTATTCCAGGTTGATCTCAAATTCTTTCTAGATCAAATATATAGGTTACAAAGACTTTCCTTATCTAGTACTAACACTACTAATTGGTAAATCTAACCTCATTAAGAATTAGCCAGAGTAAGACTTTTCCCCCTTTCCAACCACGAAGCTTTCGTTGGGGATAAGTCATTCAAGGTCTAAAGAAACCTGCCCCATTTAAATTATTTCTCATATACCCTCACTGTCATTCCTTTCCCTCTTCAGCTTGACATTGTTATTGGAATTGTGCTAAGGTCCCATTTCCTTACCTCCCACATTGTTGTATACATTACAGGAAGTATCCTCTAGTCTTGTCTCAACTGTTACATGTCCTGCTAAAATTATTTCAAGGATAGAGTGTAAATGTCACCTTTCCCTAGTTTCCAGGCTCTAATTTTTGATAGTGAGACCTTTAATATTTTTGTTTTGTTTTTTATCATAACTTGAATAGCAAAGCAATCTTTAAAATTAAACTCACTATTGGCCAACACTGGAATATTCTAAAGCAATGTGAGAGTAACTTCCAAAGCTGAGAACTGAGGGATTTTTCCAACACAGTCTTCAGTTTTAGGAGTTATTCTAAATCCCTCACCTGAAATGAGAATATTCCTTATTCTGCTATTAAGTAGAATTTAGGCAAATTTAGAAAATTTTTTCTGGGCCTCCATTTTCTCATCAATAAAATAAATGTGCTCAGCTAGGTAATTTGCAAGGATACTTACAACTCTAATATAATATGTCTATATTGAAATGTCCCGTATCTGTTCAATGGAATAAGCCATAAGAATGGCTCATTGTCAAATAGCCTGAGAAACACAGAATTTTCCTACTCATCCTGGAAGTTCAAATTGTACTTTAGAATAGAAAAACTTTGAGAATTACAAAAGAAATCTGCCTTTCTTTAACTTCTTGATTCCTGGAACTATTTAAGTATATGTAATGTACACTAACATGAACAGAACACATTTTAGAAAGCATAAATCCTTAGATTGCAATTGAAAAATCTTCTCTGCCTATTTCTTACACCTTGACTCTCACACACACAAAAGCTAATGTGCATTTTTATTGAATTTAAGAATTGTCTTGAAAATGAGTTAATTATTACTTTCAATGGTCATAATTAGGCAGCACATGCCATAAATGAAATGGAGAATAATGTTACTTTGTCTCTCCAGGTAGCAGTGGTTTATCAGAGACTTCAACAAAAAGCAAAAATAATAGATAAAAGTATGACTAGAGTGGACTTTGGTAGAAATAGAAATTTGACTGTTTATATTGCTTACATTTATCTGCATAGTCACACTAACATTATTAAGTTTATAATTATTCACGATTATGTGTAATACACATATTTATTTGTATTACAAATTACAATTACACAACAAGTGTAAGAATACAAGATCCAATTTCTAATTCACTGTTCTTAAAAGCAATATAGGTTTCTAATTCAACCGATCTTCTGTAAACCAGAGTCTGGGTTGAAGATTACTATCAAGAAACAGTTATACTTTGCAAAATATTCATACCTTTGCTGGCAGACTTAATTCCTCATCTGATAACACATTAGGGGCTGACCTTGGTCCCATTGAAAGTAGTACTTATGATAAATGATAAAATTAGACTGAATTCACAGTTACTGGGAAATACTGGAAGACGTGAAACCAAGATATCTACATATGACATATGTCTCACCATGCATAATCATGAAAGTCATTTTTTAAACTATAACAAACAGCGTAGTTTGCAAATTCCTCAGGACCTCATTTTGAATATCTGCCTACCATTTTAGACTAGTCCTCTCAACATATAATACAGAAATAACTTTCTGTGATATGAATCATAAGAAAAGAGAAAGTTCTTCAAAAATGAGAAATTTCTCACCTTTTACTTTGTAAAATAATAAGTGTGCAGATTCAACTACCTATGATTTGGATATCCTGGAGGAATTTTCACCAAAAATATCTAGGTTTGCACTGCATGCAAGAAAAATGTTAACAGAACCTCCATTTGGGGGATGAAATGAATTGTTAGAAGACAACACTGTAAGATTTTTTAAGAAGGCATATAGTATAGATAAAGGATATTGCATGTCCTCATAATAATCAATGGGGGTCTCTCTCCTACAAGTAGTTCTGTATCTCCCACTCCCAATATTTCAATACTCTGAATCTCACAGCTATTAAGGGAAGCGGGACAATGCTCTCCGTGGTAGGATTTCTCACTATTTTGAAGGAGTAGGGACTTGAAATAAAACGTTGATTCATAGAAAATAAAATAATGTGATATTTTCTTTCACACCCACATTTGTAAGTTAAAAAACATTCTTGTCAAAGGCTTTCCTCCCCTTTTTACTCAACATTCTTTTATATGTAATCTATAAATAGGTTATTACAAACTTTTTGAGTATATTAGGGTTGATGATATTTATCTCTTCGTCATCACTTGCCAAGCAATGATGGACAACAATGAACATCATCTTGGCAGCGGATATTTGAAACTGAGTCGAGTAACTTGAAAAACTTGAAGAAAGCTTCTTTTGATGAGGGTACATAGCGTTATGGTATATAGCGGGGGAGTTTTTGGTGTAAGTATGCATATATAGAAAGAAGCGTGTAGGAATGTTTGGCAGTCATAAGAATAATGTGGTATATATAAAATATTTGTCAAGCAATCTGCAACACTTGGGTCTGATGTGACTCATTCCCTTTCACTATCATAATTTTAAGGAGCTGTCAAGCATACAGAGATGCCTGCTACTGCCACCACATGGAGAATAGTTAGCTCAACCTGGCCAGCTGGAATACTTGAATCCACTCCACTGATAATTATTTCAAAGATGGGCAAAAAAAAAAAAAAAAAAAAAAGCATGACCAGAGTTTTACTTGTAATTTTCCACAGAATATCCCAAGATATTCTCTTGAGAATATCTCATCTCATTCCCAAGGAGCTTGGGTATCTCATCTTTTGAAAATATCTTTATTTTTTACTGTGAGAGATAAAAAGCTAGTGATAACTATATTCCTTATGAAGAAGAGTCTTTCTGAGAATGAATTTGATGTACTATGGGAGGAAAAATCAAGAGATAAGAGAAAGAGCCAGAGGAAATGAATCTTTGAGGTCCATATTCAGTTGTATTAGTGTACCTTTTGCCTTTAAAATGGCATAGTCAGATAAATGCCCCTTTTCCTTTTTTTGTTTATTTGAAAACTGATTTGAGTTGGCTTTTTATCACTTGAAATCTAAGATACACATTAATATTGAACTCAGAATCATTAAGTATCTTCCACATATTAACCCAACATAAAATTGAAGTTAGGTTTAAATGCAGGATAGCTTGCTCCTTTTTTACCTACCAGTAATTTAAAAGCCTTTCAAATAAAGGGAAGTTGAGATTATACATTTAAAAATAACACATGATAACAATTTGGTCTGAGAATTATTGAGCTCGATTTTGACTGGAATGTTTGCAATTATGTCATTAAATAGTTTATCAATTATCTAATACATGTAATGATATTTAATTAATTACCTGTTTACTAATCTTCCTAATAAGAATGATGGTCATGTTCTTACTATCATAGTTGATCAAAACAGTTAATCCTTGTGAAAATAATTTTCAAAGCTATACAACATCATATTTACAAAAAATTTATTATTTACCTATTTAAAAAAAATTATTATTTGAGATATTATTGGTGAAACTGATACATTTTCTTATTTAAAAAAAAAATTTTAAGCCTATTTTTCTACTGGAAGTTCCTTTCAGTAACTACGTTGTCAAGGCATTTCATTGCTATCAGAACAACAGAAAATATGGAGGTTCTCTATAATCATGTCATACAATAAAGCATTAGTTTAATTACCTGACAATTTGAGCTGATATTTGAAATGAATTTTTAATACTCTCTGAGTACATTAATTTATATTTTGAATTATGATTTTGCATATTATCCAAGTGTATGAATCCTTTAACTCTCATTATCTTTGACTAACTATGGAAAGAGTTCTAATTGTAATGCAAATCATTCTTGTTTTTGTGTATATGTGTGTTTGCCTGGAAGAAATTATGATTTAATTTGCTTTTAATTAGAAAAGTAATTTCAGCACAAAGCTTCAGAAAACAGAGGGAAGTAGAAATGAAACCTCTTGATCCTCTAGGATGCCTTAAGGAAAAATGGAGACATAGCTTATCTCCTTTGTGTGTGTTCATTTCAAAACATAAACAACGTTGTCCCACGTTACATTTTAGAAAATACAACTGCACCTACAAGTTAATAAGCTTGATTATTTTATTATATATTAAATCATAAAATATAAATATGCATGTGGTATTCATCATGGAGAGTCATATGAAAACGTGTGTGTGTGTGTGTGTGTGTGTGTGTGTGTATTTAACTTTCTTCTAACTATTCTAAATCTTATTTTTTTGTTTCACCTTAAATGAACTGGCTATATATGCTCTCATTCCTTCAATATTAAGTGTTTAAATATTTTCTGAACTTTTACAACATTCAGATATTGGCTTAATATTATGTGAACTGGAGAAACATCTGCCAAACAATGTTTCACAAACTACTAGTTATGAAAAATTATTATTGTTGATACTCCCAAGCTCTATGAAACTTTGGGACATCCTCTGTTAATCAAAATCTTCACCATGCTAATGTGTTTAAATATCATTTGAGTTAAAAGTGTGCCCAAAAATAATTTGAAAGCAACCACAAGAAAATTCAATTTATCTTTAAAATCTCAAGGTTTGTTCTTAGCACAATTTGTTTTTGTATATAATATGAGACAACAATATTTTCTTTGAATTCAATATGAAAAGAAAGACTTTGAAATCAGTAGAAGCTCCATGCTAACTCAGAATTGTTCAATAAGTTTATGCAAGATGACCAGGAGAAAGGTAGAAGCGAGGTCTAAACAGTTTAGCAAACTATCGAAAGGACAAAAAACCAAACACCGCATGTTGTCAATTATAGGTGGGAACTGAACAATGAGAACACATGGACACAGGAAGGAGAACATCACACACCAGGGCCTGTTGTGGGGTGGGGGGATGGAGGAGGGATAACATTAGGAGATATACCTAATGTTAAATGAAAGGTTAATGGGTGCAGCACACCAACATGGCACATGCATACATATGTAACAAACCTGCACGTTGTGCACATGTACCCTAAAACTTAAAGTATAATAATTAAAAAAAAAACAACAACATTAAGCATTAAACTAAAAAAAAAAAAAAAAAAAAAGAGTTTCTCATTATTAGTGTAATAAGCTCTCCAAGGCACAGGTGGAGATCTTCTAGAGCCAGAGTCCCAGCATCCCCATGTTCGCCCTTGTGTGTTCTCTCCTTGCCATTCCTTGATCATGCAGTCAGGGAAGTAGTTTCTTAGAGGGGCCATCAAGAGACATGAGTGAGGAAACAGAAGAAATGGAAGAATGACACAATCAACTGCAACAAGGAATGACATAGTACATTCACATTTAAGGATCTAAAGGAGAAGAAGAAGAAAAAAAAAAAACTCAAGCAATAGCGGAACAGCTAGAACAGCACTAGAGGATGTTCACATAACATTTTCAAACACCATTAACATAAAAATAAGAAAAGAAAGGGAGACCTGGAGGGACCTTGCAAACAAATAATGAAGAGGAGCAGAGTGACTTAAGAAAACACACTCCTCTTTTGGGACAGAAATACATGACAGAGGTCAAAGAGGACTAGGAAGAGACAGGGCTACGAGTCTTTGCTCTTGGCTAAATAAAGCTTCAAACGTTTCCTAAATTTATGCTGAAAAACTGATTACTAAACTGAATATTGAACATTTATTCTAATTTCTCTAATTTATTCTATTAACATATTTTGAAATTCACTGCAGATGAGAAAAGGTTAGCCTATATAAACCTAATCTACATGCTAGTTTCATGCATCAGTCATTTTAACTTCTTTTGCAAATTGTTTATTCATGTTTTTTCTCTATTCATTATTGGTAGGCTCATAAATCAGTTATATTCTTCATAGTCTTCTAAGATAACTATTCCTTTTGTGTATTTTGGGTTGTGCTCCACATCAATATACCACAAATTCAAGAAAAATGAAAAGAAATAAGTAATAATAGTTTTAAGTTAAAAGCAAAATAAAATAAATTCATGAGTATTAACCATTTTTGTTTATATGATACAAAGATATCCTGGCTTTTGTTTTTTAATTAAAATGCAAACTTTTAAAATTTTTAAAATCTTTTATTAAGACAATAGTATTAATATTTTTCTTAATGTCTTGCTTTTGATGTGTTTAATGTCATCACACAAATAAATTGTTCAACTAGATTCTTATTTAAAATGTAAATTATTAGAAGATATTATAGACATATAAAAAGGTTTAAAAAGTAATCTTACAAAAAACAATATGCTCATTCTATGTGGATTCAGAGATAAAATGTTGCCAGACTATGTTCAGCTCTCTGTAAAACTTCTTTGCAGTTTCATTCCTCTCCCATGCAGCCAGAGGTGGATACTCTTGAATTTGCAGCTTGATGTTTATGACTTCCAAACATTAATGTTTAGTTTTATTATGAATGTTTGGAATGTAACTAGGGGAGTTACCACACAGGGGTACCCTAAATAAATATCAAATAAATATCATAATTGGCTGGATGCAGTGGCTCACGCCTGTAATCCCAGCACTTTTGGAGACCGAGAGGGGCAGATCACAAGGTCAGGAGTTCGAGACCAGCCTGACCAATATCGTGAAACTCCGTCTCTACTAAAAAATACAAAAAGTAGCTGGGCGTGGTGGTGGGCACCTGTAGTCCCAGCTACTCGGGAGGCTGAGGCAGGAGAATTGCTTGAACCCAGGAGGCGGAGGTTGCAGTGAGCCGAGATCACACCATTGCACTCCAGCCTGGGTGACAGAGCGAGACTCCGTCTCAAAAAAATAAAAATAAATAAGTGTCACAATTTAAGGCTTTTCAGATCACATGGATTATACAACTTTGAACCCTAAATGCATGTTGCATGTTCCTAAAGTCCTGTTCCCTGTCTCCCTAACAGTCATTAAAATTAAAGAGTGCACTCCTAAAGTTAGTTTCAGTCTGGTTTTGATTCGATTTCTGGTTTCCTTATTCTTTTCTTTAGTTTTCTTTCATTTTTCTTTCCCCCATGAACCATTGAAATTCCACTTTATGAGGTCGGAAAAAATAATTATTTATTCATAACATCTAGCTTAGAACATTTGCCTTCACTCCTTGGTATTTTTATTCATTGCAGTCTAACTTTAAAGAAGAAATGCAAACTCCTCCATTCTCACCTCCCCTTCCACCCACTCCCCACCCCCAGACTTCATGAAATTGTTGTTAGAATTAGAAAAGATTATTTAATGCCAGGGCTATAGAGAAAAGTTTCTGGTGCAGATTTAGTTAATGACATAGCAAAGCATGTAGAGTCCATTGCTCCATGCAGGATCTGTGCTGAAAAAGAGCTCCCTATTTTAGATATGGAACTACACAGAAGTGAACCCTAGCTCAAATGTATGGAGGTTCCAAGTAGCATGAATATCCTTATGAGTAACGGTTTCATCAGTGGTGAATAGGCTAGACTATCTGAGAATAAAAAGATATATTGCCTCCTTCAGTGTTTGATTTTTGTCAGTAAAAAAATTATATATGTTTGGTGATATCAGTGTCTTATTTATTCCAATCATATGTGTAGTGGAGAGACAGTAATTTAAGTATTGGTGGAAGAAAACAGATACAATGTAAGTCTTCTTGTGTTTTAAGGATTTTAATTTCATAGTGTGAGTTAAATTATATGGTAAGTGAAGTTATTAATGTTTCAAAATTGATATGATTTGAGCTGACGTTTAGAAATCTGTATCAAGCAAGATGTACTTGGATTGCTTTATTGAAAAATTAGGAAGAGGAAAGAGATCATCATCAAAATTTAGTTATTTAAAACATTTTTATAAATACAAACTTTCTTACTATTACCTAAGTACACTGCAGACATTTCAGAAACTACATTTCAGAAATTCCAACAATCTATTCTATAACCGAAGTTCCAATACCCACTAAGCGCAGCAATAGAGTTGACGGCATTTGCTTCAGATAACTCCTTCTATGATACCCCTAAAGACCTAACGCATCACTCCTGGGATATATATATATATGCACACTATATACACACACACACATATATATACACACACATGCATGTGAACTTAAGAGCAGTTATCTCTAAATGGTGAATATTTATATATAAATACTACATATATAAATATATTATATATTTATTAATATATTAATATTTATATATTCACCATTAATAAATATTAATATATTAATAAATATATATTTATATATGTAGTATTTATATATAAATAGTCACCATTTAGAGATATATATAAAATATTCATCATTTAGAGATAACTGCTCTTAAGTTCACATGTGTGTGTATATATATATATACGGTTTTGTAGAATACACAAATATTAGAATAAGAAATATATGAATTTGGAAATTCAGAGGAAATATATGAATTTGGAAATTCATATAGGAATAAAAAATATATGAATTTGGAAGTATATTAATTTGGAAATTTTCATTTAGACAAATAGTTATCACTCTGATTTTACACTTTGTCACCATTCATTGAGAAAATAGCTTTGTGATGACCCTAAGTGTAAATGGGAAACACTCCTCACCTAATAGCAAGCTCATAAGAAGATACAAAAGCAAAAACAAAATTACGAAGTATTTATTTTGCAAAGAAAAGGAGTTAGATTTGGTTGACTAGAACCTGAGGTAGCAGTAGAAAGATAATGAATAAGATTGTAGTAATTTGGGATCTAAGTGTGACATAGCCAGTGGAAATATTGCCTATGGCAGAGAATGACTGATGAATGTTAAAGCAATGGTTTCTAACACACAATTTCAAGTTGTTTTGCTGGAGTGCATTCATCCTTTGTTATCTCAAAACTACCAATAAAGATCAGCTACTCTTCTTTTCTTCAACATGTTTATTGATTGTCTACAACATAACTGGAACTGTGCTGGCTATAATAAAGTAGTGAGTAAAAGCAGATGAGAAACTTACCTTCACGAAGCTTGCAGTTTAGCATGAGATACAGAAATTAATCAAATAATTATGCAAACAAATATAAAATACCTCTCAACAATTCTGCAAAGTGTGGGGGCGGGGGGTACAATATGGTCTGAGACCTCATTGCAGAAGGATTTGAACTATGGGAAAAACGGGCTATCTGAAAGAAAGAAGACCTACTTCCACATGATGTGGGGAAATGACAGACATGGGGCCACATTAGGTGGGGAGAAAAAGCTGTGAGCAGATCTCTGGGATGCCCACTTGCCATGGTCAGTGGAGCAGATTTGATGATCTGAGAGTGGTAAGATCCGTCTCTCCCCACGGTGCACACTGCCTCCTGTCCTTACTTCTGGTTCCTGCTGTGATAGAATGCAAGCAGACAGTAGGAGAAAAGATGGGAACTTCTCACTTATTATTGCAGTAGACTTCCCTTTGGTACACAATGAAATATGTTTGGCTCGTGTTCCATTTTTCTTAGTTCACCCTGAACCTTTTATTTTGAAAAATACTCCTTTAAATTTTAGGGAGCTGGATGGACCTTTTCTACTTTCCAGTGATGATAGCAGATGCCTTTTTATACTGATTGAGTTATTTCAAAGTGAAATTTAGATATCTAAGAGAGTCGAGTGTCTTGTCCCAGAAGCACCACTCTTTACACTTGATTTTTAAAAGGATTTTAAATAGAAATATTTATAAAGAATTTGTGAGCTCATGGGAATGGAAGCAATAATAAAAGTAGGGAGCAGGGAAATAAATCAATTTTGAGAATCATTTCAAATTTAAAGAAGATTGTCCTTTCTCTAAATTTAGAGGACATTCTAAATAGGAAATCAAAAAGAAGAAAAATGTTTCCATAAATTGATTGGATGATTATTTTCTTGTCGGGAAAAAATGATACTGTCAAAGGAGTAGAAGCTATTAAAGTCCCACAACTAGCTTGAACGGAGAAGATAATAACCCATTAGTGTCTTTGATAGTGATTTTGTTAAAATTTTTAAAAGGGATACTTGGTATGAAGAAACATAATTGCCTCCATGGAATTTAAGACTTTAATTTTAAGTCATCTAAGATACAAAAAGCTCCCTAGGCATCAATATTAAACCAAGAAAAGTGCTTACAAACACAGACATCTATCATTAATTAAAAAGTAAACATTTCAGTTGGGTATGTCATGTTTTTTTTCTAACATCATAAAATAGTCGGAGAGAGGGCATATTCTTTTTGCAGATAAGTTTAAATACAATTAAATATGTAGACCCTTTTAGGGCAATGTAAATTTATTCCTTTATTATTTTGAAATTCCCAAGTAATATATCATTTTCTTGGGAAAAACAAGGAAGTAGCTGACGTAACAAATATGAAAAAATTCAAAACCAAAACCAAATAATGTTTAATTAATGATGCTATGTATTACTCCTTACGGGATTTTGTTTCTACATGTTTTTCTTCTTTCCCACTACTGGTATTAAAGTTAAATTCTAAATTCAATCAAGGGAAGAGAGAAAGACAGGTTGGTTAACAGGTACACATAAACAGTTGGGTAGAAGGACAAATTCCAGTGTTCAGTAACACAGTAAGGTGACCATTGTTAACAATAACTTAATGTACATTTCAAAATAGATAGAAGATTTAAGGAGTTCCTAACACAAAGAAGTGATAAATGTTCAAGGAGATGGATATCCTAAATAGCCTGGTGTGATCATGATACAATGTATGCATGTATCAAAATATTACATGCATCCCATAAATATATATGATTATTATGTATCAATACATTTTTAGGATACTTCAAGGACTTGGGAACTTACAATAACCACTAACTAGTCAAAATTATATGCTTCTATATTTACTTCCTAGTCACTTTGTGTGATGTTTTGGTATGTTATTAACTTTGAATGACATTATAAAGGAAATTCAAGCTGGTTGAAGAAATGTTTGGTCCTTGTACAGTATGACATATCATTTTATCCTGAGCCTGATTAAGCTTCACTTCAAACAAAGAGTGTCCATTTTTCAATTTTATATTTTATTTTATACTTGGTGATCATTTTTCAGATTTCCAGGTAATCGGTTGATGTAATAGAAAAAATGTAACAGAAACAGTCTGACTGTTAAAAACTAATACAAACTACATAGCAAGAAGTTGGAATTGATATATAAAAGAAGGGGTGTACAAGATAAATATTATCACAATTACATAAGTAGATTAAAATACCCTAGAAATAAATATTAAACTCAAATATTGGGCTAAGAAAAATTATTCAAAATATTTTGAGTTTGTGTGCAATGCTTTAGGCTGAAATATATATTTAAAAAATAATTCTGAAAAGTAAAAAGTTATACATATGAAAACAATTTCCACTTGGAACGAAAAATTAACTTTGATTTATTCCCAAATCTAATTGTTAAATTTGTTGGTTTCTGGCTGGCATTTTGGACATTATTAATAACACCTTACCAAGAAATTATGGTTTCTCTTAAAAAAAAAAAAATCACACTAGGCAATATCACAATGGGCAATACATTTTTTTTTCAAAACAATTGAAACAGCAAAAGTTATTATTTTCTTCCCTTATTGACCCAATGCACTCTTGATGCTATTGATTCCATCATCAGATGAACGATGTTACTGAGTAATTTTTTAAGAAGAGGATTATTAATACTCCACCAGCCTGAAAATCTCAGCTGAGTGAGGAATATATTTTAAGTATAAAAATGTATGATTAAAATGCATGTTCCTTTAAAAAAGCCAAATACCATTATCCAAATCATGTTGTTGTTTTTTTTAACACATTAAGGGTTAAGCTGCAAAGTTAAAAATAAATGCAAATATACATTTTATGGGAAAGCTTTCTTTTCTGATAAAATGTAACTGTTCTTAGATCTGTAATAGAGCTAAGGAAAGAAACAGCATATAAAAGCACACAAATGTTACTGAAAGTTATAATGATTATGTTCATATTTCCCCATTTACCTAAAACTGACTGACTTATACCTGTCATTGCAATATCCATGTAGTTTAATATTTGTGTGAGATACTGTATTTATCTGTTAAATTAGTATTATTAGTTGCATAAATATAAGCCCACATAGGTTGGTAGACCTCTGCTGAGTGTTGCACACTTCTATTCCAATCTTATTTGATACTATGTGAAACATGCAAACAGTGAACTAAGTTCTCACTTCTATGCATGGTTAAATCAAGAAGACAACTAGAAATAACTTTTTTATTCCTTTTCTGATACTCTCCGGACTATGTGTCACTAACATCTCTTTTTCAAGGCCAGTCTACGAGAGAGTGCTTGGTAAAACAGTGAGCTAGGGCAAAGTTGCTAAAGAGAAATACTTTCTTCCAGTACTCAGGCATGGTGGATGTAACAATAGATACTATTTTTCCCTCAACCACTTGATGTACACTTTTGGGAAAATAAAATAAAATAAATTGCTGCAAATAAATGTTTTAAAAAGTATTCTATTGGTTTTAAATACAATTTTCAGTCAAATACATACATAAACACCTTTTGTACACACACATATATATGTATTTGTAATTTTAATTATTTGTATCACTTCCTTTCACTTAAAAATCTAAAATTGAAAGTCACACATTATGTTAATATTATTTAAAATTGAAAATAATATTGTACTCTATGAGAAGTACATTTCACTATTTTTTTCCTGCTCTAAACAGAAATCTAAAGGCATTGTGAACAAGTTAATACGTAATAAGATAACTTGGATAGTTTGATTACTAAGAAGGAAAAACAGTACATAGTATTCAGTCTGATTGTACGAGTTTTCAGCCTGAAGCCATTTGCAATTGCTTTCCTTTTTCATATTTTTCTATTTGCAATGGACTTTTTTTCCTTCTCTGTCAGTTTTAGTAGTAACAGGAGCAGCAATTTTCTTAAGTCCTCAATGAGAATGTGTCAATTATTAGAACAGATAATTCTTATTCCAGCAATAGAGCAAGCAGAAGTAACTCCAAACTTTCCTTGCTACAAAGCATATAGACAATACAATGCTGGGTGAGGGTGGGGGACAATATATCTTAAAGAGTATGTACATGTACTTAAATCAAAGAAAGGGAACTTCAGAGAAGGAAAAAATAAGAGGGGAAAATTAAACCAAGGAGGTAGACAGAGAAGCCAATTCAGTGGTTCCAGGAAGTTGGCCGTGAGTCTATCATCTAACTACTTTTCCTAAGCCGTTTGAGAACGTATCATACACATCATATCCCCATAGGATATTCAACATCTTTGAAAAAAATTCCAGCGCCAACAGAGCAATATTTAATAATTTTTAAAATAAAATATTAAACAGTCAACTTTTGTAACATAGAGGATGTTATTTTCACAAATGACGTGAAATTGAAAAATGACTCAGTAGGTCAGACCATGAGCGTGACACAGTTTTAATGATATCCTGAATTTTCTTTGCTTACATTTTCCACTTATGTATGTACAAAGCGATATATAAATCAAGATCTATCTAAAGACTTATTAAACATAACACAAAATTCTGCATAAAAATATGTTTTGTCAGCATTTAATTAGCAGTAGTTTTTCTGTATTACTGATTTATAGTAAGTGCACTTCATCTTAAAATAGATAATTACATTAGACTTGATAAAATACTGGTATTTATTCTCTTCAACACTCTGTATCATTGTCTGAGATACAGAGTTTTCCCAGCGAACCTCCTCTATTGCTGATGAGAGGATGTAAGGTTAACTGGCCTGCTCACGCCCTCTACAGCTCCCTATAGCTACAGAAAATTGCTCTAAGTTGTTTTTCCTTGTGGTTATTTCTTCGCATTCTCCTGCTTGACTTCTGCCTATCTCATCTGATCACATAAATGCTACTTTGATCATGTAGCATTCATCAGGAATTTTATCAAGCAATGCCCCAAAGCCAATAAGCAGGGTACTGCCATGACACGCGTTACCCTATATTTTCATTTCAAGTTCACATCACAAACGTTATTGAAAAATACATTAGTTTCTGTATTCCTATCACTTTAGACTTTCTGCCCTGGGGAAATTTTATTCATTCCCCCTACTTCTGCTACTGTCTCAGTAATAACATCCATTAAAATCTATACCTCACATTTCTTACATTTCTAACTTTCAAAAAGTTTTTGTACTCCTAAACTCAGCCTGTCCAAAGTTTATGCTGTTTGAAAACATTCAAATGATGAAAAAAGATAGTAGAGTTAGACTCAAACATGCTTTGTTATCTGCCTTTATGGTACCACACATCCAAAATTTTAATTAATTGAACTTAAATTTTCTTTCAAGAAAGGAGAGGCCAGGCACAGTGGCTCACACTGTAATCCTAGCACTTTGGGAGACTGAGGTGGGTGGAGCACTTGAGGCCAGGAGTTAGAGACAAGCCTGGTCAACATGGGGAAATCCATTCTCTACTAAAAAATACAAAAAAAAATTATCCGGGGGTGATGGCTCACGCACCCGCAATCCCAGCTGCTCAGGAGGCTGAGGTGGGAGAATCACTTGAACCCTGGAGGTGGAGATTGCAGTGAGCAAAGATCACTCAGCCTGGGCGACAGGGCTAGATACTGTCTCAAAATAATAATAATAATACAAAAAAAAAGAGAATTTTAGACCAATATCCCTGATGAACATCGATGCAAAAATCCACAATAAAATACTGGCAAACTGAATACAGCAGCACATCAAGAAGCTTATCCACCATGATCAAGTGGGCTTCATCCATCCCTGGGATGCAAGGCTGGCTCAACATATGCAAATCAATAAACGTAATCCAGCATATAAACAGAACCAACGACAAAAACCATACGATTATCTCAATAGATGCAGAAAAGGCCTTTGACAAAATTCAACAAACCTTCATGGTAAAAACTCTCAGTAAATTTGGTATTGATGGGACGTATCTCAAAATAATAAGAGCTATCTATGACAAACCCACAGCCAATATCATACTGAATGGGCAAAAACCGGAAGCATTCCCTCAGAAAACTGGCACAAGACAGGGATGCCCTCTTTCACCACTCCTATTCAACATAGTGTTGGAAGTTCTGGCCAGGGCAATCAGGCAGGAGAAAGAAATAAAGGGTATTCAATTAGGAAAAGAGGAAGTCAAATTGTCACTGTTTGCAGATGACATGATTGTATATTTAGAAAACCCCATCGTCTCAGCCCAAAATCTCCTTAAGCTGATAGGCAACTTCAGCAAAGTCTCAGGATACAAAATCAGTGTGCAAAAACCACAAGCATTCTTATACACGAATAACAGACAAACAGAGAGCCAAATCATGAGTGAACTCCCATTCAAAATTGCTCCAAAGAGAATAAAATACCCAGGAATCAAACTTACAAGGGATGTGAAGGACATCTTCAAGGAGAATTACAAACCACTGCTCAATGAAATAAAAGAGGATACAAACAAATGGAAGAACATTCCATGCTCATGGGTAGGAAGAATCAATATCATGAAAATGGCCATCCTGCCCAAGGTAATTTATAGATACCATGCCATCCCCATTAAGCTACCAATGACTTTCTTCACAGAATTGGAAAAAACTACTTTAAAGGTCACATGGAACCAAAAAAGAGCCCACATTGCCAAGTCAATCCTAAGCCAAAAGAACAAAGCTGGAAGCATCATGCTACCTGACTTCAAACTATACTACAAGGCTACAATAACCAAAACAGCATGGTACTGGTACCAAAACAGAGATATAGACCAATGGAACAGAACAGAGCCCTCAGAAATAATGCTGCATATCTACAACCATCTGATCTTTGACAAAACTGACAAAAACAAGAAATGGGGAAAGGATTCCCTATTTAATAAATGGTGCTGGGAAAACTGACTAGCCATATGTAGAAAGCTGAAACTGGATCCCTTCCTTGCATCTTATACAAAAATTAATTCAAGATGTATTAAAGACTTACATGTCAGACCTAAAACCATAAAAACCCTAGAAGAAAACCTAGGCAATACCATTCAGGACATAGGCATGGACAAGGACTTCATGTCTACAACACCAAAAGCAATGGCAACAAAAGCCAAAATTGACAAATGGGATCTAATTAAACTAAACAGCTTCTGCACAGCAAAAGAAACCACCATCAGAGTGAACAGGCAACCTACAGAATGGGAGAAAATTTTTGCAATCTACTCATCTGACAAAGGGCTAATCTCCAGAATCTACAATGAACTCAAACAAATTTACAAGAAAAAAACAAACAACCCCATCAAAAAGTGGGCCAAGGATATGAACAGACACTTCTCAAAAGAAGACATTTATGCAGCCAAAATACACATGAAAAAATGCTCATCATCACTGGCCATTACAGAAATGCAAATCAAAACCACAATGAGATACCATCTCACACCAGTTAGAATGGTGATCATTAAAAAGTCAGGAAACAACAGGTGCTGGAGAGGATGTGGAGAAACAGAAACACTTTTACACTGTTGGTGGGACTGTAAACTAGTTCAACCATTGTGGAAGTCAGTGTGGTGATTCCTCAGGGATCTTGAACTAGAAACACCATTTGACCAAGCAATCCCATTACTGGGTATACACCCAAAGGATTATAAATCATGCTGTTATAAAGACACATGCACACGTATGTTTATGGCGGCACTATTCACAATAGCAAAGTCTTGGAACCAACCCAAATGTCCAACAATGATAGACTGGATTCAGAAAATGTGGCACATATACACCATGGAATACCATGCAGCCATAAAAAATGATGAGTCCATGTCCTTTGTAGGGACATGGATGAAGCTGGAAACCATCATTCTCAGCAAACTATTGCAAGGACAAAAAACCAAACACCACATGTTCTCACTCCCAGGTCAGAATTGAACAATGAGAACACATGGACACAGGAAGGGGAACATCACACACCAGGGCCTGTTGTGGGGTAGGCGGAGGGGGGAGGGATAGCATTAGGAGATATACCTAATGTTAAATGATGAGTTAATAGGTGCAGCACACCAACATGGCACATGTATACACATGTAACTAACCTGCACGTTGGACACATGTACCCTAAAACTTAAAGTATAATAAAAAATAAAATAAAATAAAATACCAAAATAATAATAATAATAAGGAAATATTAATGCTTGATTTGCTTGGGTCAATTGAAGTTTAAATGAAATACCATATGTAGAAGTGCATTTGAACTGTAAAATTCTAAACACTTGGGATTAACACCTTCCTGTCACCAAGGCTGAAAGCTAATGTAGCCATAATTTATCTTCTCCATGTCTCTCTATAGAATAAACAATATCTCAAAAACATTTCTCTAAACTGACAAATTCATTTCCCCTGCCAATGCCCTGGTTTAACCATATATTCATGCCAAGACTGAATTAATACTTTTCTAATACCTGTCTCTTTCTTAAATATCCTATCTCTTCCAATATATTTTCCATGCACACACCTATTATCTATGTTTATAACTAATTTTTCATCCATAAAGGTAATGGCTCCTCATTTCAAATTATTTTATACTGCCTAGTCTTTAATTCCCATGTAAGACTCCAAACAACATGCAGCTTTAACTTTTAGTTTCCATAAACTTTAAATCTCTCAATGCTTTTGCTGCTCTTACTCCATCTGCCTGAAAGTAGTTTTTTATTTATTTTGAAATTCTACTCATCTGTTAAGATTTATATAAAATGCTACCTTTTCTGTTAAACTATTGCTTTAGTCAATCAAAATTAATATGTCTTCTTTATATTTGAAAATATACATCTTTTATAATATTTATTACATTTGTTCTAATATTAATATTTATTGCTGATCCTCACCCAATAAATTGCAAAAATACTTTAGGGCTTGGCATTTTATCTTGTATTTTTCTTCTATTATATGCGTTAGTAAATATTTCATGAATAAACATCTTTCTGTGAGACATATATTATGCCTATCTATAACTTACCTATTTCACCTATTAGATACACATCATCTATTCATCCCTTTTATTTAAATACGAGTCATAAATTGCTTTTAAAGATTATGCTGTATTTCTTTCAGAATATATCCTTTGTGCTAAAACCCAAATTTTACATATATAAGTTTATTTAAGTGCTGTTTTTGTATGGCCTATGAGCTAAGATAGGTTTTTACATTTTTAAATAATTGAAAAAATTCAATAGGAGATTATTTCATGACTCATGAACATTACATAAAAATCAAGTTTCAGTGTCCATAAAGTTGCACTGAAACACAGCCACATCCATTCATTTATGTATTAACTTTGTATATGGCTGCTTTCACACAACATTGCAGAAGTCAGTAGTTGTTACAAAGACAATAAGGCTGGCAGGCCTACAATATTTACTCATAGATCTGTGAAAAAAAAAATGGCAACTGCTATCTTAAGGTATACACATTTCTCAACCAATTACATATTCACTTATACTGAAAATAAAAGGCCAAGTATCATACCACCAGTTAGTCATCTCCTGTCTGCATGTCTCCCACCCCATTTCACCAGGACTAGTGAACACATGCATGCTTGGTCCTGGCATACAGTAGTCCCCCAGGTCTGGACATTTTCCTTTGTGATTGATATATCTTATGCCAGATGCTGTGTTAATGTCTCCCTCTGAACCCTGGCATAGATCTCTGGGTTTTATACACTGGAATGCAAGGAGAGCTGAAGAATGAGGAATGTCTTTCAGTATATCACAAGCCAATGGGTTTATGATGTTGCCAAATGTGCAGTATAAGCTGTTATTCACTTAACACATAAAAAAATTTCTTATTTGTTTCTCTCTCCCAGTGATACCACATCAGAAGTAGAGGTTTCTCTTTAATTTAGCCAAAAGGAGACAGTTCAGTTACAATTTACTCAGACCAATGTATCACAGAAAGGCAAATTTAGTAAATTGTAGTATATTCTTACTAGTCAGGAGGACTAGCCAAATGAAACTTTTATTTCAACAATAGTTTAAACAAAATTCTATACACTGTGTAAACTCTAAACACTTAAATGATAACCTCATTTTTAATTTTTTCACAGGAGGTGGGGGAAAACCATAATAGTGTTTAATTAAAGAATAAAAAGCAAAAAAAAAAATTAGCAGATTACCGTCATTTGTATTTTTTTGTTTACTCCAACATCTACAGTTAGATAATGAGAAACAAAAATTAGAACATATAAATTCTGTACTTTTCTATATAAACCTAAATGTACTGGAAATTCTCTATGATTGATCATTATGTAAAAAAGTCAAGTTTCAAGATAGTATATACAATATAATCCCTTCTATAAAGAAAAATTAAACTAGGCCAGAAAATACATATCTATGTATACATTAAGAATTTTGTTTAAATATACAAAACTCTATTTATATATTTACTTAAATCAGAGCAAATATTTTTACAATATAGGATCAGATATTTGTATTAATATAGAAACATTCATAGGCTATAAAGTGGACTCTGTGGCTAGATGTTTTATGGAACTCGACTTTGATATCTAGAAGTATACAGAGAAATAATACTTGATGTGACAAGTATGAAATTGTTGTAAAGGGCTTTATATAGGTCGTAACTCATCAAATTTACAATGATAATGACATCGCAGCATAATTAAAACTTGATAATATTATTTATAGATCAGATCAACTTAAATGTGTAGGGGAGGTAAAATTTTACTTGCACCCTCTTAAGCTTTTCAGCTGGGTCTGATAATTAAATTGACATAAGAAAGATTAAGAGAAGAAAAGTATATGCATTTGTTCATTTTAAGTTTTATGTTATATAGGTTCCTACATAAAAAAATGAAGACCTAGAAAACCAGTTAAAGTTGAACACTTACATACTGAGTTGGACAAAGAGTAGTAAATTTTGAAAATGTGGTAAAGCAAAAGGGCTTGTGTTAGAGTAGTTAGCTGAGTGGAGAAGACACTAGGAAGGAAAGGGTTAGTTTAGTAAGTTTTCTTTGTACAGATTCCCCATGTCCTCAACTTCCTGTCATTGGTAGGAATGATACTTTCCTTCTGGTATAGGGTGAATAGCTTTCACATGGGAATTTGGTCTCCTGCTTTCAGGAACAAGAAGGAAGTTCTTTTTGTACCTGCTATTTTTCAAGTGCCTTAAACTAAAAACATTCAATATACTTGAGCAACACACTTGGAATGGTGTCGTCTGAACTGCTTCAAACTAAATACAAGTCAGTGGGGCTAATGTGTTGAAGATGCTGGCTGACCATGTATTGAAGGATATTAGAGAGATGATCCAGCACCTGGATGTTAGAAAAGAGCATTTTAAAAGCCTCCATATTGGAGAGTACATATATTTAAATATATTTTTAAAGACAATAGTATTCCAAATGTATTAATATTAAAAGAAGGTAGGGGTCATATGATAGGAAAATTGAACTAAGACTATCAGGCAACTACAAATTTAACCAGCAGTTAATTAAAAGAAGAGGAATGTATCCATACCCTACTAAGTTGCCATCTTTAACTATTTAAATTGCAATATCTTCTTTTCTGTGTATCTACCTTGATAGAGTCTTTTATAAATCTTAATCAGCTTTCCAAATTTACTGGCAATTTGAACTCTCTTAAATAAAGCCCTGTGTGGCATGCAATCATTTATAGTGAATTCTAAATAATCAGCTCTTAGAGATTTCTGGACCCTATACAAGCAGATAAAAATTTCATGTATTACACTTAAAATATTACCATAGCTGAAAAGAAATAAGGGCTAATCCTACATTAGCAAATGCTGCAAATGTACTTACACTTCACATACAGCCAAAAATTAAACATTCACTACTTAACAGAGAAATGAAAGGCGCAATTAATCATTGAACTAATGGACTAATCAGGGTGAGATCAACTGCATCAGTTCATATAAGAATTGTACTTTATTTTTAATCCCAAATTTGACTTAAGAGGATTCAGGATATTTCTCCATAAATGACAATCATTTGAAAGATATAATTTTCTTTGCTTTCTAATACAAGTATGCAATGGAATTCCCCTGTATAATAAAGTAAGTTACTCAGGCGACATTGTTTTCCTCTTTGGAATGATCAATGAAAAAATAATACTATAAAAATATTTTCTTTCCAGTCTTCTTTAGTCTGTTGTGTCCTTATGTTGCTTTTCAGGACAAAAATTTTTAAATATGCTGGAAAGAGAATAAAGTCTTGTAGAAATTTCTCAGAGCATAATGAAGAGAACACATAGGCTTAGAGGCAAATCATCATAGCTTTAGATTAGTGGATCTCAAATTTTAGTGTGTCTAAAAATCATCTGGAAGGTTTGTTAAAACACCAAAAGCAATGGCAACAAAAGACAAAATTGACAAATGGGATCTAATTAAACTAAACAGCTTCTGCACAGCAAAAGAAACCACCATCAGAGTGAACAGGCAACCTACAGAATGGGAGAAAATTTTTGCAATCTACTCATCTGACAAAGGGCTAATATCCAGAATCTACAATGAACTCAAACAAATTTACAAGAAAAAAACAAACAACCCCATCAAAAAGTGGGCCAAGGATATGAACAGACACTTCTCAAAAGAAGACATTTATGCAGCCAAAATACACATGAAAAAATGCTCACCATCACTGGCCATCAGAGAAATGCAAATCAAAACCACAATGAGATACCATCTCACACCAGTTAGAATGGCAATCATTAAAAAGTCAGGAAACAACAGGTGCTGGAGAGGATGTGGAGAAATAGGAACACTTTTACACTGTTGGTGGGACTGTAAACTAGTTCAACCATTGTGGAAGTCAGTGTGGTGATTCCTCAGGGATCTAGAACTAGAAACACCATTTGACTCAGCCATCCCATTACTGGGTATATACCCAAAGGATTATAAATCATGCTGCTATAAAGACACATGCACACGTATGTTTATTGCGGCACTATTCACAATAGCAAAGACTTGGAACCAACCCAAATGTCCAACAATGATAGACTGGATTAAGAAAATGCGGCACATACACACCATGGAATACTATGCAGCCATAAAAAATGAAGAATTCATGTCCTTTGTAGGGACATGGATGAAACTGGAAACCATCATTCTCAGCAAACTATCGCAAGGAGAAAAAACCAAACACCGCATGTTCTCATTCATAGGTGGGAATCGAACAATGAGAACACATGGACACAGGAAGGGGAACATCACACTCCGGGGACTGTTGTGGGATGGGGGGAGGGGGGAGGGATAGCATTAGGAGATATACCTAACGCTAAATGATGAGTTAATGGGTGCAGCACACCAACATGGCACATGTATACATATGCAACAAACCTGCACATTGTGCACATGTACCCTAAAACCTAAATTAAAAAAAAAAAAAAACCCACAAATTTTTTTGGCCCCAGCACAATAGATTCTGGTTCAGGAGGTCAAGGGTGAGGCCTGAAATTCCTCATGTCTAACAACCTCCCAGGTGATGCCATTACTGCCATCCATGAGCCGAGCAATGGGCAACTCTAGAGATCATTGTTCTACTTACCAGCTTTGGTAACTGTGAATAAGTTTCTGAAAGTCTCAGGGTCTCAAGGTTTTCCTCCTCTGTGAAAAAAGAGATAACAACATTGACCTTACATGGTAACTAAAATGAGGCAGGCATTTATAATCAATTCTTTCTTTTTTTTTCTTTCTATTACAAAAATATTCTGCTCCTTTTGTTAGAACTACTGTTGGAACTTCAGCATATTTATTAATAAGGACAGCTGAGTGGTATCAATCCTCAGATTTGCAAATACATAGCTTGTGACTTGCACATTTGTGCCTCCATAACTAGATATGTTCAAATAATTAATAATTATTTGTTTAAGCATAAAACACATATATAATTAATAATTATCTGTGTTTTGGTCATAGTTCCAGTGATTAAAACAATGCACAGTATTAAAACGTGTGCCTCTACTAGTCAGTAGCCAGTCACAGATGAATTGATGATATTCAGTAAATGTGGAAAGAAAGGAAGAAAAGAGAGACATATTTCATGATTTTAAAAATTCTGTCACATTATAGAAAAGACTGTACTTACAATGCACAGTTTCTGGCACAAAGTAGATGTCCCTACCTATTTGTAGAAGCAGACTTTTTTTTAGCAAAATTGTACATGTAACCCAGCATGTACGATATAAGAAAGCGAAAGTGATCAGAATGAAGCAGGCTAGGAGAATCGCTGATTTCCCTGTTCTGTCTACTGAGCTAGAGCTTGAAAAGCTTTGCCTCTGTTTTTGATGTTTGATGATTCTTCCAACATTAGCATGCTAAGAAGGGAGGCTAGAATTCATGTCTTTAGAATGCTAGTGACATACTTCTCCTCAGAAATAAGACATGGAGTAAATAAATGAAGAAGAACAATGGGTTCCATTCTGCTCTAGGTGCTGGGGCAAATGCTATTCCCAGATGTGGAAGACAAAGGCACCTGAGAAATGAGACTTGGCCTGGGGAACATAGGAGCAGCTCTGAAGCTTTGCCTCAGCCAGCAACTTGCACTGTGCTAGGTTTCACTTCAGGTCTGTAATCTCAAAGGCACACATGTATTGTTCCACTCCATTTGTAGTTGCCATAGGAAACTGAGGGACTACTTAACATTTAAGTGAATAAATTAAATGATCAGAAAGACTAGAATGCATATCATCTCTCATTATTATTGGCTAAGTCTTGGAAAAATATATAAATTTCTTTTCAATCTAGTAAGTAGTAGATTCAGTTAATCAAACCTTTCATCTTATATATCACTATTTTATCATGGTTCCCTCTTGATTTGTTTATTTATAATTACTATCCCCATTCCCTTGTACAATCATTCTAATATATATAACAGAATTACTTTTAAAATGGGTGCTTGTAAAATATACATTAGAAATTTGTATGCATGTATTTTTGTTTTATATGAATGGTGATTGCCAAAAATGCCATCATGTTTTTAGGCAGGGTGAGAGAGAGAGAGAGAACCCTTTTTAAAATCTACTCTCAATACCATGCATCTATCTGCTGCTTAATATTCTATACAGTGTATCCTCCATATTTTACTTAATCAAGCCCCAGTGATGGTCTCCCATTGCCTCAAAATTCTAACTCCCATAAACAAAACTACAACAAACATCTTTGCATGTGTTTCCTTTTGGATCTCCATGAGGTGCTGTTATTATTGGGCCAAAAGGCTATCCACATATTCAATTTTGCTCTGAAGTGTAATATTCACTGGATGTGCCAGCCTGAATGAGGGAACACCCCCCACCAACTGATGATATAAAACTTTTCACTCAAGCCAATCTGATAGGTACAGTGTGATATTTCATTACTGCTTTAATTGGCTCTGATTACTGATGAATTTCAGCATTTCTTCATATGCTTGAAGGCCTTTGGGATCTTTCTCTTCTAATTAATTATCTGTTCAGTCACAGGTCACATTGCAGAAGAACATGTGGGATGGAAGATATGGAGTCCACCTTTGGAAACTATTAAATTATTCATCTTTTTCTATGGATGTTCTTTCTCTCTCTCTCTCGGCTCCATTATAAACCATACTCTTACACATGCCTTGGTCTATCGGTGGGTTTTCAAGTCCTTACAATCTGTGAGGCAGATTCCTTCACTCCTTTCCTAGTTTCTTGTTTTAAAATGTTGAAGGGAAACAGTGTTTGATACTGTTGATTCACCCTGTGAAAAGTACAAAATGGCTCAATTTGCTTCAGATCTGCTTTTATGTTTTTTAATCAAATATTAATTTCTTATACAAAGAGGTTTTCTGTATTATTTTAAAGACCTTATATTTTTGTTGCTAATATGAAGAATATCTTTATTTTTAGTTGTGGTTAGTTTGCTGTCATTGATTTTTGTAAATATACATTTTTTTGTGGAGACTTTACCAAACACTTTTATAAGTGACCATGTTTTGTTGATTATTATTTCCATTTTTTCCCTAGGAGATAATCATATTAAATTATTTAACATCATTATTTACATATACTGCAAATAATGGCACTTTTTAAAATTTTTTGATTCTGATATGTCTTATTTCTTTTTTCTTTCTTCCTGCATTAGATAGAAGTAATTCCATGTTAAGTTGTAATCTTCTCTTGTTCTAATGCTAGAGTTTCCCTTTAGGTACAGCACCATTTATACATATTTCATAGTTATCAAGGTAAGAAAGTTTCTCTATTTCAGGTCTGCCAGGGTTTATTTTTTAATCTTCTGTAAATGTTGAAGTTTATCAAAAGCAACCTCTATCCATGATGGAAACCAGTCAATATGCTGAGACAATTAGATTACAGATGTTAAAAAATATAACATTGTTTTTTCCATTGTTCATATGAACTTTCAAGAATTATTACCACATTTGCAATGTTTTAAGATCATGGTTACACATATTTATTTATTACATGATTAATTGATTTTATTGTTCATTTTAATTTTAGTGTAGCAGCTCCATGTTTGAGATCTTTATTTGTTTTTTAATGGACATCAGAAGTGATTTGAAGTTGTTTGGTTATTGTTTTTTCTTTTGAGATGGAGTCTCACTCTGTTGCCCAGGCTGGAGTGCAGTGGCGTGATCTCAGCTCCCCGCAACCTCTGCCTCCTGGGTTCAAGCGATTCTCCCACCTCAGCCTCCCGAGTTGGTGGGATTACAGGCTGAAGTTATTTTATTATATTTTTACTATACACATACACACATACATTTTTAGAGACTACTGTTTACACACAAGTATTTACCAACGCAAATAAACAAATATTTTTATATTGTATTTTGTCAGATTTTTAATTAAAAAATAAAAATTTACAAATTAGTCAATTCATCTTTTCCCTGACTGAGTCCTTGATTATATCCTGAAATCTTTCTAACGACAACCATTAACATGAATGTAGAGTAAATCATTTCAGTCCACACCGCATCACGTGATTTTGAAAGTTTTCTCTTCCCCCATTTTTTCTTGGAGGTTTGGAATTACAGCTGGAGGTTCTATAATTTTGGTTGTCACCCTAAATTATTCAACATGCTTACATAAGATTGGAGAAAGTGATCGCGCTTTACCTGGTGAAATCCGGCTTCAAGGGCAGGCAGCCTGCGCAGCTGCACGGGCCTCATACTCAAGACAGAGTTTGCACTTGGTTTAATGCTCCGCTTTCACGTTCTTTAAACTCTTAATACTTCGTCTTAGAACTTATATTTTGTAAGTGAAGTCTGATGGGCCAACTGAGCATGAGTGCATGCAAAGGATTATCAGATGGGCCCAATCTCATTACAGAAGCCCTTTAAAAGCTGAATTTTCTCTGTCGGGAGACAAGAAAAGTCAGAGAGATCTGAAGCCTGAGAAGGACGGAATGGGCTGCTGCCACCTTTGAAAATAGGTCATGTCCTTTGCAGGGATAAGGATGGTGCTGGAGGCCATTATCCTTAGAAAACTAACACAGGAACAGAAAACCACATACCAAATGTTCTCACTTGTAAGTGAAAGCTAATGATGAGAACACATTGACACACAGAAGGGAACCACATGCCCTGGGGCCTATCAGAGGGTGGGGGTGGGTGGAGGGAGAGGATCAGGAAGAATAACTAATGGGTAGTAGGCTTAATACCTGGATGACAAAACAATCTGTACCACAACCCGCATGACACAAGTTTACCTGTGTAACAAACCTGCACTTGTACCCTTGAACTTAAAATCAAAGTTTAAAAAAAAGGAAAATGGGAAAAAGGAAAAAGAAGGAATTTGAACAGGCACTAAGAGGAGACAGTAGCCACAGGAGACAGCCATTAAGGAAAGGGAAAACTCAGACCTATAACCTTAAAAACCTGAATTCTGACAACACACAAGTGACTTTGGAAACTAATTATTCCCAAGAGCCTCCAGATAACAGCTCCCTCAGCCAAGACCTTGATTTCAGCCTTGAGAGACTGAGCAGAGAATCTGACAGATCCTGCCTGGACTTCTGACCTACAGAACTATAAGATAACTGTGGGTTGTTTTAACCTATTAAATTTATAGTAATATAAACATCAATTGAAATAATATTATCCAGTACATCTCATACATCTTCTACAATATGTGTGAGATCTTCAGTCTGTTACATGGAAAAATATTTAATTGATTATGTAGGTTTCTGTACTTTTAACAACTACCATTTAAAAATTTCTATTGATATTTTTAATTGCTTGCTGTACTTTTAGATGAAGATCACAGTTTGCCTGTCACTGGGGCCTAATACAGGTTATAATCTTGTGTTTGCCTTTCAGAGATTTTGGCCAGAAATACATCTACATGTACACATATATCCTATTTTTGTTTATTATTAAATTATGTATTTACTAATTTTGAAAGGTAGAAAGGAATCTCTACTAGATACAAGGTTTCTTTTTATTTCAATTATTTAAGCCAGAAATTAAATGAGAAAATGCCGATCGTCTATCAACAATTTGGATATGTTCTGCTTTAGTTAGCTGGCTGTACATGCTCTCCAAGATGCTTGAGTAAATATCAACGTTAGTCATTTCATTGCTGAACAGTGTGAACTCATTCATGGATTTGCAGTTTGCCCTCACCTCCACCTGATCTGACTGGAGCACATCTAGTTCTTTCCACCATTTCATGTCTTTATGAGCCTATTGGCCTATATATATATTTCTCTGAAGGAACTGTGACATCTACAGGTTAGCTAGGTTGCTCTCCTCACACTCAGATGACTTTCTTTTTAAAATCAGTGGTGTTAATGTCTCTCCTTCCTAAGCACATGTCTTAGCCTGTCATGTGCTTAAACTGTACATTGTAGACTGCTGTACACATTGAACTCTACTCAATGTTTCTTCAAAATCAAGAGATTTAGAATGTTTTCCAAGAGACCTTGTGGCTTCCAAAAACTCATTTTATCATTCACATGTTTTGAATTCTTGCTTGGCTAGTATTTTTCTCAATCTAGTCCTGTTTGCAGCACTCCTAATGATAGTTAAATTTTTTCTTGTGTATTAGTGACACTCTTGTTTTGTAATTCTTTTTAGATGCTTTTGTATGCATGTATGAGTATATATGAAAGTGTGTGTGTGTACATGTATCATCATTTAGTGGCATTTGTAAAGACCATACTTTAAATATGTAAATTTTTTAAAAAGAATATTTTTGGGAAATTTATTATTATCATTATTAACAGGTTCTTATCTAGATATTTGATATCTATATATGACATATCTATATATTGCATATTAAGCCCTTCTTTTTAATATGTGCTGCAGATACTTTTTTGGTATTAATATATGAATACCTCCCTATGTTGCCCAGGCTGGTCTCAAACTCCTGGGCTCAAAGAATCTGCCTGCCTCGTCCTTCCAAAATGTTGGGATTATAGGAGTGAGCCAGTGCACCCAGCCAGTATATTTGTATTTAATCTTTTTTACTGGTTGTTTAAGAAATAAAAGTTTGAAAACAATAATGGCTTGGTGTGTTTAGAAAGTTCTTTTGAATCCAAGTATAGATTAAAATTAAACTTGCCTGAAGCCTGCATCTTATTGATATTTTAAAATGTCATTTAATATTGATGAAACATATATAAATTGATTTAGTAGCAAAAATTTCATTCAGCAGAAAGTTACTCTAAATAAAACTGACTTTCTAAACAACACACCCAACTATTAATATCAGATATTTTTTGAGAAGATGAGAAAGTGGGTTTACAACTATCTGAATGTATATCCTGAATTTTCTTAAAGAACCTATTTTTTTGTATTGTCCACATAAATGCTTGAGTTATCAAAATCCCAACAAGACTATTTTCAAAAATATATATCTATTAATTGCCTTCAGATTCAAAGCTAAATTATTTCCAATGTTTTATATCCTAATTTCAGAAGCAGATCATATTTTTCCCTTGAATATAACCTACGTAAGTCTATAAATCATGAAGTTTTGCTTACGGCAATGCAGTTGTCTTCCTTTTTTCTTGGGTATAAAGTAAGAGAAGATATGTAAATATTTGGATGAATATTCACAATTGGAAGAATTTCAGACACCAGTGACACCTTGGGTAATTAGCCAACATTTCAAGCTATCACACAAATGATATTGCAAAGAAGAGTGACTTTAAATAATCTTTTAATTTAATTTTTTATGATTTCCTTTTTTTGATTATTATTATACTTTAAGTTTTAGGGTACATATGCACAATGTGCAGGTTTGTTGCATACATATACATGTGCCATGTTGGTGTGCTGCACCCATTAACTCGTCATTTACATTAGGTATATCTCCTAATGCTATCCCTCACCTCTCCCCCACCCAACAACAGTCCCTGGTATGTGATGTTCCCCTTCCTGTGTCCATGTGTTCTCATTGTTCGATTCCCACCTGTGAGTGAGAACATGTGGTGTTTGGTTTTTTGTCCTTGTGATAGTTTGCTGAGAATGATGGTTTCCAGATTCATCCATGTCCCTACAAAGGACCTAAACTCATCATTTTTTATGGCTGCATAGTATTCCATGGTGTATATGTGCCACGTTTTCTTAATCCAGTCTATCATTGTTGGACATTTGGCTTGGTTCCAAGTCTTTGCTATTGTGAATAGTGCCGCAATAAACATACGTGTGCATGTGTCTTTATAGCAGCATGATTTATAATCCTTTGGGTATACACCCAGTAACGGGATGGCTGGGTCAAATGGTATTTCTAGTTCAAGATCCCTGAGGAATCACCACACTGACTTCCACAATGGTTGAACTAGTTTACAGTCCCACCAACAGTGTAAAAGTGTTCCTATTTCTCCACATCCTCTCCAGCACCTGTTGTTTCCTGACTTTTTAATGATTGCCATTCTAACTGGTGTGAGATGGTATCTCAATGTTGTTTTGATTTGCATTTCTCTGATGGCCAGTGATGATGAGCATTTTTTCGTGTGTTTTTTGGCTGCATAAATGTCTTCTTTTGAGAAGTGTCTGTTCATATCCTTGGCCCACTTTTTGATGGGGTTGTTTTGTTTTTTTCTTGTAAATTTGTTTGAGTTCATTGTAGATTCTGGATATTAGCCCTTTGTCAGATGAGTAGGTTGCGAAAATTTTCTCCCATTCTGTAGGTTGCCTGTTCACTCTGATGGTGGTTTCTTTTGCTGTGCAGAAGCTGTTTAGTTTAATTAGATCCCATTTGTCAATTTTGGCTTTTGTTGCCATTGCTTTTGGTGTTTTAGACATGAAGTCCTTGCCCATGCCTATGTCCTGAATGGTACTGCCTACATTGTCTTCTAGGGTTTTTATGGTTTTAAGTCTGATATGTAACTCTTTAATCCATCTTGAATTAATTTTTGTATAAAGTGCAAGGAAGGGATCCAGTTTCAGCTTTCTACATATGGCTAGTCAGTTTTCCCAGCACCATTTATTAAATAGGGAATCCTTTCCCCATTGCTTGTTTTTGTCAGGTTTGTCAAAGATCAGATAGTTGTAGATATGCAGCATTATTTCTGAGGGCTCCATTCTGTTCCATTGGTCTATAGCTCTGTTTTGGTACCAGTACCATGCTGTTTTGGTTACTGTAGCCTTGTAGCATAGCTTGAAGTCAGGTAGCGTGATGCCTCCAGCTTTGTTCTTTTAGCTTAGGATTGACTTGGCAATGCGGGCTCTATTTTGGTTCCATATTAACTTTAAAGTAGTTTTTTCCCCAGGCCGGTTGCCCTGGCACTCGGGGAGGCGAGGCTACAGGTTCAAGGCCAACCTGGTGAACTTTGATTTACTATTAAAAAACAAAAAGATTAGTCACCTATTTCTGGTAAAGTAACAAGTAAACATATCAAAATAAGAAAATGGAATATTTGAAAGTAATGACTTTATACTATACACTTATATCACCACTTTTCATTATCACTTACATTGCACATCCAAAATACTTTTCTGTTTCTATTGAATAATTAGAAATAAATAAGACCTGATGCTGTCTTCAAGAAGCTTATAATAAGCAGCTAACATGTGGGCATGAAAATAGGATGATTAACAATATGAGAAAGCTCCAGAGACATGTCAAAGCAGTGGGTGTGGCTCAAAAGATGGGGTTACTTCTCCCAGTTTCCAAGCAAGAGGTACCACATGTCACCATGAGGGTCACACTAGCAGAAAATGAAGAATAGAGAATGAAAGAAACAGAAAAAATATATATTGAAAGACTCAATGGTTGAAAGTTTCCCAAGTTGACGATAAACATTAAAAATATTAATCTACACATCCAAGAAGCTCAAAAAACTCCAAGCAGGCTAAAGGCACAAAAGGTCCACATCCAGACGTAATGTGGTAAAATGGTCGAAAGGCAAAGGTAAAGAGAATATCTTGTAAGATGCAAGTGATAGACAACTGTCACATGCCAGAAACCAAGATGACATCAACAGTTGACTTCTCATCAGAAATAATAGAGGCCACAGGCAAAACATCTTTCAAAAAAATAAAGGCAAAAAATACATTCTCACTTACTAAAGTAAAACTAAGAGAATTTGTTGTTAGCAGATGCTCCTGACAAGAACTACTAAAGGAAATTCTTCAGGCCGAAAACACATACACTTAGATGGACATTTAAATCTAAAACAGAAAACAAAGAGCACCAGGAAAGGCAATTATCAAGACACATATGTGGGAGGAAATTTTTGCATACCACATATCTGATAAGGGACACATTTTGCAAACCATGTGTGTCTAGATGTATTCGTCTGTTCTCACACTGCCATAAAGATACTACCTGAGACTAGGTAATTTATGAATAAAAGAAGTTTAATTGACTCACAGTTCTGCATGGCTAGGGAGGCCTCGGGAAACTTACAATCATGTCGGAAGGGGAAAGGAAAGCAATCACCTTCTTCACAAGGCAGCAGGGTAGAGAGAGAGAAAGAAAGAGTGCGGGGAAACTGCCATTTTTAAAACCATCAGATCTTATGAGAACTCCCTCACTATCACTAGAGCAGCATGTGGAACCTCCCACAGAATCCAGTCACCTTCCACCAGGGCCCTCCCTCAACATGTGGGGATTACAATTCGAAATGAGAATTGGGTAGGACACAGAGCCAAATCATGTTACTAGAATATAGAAATAACTGCTACAACTCAATAATAAAAAGACAATCCAATTAAATAATGAGCAAAGGATCTGAACACATGCTTCTCCAAATAAGATACACAATGTTTAATAGGCACTTGAAAAGATACTCAATGTAATTAGCTATCAAGAATGTGTAACACCACAACACTCAACACCACAATGAGATACTACTTTACACCCACTAGAAGGGCTATAATGAAAAGAGATATAAGAACAACGGTTGGCAAAGAGATGGATAAATTGGAACCTTCATACACTGCTGGTGAAAATATAAAATGGCGCAGGTACTTTGAAACATAGTTTGTAGCTCGTCAAAAGGTTAAACATAGAATTACCATATGACCCAGCCATTTTACTTTAGGTATGTAACCAGGAGAAATAAAAACATATGTCCATGAAAAATATGCCAAACAAATGTACATAGCAGCATTATTTATAATAGACAAAAAAATAGAGACAACCTAAATGTCCATCAACTGATGAATGGATAAATAAAATGTAATATATTCATACAATGGTGTATTACTCAACAATAAAAAATGAAATACTGATATATTCTACAACATGGATTTGCCTTGAAAACAGCTCACGATGTCAAAAAAAAAAAAAAAAAAAGGCAGTTGTGAAGGACTACATATTGTATTTCACTTATACAGGAAATTTAGAACAGGTAAATTTAAAAAAATAGATTAGTGATTGCCTGTGGTCTAGAGGGAGGCAGGAATGAGGAGTAACAGCAATGGGGCATGGAGTATATTTTGGCATAATGAAAATGTTCAAAAAATTATTATGGTTATGAATGCACAAATTTGTGGAAAAACCATTGAATGGCTTGCTTGAATTGTGTGATTTATATCGTATGTGAATGATATTTCAATAAAGTTAACTTTTTGAAAGAGTTGAAGTAAATTCCTTTTTAGTTTAAGTAGTTATGGTTGGGGTTTCAACACTGAGGACAATGTGGAGTTATTTAATTGAAGCTGGAAAAGGATCCCTGGAGACCAACTCACCCTCTCATAAGTTTTCTCTATAACTGCATCTCCTGTGTCCAACTGCTTAAGCAAAGCAAACAAAACAAATGTGAAACTAAAAATATATTGAGTAACAAAAATATAAAATAAAGCTAAAATAACATATAGCATAAGAAGCCAAAGCAAGATTCAACCAACTGTATGAGTTAAAAATTAAATCATAAAAATTATAAGAAATATATGATAAAATCAGTAAATATAACTAAGAATATCAGATGAGATGAAACACAGATAAAATAAATGCTAAATTGAATAATATTTGAGGTGCATTAAAAGAGCTTGAAGCAAAAAAAGTTAAATAAATGATAAAGTCAGTCATGTTATAATTAGATAAAATCTAACTATATACAGTGTATTATTCTGTTCTCAGGCTGCTAATGAAGATATACCCAAGACTGGGTAATTTATAAAGAAAAGAGTTTTAATTGACTCACAGTTCCATATAGCTGAGGAGGCCTCACAATCATGGTGGAAGGCAAATGAGGAGCAAAGTCACACCTTACATGGCATTAAGCACAAGAATGTGCAGGGGAATTCCTTTATAAAACCATCAGATCTTGTGAGACTTATTCACTATCACAAGAACAGCATGGGAAAGAACCACTTCCATGATTTAATTACCTCCCACCAGGTCCCTCCCATGGCACATGGAAATTATGAGAGCTACATCTGAGATGAGATTTGGGTGGGGACACAAGAGTCAAACCATATCAGACACTAATACAAGTAAAAGACAATAGAAAATATCAAGCGCAAAACTTGAATAAATTTTTAAAATATGTTAGAGGCAAGATGGCTGACTAGACACAGCCACTGAAGAACTGGAATATTGGGAAGACTGAGGCACTCCAAGCAGATCTCCAGAAGGAATGCATCTGAGAATGGACAGAAGAAGGACACAGATGATGAGCTAAAGGGGAAAGAAACAGGGAAGCCTACACAGGGTTACAATGCCCTGGGACTTGTTTCTGGCTGCCAACAACCATTGTGGAAGGGGTGAGCAGGGCAAGCCAAGAGCAACCTTTTCTTGCCACAGACCTCTGGAATCTTGGCAGCAGGAGACCCTACAACCCACAGAGACAGTTAAGCTGGCAGGGACAGCTGCTTAAAGAGGTGGTACTCAAGCCTGTGCAGTACTCAAGCCTGTGCAGGGCCCAGACAGTTTAGTGCAGGAATATCTGCAGTGGAGCACAGCCAGCGATAACCCCCCGCCACCCCCCAACCCCCACACTCCCCATCCCAAGGCTTGCCATGCTTCCCTATGAGACTGTAGCCTTAGGGGAACTTTTGGACCTGAACAGAGCAGGGCAACCTTACCTATGAGATGGGCCACTCCAACCTGAGTGGTCTTCTGTCTTCTAGCCTTTCTCAGCGCCTGACATTGCCATGCCTGATTGCAGTGTAGGTTGGATGCCCTGCTGATGTGCCTCCAGAGACCCCGTATCATAGCTTCTGCATTGGCAAACCACACCTGACTATTGGAGAGCTCCACCAGAGTGGCCTTTACTGATGTGGCTTAGCACATCTGCACACCACCCCCACTTCAGCCTCTTCTGCACCACTTTGCCAGCATGCACTTGCCCACAGTCACCCCCCATATCACTTCTCCAGTGCATGTGTGCTCAGGCAGATCTCACCTCTCCTTCCCTGCCAGTGTGTGTGTTTGATGCATGGACCCCACCATGCCACTGCTGCCAGCATGAGTGTACCCTACTCCCCTCCCTACTGCACCACCATTGCCAATCTAAATGCATGCATGGAGACCATCAACCCCATGCCACCACTGCCACTAGCATGAACATGCAAATAGAAGCTGCTTGCTCTGTGCCGACCAAATCCCCACAACTATGCCGATACCATGGCAGACGTGAATATGTGCATGGACGCCTTGGTTCCACCTTGCACTGCCACTGCCGCGGGCATGAATACATTGATAGAAGCTGCCAGCCTTGCACCCACCAACACAGTATCCTTGCTCCAACACTGCCACAGCTACAAACACCTGCACAGAGGATATCACACCTGCGTTTGCCAGTACCTCACCCCAGTAGGTGAACATTCAACTTGCCATGCTGCCGCAGCTCCTGGCACACACAAATGAGCACAAATCCTGGTTCCACCACTCAATGAAGTGTTTTGGCTGTCATCACTCTTTGCAGTGTGGTAGCCATTGGTGCAAAATATCTTAGCTCCTGCAGCACAGCACGTTTCTAGCCTCAAAGGGCCAGAGAAGAGAGCCAGGGGTGATGCAATCCTGTTGGAGTTAGAGCATGCAGCCAAGCAATGCTGAGCTGAACCTCGGCCCTCTAAAATCTTCTAGAAATTAATGCAGTCCACTGAACCCACCTTACACCACAGTAAAACCACCAATGACATCAAAGCAGATAAAAACCAAAAAAAAAAAAAAAATCCAAAGGACAGCAACATTTTTTTTTTTTTTTTTTGGAAACACTGTCTCACTCTGTCACCCAGGCTGGAGTGTAGTGGTGTGATCTTGGCTCACTGAAACCACCACCTCCTGGGTTCAAGTGATTATCCTGTCTCACCCTCCTGAGTAGCTGGAATTACAGGAACACCCCACTATGCCCAGTTGATTTTTGTATTTTTAGCAGAGATGGTGTTTCACTATGTTGACCAGGCTGGTCTTGAACTCACGACCTCAGGTGATCCGCCTGTCTCAGCCTCCCAAAGTGCTGGGATTACAAGCATGAGCCACTGTGCCTGACCAAAGGCACAGCAACTTTAAAGACTGAAGAAACATCAGCCCACAAAGATGACAGAGAACCAGTGCAAGAACTCTGGCAACTAAAAACCCAGATTGTCTTCTTAACCTCCAAACGACCATACTAGTTTCCAAGAAATGGTTTTAGCCAGGATAAAATGGCCGCAATGATAAAAACAGAATTCAGAATATAAGTAGAAAAAAAGATCATTGAGATTCAGTGGGAAATCAAAACCCAATCAAAGGATTCTAAGGAATATGATAAAATTATAAAGGAAATGAAGGTTGAAATGGCCATTTTAAGAAAGAACCAAACTGAACTGACAGAGATGAAAAACTCACTTCAAGAATTTCAGAACACAATCAAAAGTATTAACACCAGAACTAACCAAGCTGAGGAAAGAATTTCAGAGCTCAAAGACCAGTTCTCCAAAATAACTCAGCCAGACAAAAATAAAGAAAAAACACTAAAGAAGAATAAACAAAATCTCTGAGAAATATGGGATTATGTAAAGAGACCAAATGTACAACTAATTGGCATCCATGAAGGACAGGAAGAGAAAGCAAGCAATTTGGAAAACACATTTCAGGATATCATCCATGAAAACTCCTCCAACTTCGCTAGAGAGGCCAACATTCAAATTAAGGAAATGCAGAGAACCCCTGTGAAATACTACACAAGAAGACCATCCACGAAACACATAGTCATCGGATTCTCTGAGGTCAAAATGAAAGCAAACATGTTAAAGGCAGCTACAGAGAAAGGACAGGTCACCTACAAAGGGAACCCTAACAGGTTAATAGTGGATCTCTCAGCAGAAACCCTATAAGTCAGAAGAGACTGGGGTTTGACATGCAGCACTCTTTTTTAAAAAATTTTTTTAATTTTTTTATTATACTTTAAGTTCTAGGGTGCATGTGCACAACGTGCAGGTTTGTTACATATGTATGCACGTGCCATGTTGGTGTGCTGCACCCATTAACTCGTCATTTACAATAGGTAATTCTCTTAATGCCATCCCTCCCCGCTCCCTCCACCCATGACAGGCTCCAGTGTGTGATGTTCCCTGCCCTGTGCCCAAGTGTACTCATTGTTCAATACCCACCTATGAGTGAGAACATGCAGTGTTTGGTTTTCTGTCTTTGTGATAGTTTGCTCAGAATGATGGTTTCCAGCTTCTTTCATGTCCCTACAAAGGACATAAACTCATCCTTTTTTGATGGCCGCATAGTATTCCATGGTGTATGTGCCACATTTTCTTAATCCAGTCTATCATTGATGGACATTTGGATTGATTCGAAGTCTTTGCTATTGTGAATAGTGCCTCAATAAACATACGTGTGCATGTGTCTTTATAGTAGCATGATTTATAATCCTTTCAGTATATGCCCCGTAATGGGATTGCTAGGTCAAATGGTATTTCTAGTACTAGATTCTTGAGGAATTGCCACACTGTCTTCTACAATGGTTGAACTAGTTTACACTCCCACCAACAGTGTAAAAGTGTTCCTATTTCTCCACATCCTCTATAGCACCTGTTGTTTCCTGACTTTTTAATGATCGCCATTCTAACTGGTTTAAGATGGTATCTCATTGTGGTTTGGATTTGCACTTCTCTGATGGCCAGTGATGATGAGCATTTTTTCATGTGTCTGTTGGCTACATAAACGTCTCTTCTGAGAATTGTCTGTTCATATCCTTTGCCCACTTGTTGATGGGGTTGTTTGATTTTTTTCTTATAAATTTGTTTAAGTTCTTTGTAGATTCTGGATATTAGCCCTTTGTCAGATGAGTAGATTGCAAAAATTTTCTCCCATTCTGTAGGTTGCCTGTTCACTCTGATGGTGGTTTCTTTTGCTGTGCAGAAGCTCTTTAGTTTAATTAGATCCCATTTGTTGATTTTGGCTTTTGCCACCATTGCTTTTGGTATTTTAGTCATGAAGTCCTTGCCCATGCCTATGTTCTGAATGGTATTGCCTAGGTTTTCTTCTAGGGTTTTTATGGTTTTAGGTCTAACATTTAAGTCTTTAATCCATCTTGAATTAATTTTTGGATAAGGTGTAAGGAAGGGATCCAGTTTTAGCTTTCTACATATGGCTAGTCAGTTTTCCCAGCACCATTTATTAAATAGGGAATCCTTTCCCCATTTCTTGTTTTTGTCAGGTTTGTCAAAGTTCAGATGGTTGTAGGTATGTGGCATTATTTCTGAGGGCTCTGTTCTGTTCTATTGTTCTATATCTCTGTTTTGGTACCAGTGCCATGCTGTTTTGGTTATTGCAGCCTTGTAGTATAGTTTGAAGTCATGTAGCATGATGCCTCCAGTTTTGTTCTTTTGGCTTAGGATTGACTTGGCAATGTGGGCTCTTTTTTGGCTCCATACGAACTTTAAAGTAGTTTTTTCGAATTCTGTTAAGAAAGTCATTGGTAGCTTGGTGGGGATGGCATTGAATCTATAAATTACCTTGGGTAGTATGGCCATTTTCATGATATTGATTCTTCCTATCCATGAGCATGGAATGTTCTTCCATTTGTTTGTGTCCTCTTTTATTTCTTTGAGCAGTGTGGTTTGTAGTTCTCCTTGAAGAGGTCCTTCATGTCCCTTGTAAGTTGGATTCCTGGGTATTTTATTCTCTTTGAAGCAATTGTGAATGGGAGTTCACTCATGATTTGGCTCTCTGTTTGTCTGTTATTCGTGTATAGGAATGCTTGTGATTTTTGCACATTGATTTTGTATTCTGAGACTTTGCTGAAGCTGCTTATCAGCTTAAGGAGATTTTGGGCTGAGACAATTGGGTTTTCTAAATATACAATCATGTCATCTGCAAACAGCGACAATTTGACTTCCTCTTTTCCTAATTGAATACCTTTTATTTCTTTCTCCTACATGATTGCCCTGGCCAGAACTTCCAATACTATGTTGCAGCACTCTTAAAGAAAAGAATTTCTAATCAAGAATTTCATATCCAGTCAAACTAAGCTTCATCAGTGAAGGAGAAATAAAATCGTTTTCAGACAAACAAATGCTAATGGAATTTGTTACCACCAGACCTGCCTTACAAGAGATTGTTAAGGGAGTGCTAAAACTGGAAAGAAAAGACCATTATCAGCCACCACAAAAACACACTTAAGTACATAGGCCAGTGACACTATAAAGCAACCACACAACAAGTCTACATAATAACCAGCTAAAAACACAATGACAGGATCAAATCTGCCCATATCAATAGTAACCTTGGATGCAAATAGACTAAATTCCCCTAGGAAAAGGCACAGAGTGGCAAGTTCGCTAAAAAGTCAAGACCCAACAGTATGCTTTCTTCAAGAGATCCATCTTAGATGCAATAACACCCACAGGCACAAAGAAATGGAGTAAACTCTACCAAGTAAACAAAAAATCAGAAAAAAACAGGGACTGCTATTCAATTTCAGACAAAAAAGACTTTAAACCAACAAAAATCTAAGAAGACAAAGAAGGAGATAGCATATTGGTAAATGACTCAATTCAACAAGAAGGCCCGACTATTCTAAATATATATGTGCCCAACACTCAGATACATAAATCAAGTTCTTAGAGACCTATGAAAAGACTTAAATAACGACATAATAATAGTTGGAGACTTCAACACCTCACTGATGGTATTAAACAGATCATCAGTGCAGAAAACTAACAAAGATATTCAGGACCTGAACTAGACACGTGACAAAATGAACCTGTCATGTGTCTATAGTAGATAGACATCTAAAGAACTCTCCACCTAAAACAACAAAATATACATTCTTCTCATCTGCACATAGCACATACTCAAAGACCAAACACACAAATGACATAAAACAATATTCAACAAATTAAAAAATTCAAAATCATACCATGCACATTCTTGGATCACAGTGCAATAAAAAAAAGATTAATATTAAGAAAATCACTCAAAATGATAAAATTACATGGAAATTAAACAACCTGCTCCTGAATCACTTTTAGGTAAATAATTAAATTAAGGCAGAAATCAATAAATTTTTTGATACTAATAAGAACAAAGGCACAACATTCCAGAATCTTTGGAACACAACTAAAGCAGTGTTAAGAGAGTAGTTTTAGCAGTAAAAGCCCACATCAAAAATTTAGAAAGATCTTAAATTAACAACCTAACATCACCACTAGAGGAATTAGAGAACCAAGAGCAAACGAACACCAAATGTAGCAAAAGATAAGAAATAGCCAATATCAAAGCTCTGAACTGAAGAAAATTGGAAGTAACAAACCATACAAAAGATCAATGAATGATTAATTTTTTCTCTGAAATAATTAAGATATATAGACTACCAGCTAGACTAATAAAGAAAAAAGAAGAGAAGATCCAAATAAACACAACCAGAAATGACAAAGGAGATACTACCACTGACCCAACAGAAATACAAAAAAACCCTCAGAGACTGCTATGAATACCTCTGTGAACACATTCTAGAAAACCTAGAAGACATGAATAAATTCCTCTAAACATACTATCTCCCAAGGTTGAACCAGGAGGAAATTGAATCCTTGAACAGATGAGATCTAAAATTGTGTCAGATATAAAAAGTCTACAAACCAGAAAAATTCATCCCAGGATCAGATGGATACATAACCAAATTCTACCAGGCATATAAAGAAGAGCTGGTACCATTCCTATTGAAATTATTCCAAAAAATTGAGGAGGAGGGACTATTTCCTAACTCATTTGTTATCATCCTGATGCCAAAACCTGGCAGAGGCACAACAAAAAAAGAAAACTTCAGGCCAGTATCTTTGATGGACATGGATGCAAAAATTCTCAAGAAAATACTAGCAAACTGAACCCAATAGTGAAATGACATCACTGTTTAGGGTGATACCTGAGATTCATTGTCCCATGGCCATGGAAGACTAGGATGCAGACACACCAGAGTGAGGTTGAGAGTGGAAGTTTAATAGGTGAAAGAAAGAGAAAAACTCTCTGTGCAGAAAAGGGTCTTCGAGAAAAAAATCTGCAGAAGTTTTATAGATGAGCTTGTCTGGTTTACATAGGGCATGAAAGATTGGTTGGACCACGTGTACCATTTGCATAGTACACAAAGAAGCTGGCTGCCCCACTCTAAACTTTTATTATGCATATGGGTTCTCTACCTAGTTCGTGCCATGTTGCCTGCTTTCTTTTACTGTACACGTGGTGACAAAGAAAAGGGAAGATGGAGCCTCCATGTTGAACATACCTGGCTTCCAGGTAGCCTTTTCCTATTGGCACAGCTGCCAGCATTCACCTGTGCAAGTTTCCAGCTTGTTTATCTATGTTTGCAGCTTGATTTTACAGGCTGCTCTTTGTTAAAAAGGAAGCCTTGCTGAGACTCATTAACATCACCATCTGGATAAATAATTTATTTTTAGTTCCTGTATCAATAACACATCAAATAGTTAATCTATCACAGGCAAGTAGGCTTTATCCCTGGGATGCAAGGTTGGTTCAACATATGTAAATCAATAAATGTGATTCAACACATAAATAGAACTAAAAACAAAATTCACATGATTATCTGAATAGATGCAGGAAAGGCTCTTAATAATATTCAACATTGCTTTATGTTTAAAAAAAACTCTCAACAAACTAGGCATTGAACAAATATACTTCAAAATAATAAGAGCCATCTATGACATACCCACAGCCAACATTATACTAAATGGGCAAAAGCTGGAAACACTCCTCTTGAAAACCAGCAGGAGATGAGGATTCCATCTCTCACCACTAGTATTCAACATTGTACTGTCAGTCATAGTCAGAGCAATCAGGCAAAAGAAAGAAATAAAAGGCATCCAAATAAGAATTGAGGAAGTAAAACTATTCCTGTATACAGATGATATGAGTCTGTTCCTAGAAATCCCCATCATCTCCGACCATAAACTCTTGATGTAATAAACAACTTCAGCAAACTTTCTGGATACAAAATCAACGTATGAAAATCAGTAGCATTCTTATATACCAATAATATCCAAACAGAAAGCTAAATCGAGAATGCAATCTCATTCACGATAGTCAGAAAAAAAAGAATAAAATACCTAGGAATACACCTAACCAGGGAGGTGAAAGATCTCCAAAACAAGAATACAAAACACTACTCAAATAAATCAAAGACAACACAAACAAATGGAAAAACATTCCATGCTCATGGATATGAAGAGACATTGTTGAAATGGCCATACTGCCCAAAGAAATTTACAGATTTAGTGCTATTCCTATCGAACTATCAGTGACACTCTTCCCAGAATTAGAAAAATCTGGGAAGAAGTGCCAGAACAGCCAAGGCAATCCTAAGCAAAAAGAACAAAGCTGGAGTCATCACATTATTCAACTTCAAAATATACTGAAAGGCAACAAATAGCAAAACAGCATGGTACTGTTGCAAAAACAAAGACATAGATCAATGGAACAGAGTAGACAGTCCAGAAATAATACCACATATCTATAAACCATCTGATCTTCACAAATTCAACATAAACAAGCAGTGGAGAAAGGACTCAGTAAGTAGTGTTGGTATAACTGGCTAGCCATATGCATAAGATTGAAACTGAACCACTTCCTTACACCATACAACAAAAATCAACACAAGGTGGACTAATCACTAAATCTGAAACCTAAAACTATAAAAACCCTGAAAGATAACCTAGGAAATACTATTCTGGACATATACCCTGACAAAGATTTCATGACAAAGATGCCAAAAGCAATTGCAACAAAAAGAAAAATTGACAAATGAGACCTAATTAAAATAGATAGCTTCTGCATAGCAAAAGAAGCTATCAACAGAGGAAACAGACAACCCATAGAGTGGGAAAAAATGTTTGCAATCTATGCATGTGAGAAAGGTCTAATATTCAGAATCTAAAAGGAACTTAAATCAACAAGCAAGCAAAAACCCCGTTAAAAAGTGGGCAAAGGACATGAACAGACACTTTTCAAAAAAAGACATACACATGATCAACAAGCATTTAAAAAACGTTCATCACTAATCATTAGAGAAATGCAATCCAAAGCACAATGAGATGTTATCTCACACCAGTCTGAATAGCTATTATGAAAAAGTAAAAAAATAACATGCTGGCAGGGTTGTGAGGAAAGGGAACAGTTTGTGTACTACTGGTGGGAATGTAAATTAGATCAGCCATTGTGGAAAGCAGTTTGGAGATTTTTTCAAAGAATTCAAAGTAGAATTACTATTTGACCTAGCAATCCCATTATTGGGTATATATCCTAATGAATATAGATCATTCTACCACAAAGACACATGCATGTGTATGCTCATTACAGCACTATTCACAGTAGCAAAGATATGGAATTAACTTAAGTGCCCATCAACAGTAGACTGAATAAAGAAAATGTAATACATATACACCATGGAATACTATGCAGCCATGAAGAAGAGTTAGATCGCATATTTTGCAGGAAAATGAATGGAGCTGGAGGCCATTATCCTAAGCAAACTGACACAGAAACAGGCAGAACAGAAAAACAAATATCAAATGTTCTCTCTTATAAGTGGGAGATAAACATTGAGAATATAGGGACATAAAGTAGGGAACAACAAACACCAGGGCCTACTCAAAGATGGAAAGTGGGATGAGGGTGAGGATTGAAAAACTACTTATTAGGTACTATGCTTATCACCAAGGTGATGAAATAATCTGTATGCTAAATCTCCATGGCATCAATTTACCAATAACAAACTTGCACATGTACAATGGAATTTACATAAAGGTTTTTTTAAATGTTAAATATATGTTAAATATATCTATAATACATAAATATTATATATAACATATAAACTATGAATATAATAAAGCAGCTGTATAAATCTCAGGATATAATAGAAAGTTATAGGTATAATTTAACTGAGTCAATAATAAAGAAACACAGCGGATGACTTCCCCAAATAGGAAGTCTTTAGGCAGAAAATCTCAAGACTGAGAAATCCAAAATTTCTTGCCTTTTCACCATTTGTTTAGTGGCTATATGCTGTAGAATAAAGGAAAAGGCCTAAATTAAACAAAGTTTTACTTATTTACACACTGTAACACTCTAATCCCCTTCCCATCAGAAACTAGCAAGCACATAGACATGTTTCTAGCCACATGCTGCCAATTGGAACTACTGAAAAATAAAATCTCAAGACATCAGAGCTCCAGTGCTTTGATTTTGATTTTTGATTATGCCTTGTGACCTTGCATATGAACTTCACTTTAAAGGGTCCCAGTTTCCTCATTGTTAACATGTAAGGATTAGACTAGATTACTGGATTTTTTTATCTTTTCTTCTGGGCACAGTTCTTTATTTAAATAAAATTTTATGTGGAAAATCTCTATCAATATAGATGAAAGAAGAACTGCTCTGATTGAAGTTGGAGTGAGAAAAAGAAGAAATTACTGAGTTAATGAGTTAGGTATACTTAAAGATACTTATCTTTAACCAGGAATAAGATAAGAATATGTACTAAAATACTGATCCTATACCTTTCCCTTTTGTATCATTTGTTAACATTTTCATGTTGCATGGGAAAGAAAATAAATGACAGATTCAGAAAATCTCGTATGTTGACCAAATAGTCCTATTGACTAAGTTATAAAGAACTATCAAGGACTCATGCAAAGGCAGATAAATTAGTTAGTATTCACTGAAGCATTTCCTTGGAGTAGGTTCTACTTGAACTGCTTAAAAATGTTATTTCATATAATTTTCATAACTCTTTTATCTCCACTTTACAAAAAGAAAGAAACTGAGACAGAAACATTAACTTGCTCAAGGTCACATAGCTTAGTAATAGACCCAGTTTTCAAACTATATCACCTGATTTCAGAGACTAGAGTCATAACACTTTCCTTTGCTTCCCTTATTCGCTGCAGAGTAGTTTAAAGCGGTGGCTCTCAACTTGAGTATGCATCAAAACCACCTGAAAAGCTTGTAAACCATGGATTGTACCTTCCCCACTCCAGCATGTCTAGTTCAATGTATCTGGAGTAGAGCATAAGAATTTACATCTTTAAGTTCTGAAGTGCACTACTTGAGAAGAAATTATGATAAACAACCAAACTATTAAAAGTAATTTATAAAGCATAAACCATTGCTGACATTTTAATGAAAGTTTTTAAAGTAATAAATGAAAGGCAAGGAAGGAAAGTACAGAACAACATGTAAGTATAAAGTTCTACAATTTTGTAAAGAAAAGTAATAAAAAGCAAGAAGAAAATCTAAATATATGGAACATTTAATCTTACATATAATAATACAGTAGTCAATATTTATGTAGTATTTCCTATACACAGATAGTCTGCTAATCACTCTACTTATTTAATCTTTGCACAAACCCTATAAAATAGATCCTATATTTCTCCCATTATACAGATAAAATAAGTCAGCAACCGGCAAACAGATAAGACAGGGTTTGATTTTTTTGCAGTCTGCTTTTGAGTCTGAATTCTTCCCGTCCTAGTCCTCACTAAAAGATACTTGTGTATTCTTGATTTTGATTGAGAACTATCTATGGAAACATATTTTAAGCATGAAGATAATTTATACTCATCAGATGGACAACGTTAGAATGAATGTGTGAGAAGAAAGGCATTTGCATGCACTCACAGTGGCAGTGTTTATTGGTGGAACTATTCTGGAGAGTAAGTTGGCAAAGTGTAGCAAAGGCTTTAAAAAAACTTATACTGTTTGACCTATAATATAAAGTTACAGTGATTTCCATTAAAGAAATACTTAGGTTGCTTCACAAAAATCTCCATGCACAAAAATATTCATTTCAATATTGCATTTAAAAATAAATCAGTGAAATGAGGAGATTTTCTTAAAAAAATGACAAACTAAAGCTTACTAGGAAGCAATTAAAGTAAGTATGTGGGTATTACACTGAAGTGATCAATATAAAAGGGCAATCATCTTATTTTCTTATGTTAAAAAAGCATCATGGAGAACATTGTGTATAGTGTGGTCTAATATAATTTTAAAATATAATAACCTAAGAGAATTAACCAAAAAAATCAAACTAGATGATTTAAGTTACACATAGGGCAAAAAAAAATATGAAAAGAATAATAGATCTATTATAATTTAAAAAACAGCAAAGGAGAACAGTTAAAACCTACACAAAGGAAAAATAAAACTTCAAAATACACAATCACTTTAAAAGTATTTAAAGCAAAGATATGGAATCAATTTAGGTGCCCATAAATGGTGGATTGAATAAAGAGAATGTGGTACACACACCATGGAATACTATGCAGCCATAAAAAAGAATGAAATAATGTCCTTTGTAGTCACAGGGATGCAGCTGGAGATTATTATCCCAAGTGAAGTAACACAGAAACGGAAAGCCAAATACTGCATATCCTCACTTATACATGGGAGCTGAACACTGGGTACACACAGACATAAAGATGAAAACGATAGACACTGGGGACTCCAAAAAGAGGAAGGGAGAGCGGAAAAAGGGCTGAAAAACTTCTATTGAGTACTATGTTCATTATCTGGGTAATGGGATCAATAGAAGCCCAAACCTTAGCATCACACAATATACTTGCATAAGAAACCTGCACATGTACCCACTGAATCGAAAATAAAAATTTTTAAAAATAAGAAATATAAAAGTACTTAAGATAAATATTATATTTAGCTCAAAAACAACACCCATATATTTGTTGTTTTCTTGAAACACTTAAGATGAAAAGACAGAAAAAAAGACAAAAACATAAAAATGAGGCAACACATAATAAAATGTAGCCAATGTGTACAACGATGATTACATAAGACAAAATAGAACTCTAGAAAAATAAAATGACAATAGATACATTTCATTAAAACCAAACTCCACATAAAGATTGAGTCATTGATCATTATGTGCCAATCTGCAGCATTAATATAACCAAATTCTTAGATACATAATAGAAATTTGGGAAAATATAATTGTTTATTCTCTAGAGCAAAGTGACCAAAACACCCAACTGGATAGGTTGCAAGAATAGAAAATATTTATTTCCCATAATTGAAGGTTAATGGCTTCAGATACTACTTGATTTAACAGCTCTTCTTAGTTTGACTCTCTCTTCATTGATGCAAGTTGCTGCAGCAGGACCAACTTTTATTCCACTCTCTGTCCCCAGGTAGCAATGAGGGATGTGATGGGTCTCTTCCAACAATTTCGGCTGAGGTTTTATTGTCTCAATAGACCATATGAAGAAAGCAACACTCTGGTCGATCCAGCATAAGCCACAGTGCTGGGGTGGAGTCAGCTCTACCGAAAGGACGTAAAGAATGGCGGAGGGAGGAGAGATGAGAAATGACTGAACAACATAAATTAGTCAGTCACTTTAGTATATCTGCTAAATATGCAATCATAAGCAAAACAAAGTAGCTTATGTAATATGTATTATTCCAGAGTACATAATGGTGGTTGAGAATTGCAAGGACTGTGCTCCACATATCCTCTATTCCAGGACTCAGGCTGAGAGGATTGAGACATCATTTTTGTGCAAAGAAAAAGAGAGGTAAAGGGCTGGCAGAGCACCACAATGTCTCTTAAAGCTTCTGCTCCCACATAGCATTGGTGAACTCCACTCACATTCCAATGGTCAAAGCAGGTTACAAACCTAGCCCAAAGTCAAAGTAATGGGGGGTATATTTCTGTGCATTGAAGTCACATGGCAGCATGCAAAGATGTATAATCAATATTCTTACAGGCAAGTGGAAGGAAAGGGGGCTTATTAATTGTGAACATAATCTACACCACTTTTGTATTTCTCAATATAATTCTAAGTTTGGGATCGTTAAAACGTAAAATTTAACTAGGATGAGAAATTTAATTTTTTTGTTGGTATCTACCTGTGTCACTGTCCCTGTCTCCATTTTATCTCAGAAATTTAATTGTCTATTCTCTATCTATCATATTCTCTTTGTGTCCTACGGTGTTCGGAATGCCCTGCAGTGTTTTATTATTATTATTAATTAAGCTGACCCACTGTACAAATAATTGGAAATGCTATTTATGAACTCCAAAATATCAGGATATTATCAGTGGATCAGCAAGAGAAGAACTAATCTATAGAATGAGTATGTTTTAAACACAGAGCAAAACACTCAAACTGACAAGGTGACTGTTAATCTATTTCTTCAACAAATTGCTAAGATAGTCTCTAATTAGAAGAAGATAAATGACTTCTTCAGCCTTTGCGAATTCAAAAAACACACACAAACACACTATCTTCCTGACCCACCCCTCAGAATTTTTCATACACACATACATGATGTAAGTTGCTATGGTGATATGCTCATCTCCATGGCAATTGATCATTTTATTTCTGTAAATATCCATTGTCTCTTAATAAACAAATTATGGGCTATCAACCCAAAGATTTGAATCTTCAAAGAATATATAAATCAAACTCACATAAAATAAATTCCCACCCAAGAAAAAATGTTATTCCCAATAATAACAACAATGGACAAAGCAAAAACTTAGAAAATTAATAGCTAGAATGAAGCTATAAAAGTACATATTTTTGGAAAATAAAAGCTTCCAAATAGCTGCAAATGTTCAAAATGACAGCTTTCTCACAATAGGTATGCATGATGCAACTCAGCTTCTAGTTGTAGTTCGTGTGTAGTTGTAACAATCCTTGGCAGAAAATGAAATTCAGGATTCTGATTGCCAGAAAGTAATCATTGCAAAATTTGTCTACCTTCTGGAAAAAAAAATCATTTATAATCATACACAGAAAGTCATAAACATTGACTAAAGTATGAATAAATTGAAAACTCCTGACTTAGAGAGTGAGATAAAAGATAGTGACTGGTATGATTTGAAAATTTGACATTTAAATATATAACCGATTATGTGTCTTTACATGTTAACTATAACAACACAACAAAAAAAATGTATACACATTGTCATTGGATTCTGGTAAATTTTATGAGGCAAAAAAGACAGTTTGGAAGAGGGGGTTCAATGAGCTGTTTTTTGTAAACAATTTAACATTTCAGGTTTAATAGTAGCATTTGCTCTAACATGAAGTCCATTAAAAACGCTTTTATATTCCTGAGAGGCTTCATCAATTTTAGCAAATCAATTTATGAAATTATTTTGAAATTCAATGGCCCATATGAAAGTAATGATTGGAACCTTAAGTTATATAAACAAAAGTAGGGCAAGTAGAAATATCAAATATCCACAAACACAAATTAGGACATGGAATATAAATGTTATAATACTTTTTATTTAACTCCAATAAGGTATGAAAAAGCATATATAGAAAAACTGGAAGATTAAACAATCAGATTGATAGAGTTAATTTCAAATATTTGGATTGTTAAAATTAACTTCATAAGAAAAATATCTTTCAAAAGTAAAAAGAAAAAATAATTTAAAAATAAATATTCTGAAGCCAACCATGAGAATATGACTTATTTTGGTGAACATTAAAAAGCAAGACAGTGAGAGAGTGAACAATCTTCACCATCCATTTATTATCTCCACAAAGTTGCATTTTTAGATGTCCCATACTCATTTAACCATCCCTGGTTGATGGATAATTTTGCACATATTCAATATTGTATTAAAATTGAAGGGCATATATTGATATTATATCTTGAAAAATATATCTGATGATGCTATGTTCTTACTTCTTGAATGTTAGCCTTTCTCTCACTGATTTTTAGGAGAATTTTATGTAGGAAGTTAGCAGTGTTTTCCTTTCAAGTAAAGCAAATTTTTCTTGTTTAAATATGTGGATTATTTATATAATATTTGGTCAAACTGATTTTTCTGATCGGAACAAAAAATCCAGAAATAAGTAGACAGATAAAAGTTTACATATTTGTTTATACAAAAAGTCTCCAGCAAAATATAAAACATCTAGCTACCCAAATATTATGTAAATAACCTAAATGTGCGTCCTTATTCCCTTTGGTCTCCTATAGCATCTAATATTAATGAATGTTCAAAAACAAATCTGTGCCACATTACTTGATGAAGAGTTTAGTGGGGAGGTTACATATTGGCCTATTTGTAGGCAAGCAGTTATTTTTTTGTTCTTAACTCTCTTTCACCTGCTTTTGGTCAATGATGACAAAGTATAGTCAGAAATATGTACCAAATATCATTTTAATGTATGCACCTCTACTCACAAAATGATGTTTAATATAATTGGAAATAAATATCTGCCAAAGAATACTGAGATTGGAACCAGAAGGCAACATATTCTATTTGCAGTCTTGTTGCAGCGGGTTGGTGTACAGGATGTCATGAAATAACAGAAACCTCAATTGGCTATAGACATGGAGGGGATTGTATTGATCGGTTAGCATTTTTCATACGTTATGAGTCAGTCAATGACCCAGTTAATGCATGATACCGAGAAAGCCATTTGCTCAAAGATGTTATGGCTCCAATATTAAAAACATGTTTCAACTCACCCTTATAAGAAGTGAGACAAAGTGAGAGGCTTATGATTGTATCTTTTATGTGACCTTGTCTTAATCCTTTATAATTCAAGGGGGCCATCGACATATATCTTAATGCTCACTATCATATGTCAAAAATCATTAATTACCTATTACTTGCTAAATAGAAAAAAAAAAATTGGAATCTTCGCCTTTCCCCGTCCATTGTCACACAGAAAGAGGCCAGTAGTCTGTCTCAAACAAACATATTTCAAGTTCCCCACAAAGATTTCTTAAAAGGAGCGCTAGGGGAAAAAAAGAGAAAGACAGGATGGCCATTATTCATCAATATAGCTATTATAACTAGCTGAATTCAGGGGATTCAAAATTTCTTTTCCAGTGGAGTTTATGAAATTTTTACACACTAGGGCTTCTTGTGACTCATATTAGGACCCTGTATTTTAAATCTGTATATCCTAATGAATGAATAATTCCCTAAATCGACCTTTTTTTTTTTTTTACAAAAGCCCCTCCCTTTCTGTCTTTTATTTCCATGTGAACATCACAAAAAAAACCTAGCCTATTAGCCAGCTCTAGTCATCTCATTCATCTATGCTGGGCTTAAGAATTCTGTGGTTCACCGGGAGGCAGAGCTTGCAGTGAGCCGAGTTCGTGCCACTGCACGCCAGCCTGGGTGACAGAGCGAGACTCCATCTCAAAAAAACAAACAAACAAACAAAAAAGAATTCTGTGGTTCAGTTTCCGAGCTAAGTGTCCTGGAAACTTACACACACCCTGCCCTCCTAACATCTGCAAGAAAAGGTGATAAAGAGAAGAAAAGATAGAATAGAAAGCCATAAAACATGGAGCACACCAAATAGAAACCTCATACACAATATAGAATAATAATTAAAGGAAATATAAGCAGATACCATATTTAGGAGTTGCCAAAAATTCTTCTCTAAATATTTTATCTGATTGCCAGAGCTGATTGTAAAGACTGAGAATTAAGATGTTTTCAAGGATTGATCATTATGCATTTATTTATTTGAGCATTTAAGTCTATGAATTTTTTTCAGGATCATTTTAGTCACTATCATTATGTCCTATTTTGCAATCTCAACTTTTATCTTTTTTCTTTTATTCAATAGTTGCTTATGAAAAACATATTTAATTTTCAGTTCTCTCTGTCTCTCCTCTCTCTCTCTGTCTCTCTGTCTCTCTCTCTCTCTCTCTCAGCATCTAGTGTTTTTGAGAGAAAATAGTTTATATTATTCCTATTTTGAGTAATTAATTGAACTTTTTTATTTGTGAAAATGAGAGATTTGTAGAGACAAATATATATGTAAAATATAGAGAATAAATTTATGAGAAACATATTTGTTCAAATATGTATTTTAAGAATAATGTATATGTGTTAAAAATATGGTATAATGAGACAAGTAGGATATATTGTTAGGATACCAGATTTGAAGGTTAAAGGAAGGTTTTCCTGAGGAATGGACAAATTGATAGCTGCAAGATATAAGAAAGGAGTAGAGGAGTCAGGAGTGAAGGGGGTAAAGAAAATACATCATGTAAAGGAGAACAGTTCATATTTGGTACATTACAGAAAGGAAGAAGGAAGGAAGGAATCAAGGATGAGAGGAAGCAGTGGAAGGACAGTGCTATGGTTTGAATATTTGTCACCTCCCAAAATCATGTTGAAATTTAATCCCCAATGTGGCAATATTGAGAGGTGGATTATTGGGTTACCGTGGGAGTGGGACTGGTGGTTTTATAAAAAGAAACAGTCCTGGGGTAGCACAATCAGCCCCCTCTCCATGTGATGATCTGCACTGCCTTGGATTCTGCCGAGGGTCTCCACTAGCAAGAAGACTCTCACCAGATGCGTACACTCAGCCTTGGACTTCTCAACCTCCATCACTGTAAGAAATAAATCTTTTTCTTTGTAAATTACTCAGTCACACGTATTCTGTTATAAGCAATAGGAAATGTACTAAGACAGAAAACTGATGGCAAAGATAAAACAATGGCCCTTTCCAGAAATAAACAGGAAGGACAGCTACAGTTTAAAATGTGAGTGGGAATGAGTAGCTAGAGATGAATTTGGAAAAGTCAGCATAAAGCAGAATGACCTTGAAAGCCACATGAAGACGTTTGAATGGTTTCCTATAAACAATGGAGAGGCAATTATAGATTTTTAGCAGAAGAATGGTATAATAATATTTCTAGAAATATAACTGGTCCAGAATAAAAAATAGACTGGAGAAGAGACAGGGGGAATGGGGGAATCCTTGTTTAAAAAAAAAATTTATTTTTGTTACTCAAGTAAGAATTAGTAGTAGCCCCTAATAAAGCAGGAGCTAGTTAACAGAGTATGATTTCAGGTTTGGAAATATTTGGGAGGAAAAATGGAGAGGAATTGGCAAATAACTAGGCATGTGTGGTGAAGAAGTCAAAAGGTCACTTTGATTAGCTACAGATTTCTAGTTCTGAAGGGATGATGGCTACACATTGGAGAAAGAATGGTTTCTTCAAGGAGTGGTGCTGAGGAAAATAAATATCCACATGTGAAAGAATGAGACTAGATACTTACACCATATATAAAAATCAACTCAAATGAATTAAAGATTTAAGTATAGACCTGAAACTGTAAAACTCCTAAAGGAAAACATAGGGGAATGCTTCATGATATTTATTATGGCAATGGTTTCTTTGGATTAATGTGAAAAGCACAAGCAGCAGAAGAAAAAAATAAGCAAGTGGGAGGACATCAAACTGCAAGACTTCTGCACAGCAAAGAAAATAATCAACAGAATGTGACCGAAACCCAGGGAAATGGAGTTAATATTTCCAAGAGGTATATCTGATAATAGCAAATAAAATAAAATGGAATAAATTAAAATAAACTCATTAAAAATGGGCAAAGGATGGAACAGACATTCCTCCAAACAAGACATACAAACGAACAATAGGTATATGCAAAGAAGCTTAGTATTAGTAATCTTCAGTAAACTATAATTAAATTGTCACTTTATGTGTCTTAGGATTGCTGTATTTTTTAAAAAGAGAAATTTTTTTAAAAAAGAAATCTCAGTGAGAATGTGAAGAAATTGGAACACTTTGTATACTTTTGGTAGAAATGTAAAACGGTGCAGGACTTATGGAAACCAGTATGGAGTTCCTCCAAAAGTTAAAAATAAGCTATCAGATAATCCAGCACATACAAAATAATCAAAATTATGACTTCTACAGCAATATCTTCACTCCCATTTTTATTGCAACATTATTCACAATAGCCAATATATGCAGACAACGGAATAACCTAAATGTTCAACAGATATTAATAGACAAGGAAAATGTGGTATATGTGTGTGTGTATATATATATATACACACATATATATATACACATATACATATATATACGTGTATATACATATACACACATACATATATATACGTGTATATACACATACACACATACATATATACGTGTATATACATATACACACACACACACACAATGTTCTTTATCTTTCAATATCTGGGATGAGACTGCATTTACTTACAGATAGGTAGTAATTCATTTGTGCATATGTGTGTATGTATGTGTGTATTTTACTCCTGGTAATTTAGAAAGTTTAAAATTGCTTTTGGTTACATGAGTAATTTCATTTAAAACTTTATATACTACTTTTGACCCTTCCCTTTACTTTAGCAACTGCTGTCTCATTGTTATAATCATCACTTACACAAATTATTGCAATAGCATCTTTACTGGTCACCTGTGTTTGCACTTGCCATTCCTATGCTTTTCCTATTCTCAACACAGAAGCTAAAGTGATCCTTTAAAAATGTTGCTATCTTACTCAAAGTCATTCAGTGGGATCCTATGGATATCAGAATAAAAGTCTTGTTTAATCTTTCAAGCTTTATTTTTACTCTCAAGTGATTGTTTTCAAATTTCACCTCACTACACAGCCCTCCTTACTGCAGCTGTTATGCATCAGCTTTCAGAAAAACCCATTTACCAAGTTGCTCTCACCTTATATTGAAAAGTACTTCTGAAAAGTTCCTCTTAACTATAATGGGAAGTGACTTTGCCAGAAAATAAAGCAGAAAAATATCTATTTATATTCAAAGACATTATCTCTATGCATCCTTAATCAGAAGACACTTATCAGAAAACCAGGATTCTTCCCCTTCTATTCTGTTTCCACCTTCATTGGTGTAACACCAAATGAGGATACTGAAATACAATTTTGATGCTAACCATCCAGTGCTAGTGTTTGTCTGGCTGGCTAAAAATACAGATATTCCAATAGTCCCTGCATGTTCAATAATTTGCTAGAACAATGCACAGAACTCACTGAAAGTATTATATTTAAGATTACAGATTTATCATAAAGGATAATAAGGTGAGCTCTGGGAGGCTAACAAACAGAAAGCATCTGTGCCATTTCCCTGTGGAGTCAGGGCATACTCTACTTGCATATCGGTATTTCTCAACCAGATGAATGTGTTCACCAACTAGGACACTCTACTGGGCCTCAGTGTCCAAAGATTTGTTGTTGTTGTTGTTGTTGTTTCATTATGTAGACATGACTGATTAAATAACTGGCCACATAATCGAATATAATTTCCAACCCCTTGTTTTCCTAGGATGCTTGGCAGATGAAAGTCTAACCCTTAAGTCATATGTTTCATCTTTCAAATGACCATCTTCCATCTTGAAATTATGTAAGAGTCTACCAAAACTCATCTATTAGTATAACAAAGACACTTTTTTTTTTTGAACTGGAGTCTCACTTTGTCTTTGAGGCTAGAGTGCAGTGGCGCAATCTCAGCTCACTGCAACCTCCATCTTCCGGGTTCAAGTGATTCCCCTGCCTCAGCCTCCAGAGTAGCTGGGATTACAGGCACTCGCCATGACCATGTCTGGCTAATTTTTGTATTTTTAGTAGAGAAAGGGTTTCACCATGTTGGCCAGGCTGGTCTCAAATTCCTGACCTCAGGTGATCTGTCTGCCTTGGCCTCCCAAAGTGCTGGGATTACAGGTGTGAGCCACTGCATCCAGCCTAAAGACATTCTTTTTAGTCAGAAAATCCTAAGCATTTTTGAAGCTGTGTACCAGGAATCAGGGACCAAAAAATATATGTATATGTATTATATAACATACCTCACCTTCCCATTTCCTCACCCCTATCAGGGCCAAGAGAGTCAGTTACTTCACATATGCAATGAGAACATAAAAAATAGTGTTAACGAAGTGATTTAGAAGTCTATTGACTTCTTCTTAATCCAACCCTCATCGTTTCTGCTTTGCCACCACAAACTTTATCAGCTAAAGTCATTTGCTTTCCAGTAAAATAATTTCCAAATTCCCTAGGACCTGATACCCCATATATTCTTTCACACATACATTCTTTCAAATCACATACATTCTTTCAAATCATGGCCACAGCTACCTGTCATGTCACTAACATCAACAAGTTTACTTTTTTCTCAGTTGAATTATATTCTGATAATTTTTTTGCCCAAGCCTGCCATATTATAGTAAATTATGAACAGGAACTTGATCCATTTTCCACCCCCAGCCTTGAAACTCATTAGCCTTAGGGTGATAGATTTGATCAAAGAACACTGAAGGTAACTGAGCCTCAGAATTTAGTATGATTCTATTGATCATACAACAAACATGACATGAAAGTCAGATGTTGCCGGACTTGCTTTCTTTAAAAACAATGGATAGGAAATTTGGCCCATTCCTCTCCGTTTGTAGTCCTGCTGCAAGGTCACCACGGTAACCAATAAAAGACCAGTAAGAAAGATCTTCAATATTATCACCTAGAAATTTTACTCATCCTTTCAAATTCCAAGGAAGCCATGTATAGTTTCAAAAATCCTAAAAACTACATGATACCTAATACATAGGGACAATATTTTTTTGGTGTTATAATCCATAATCTTGTGCCTGTAATCTCAGCTACTCTGGAGGCTGAGGCAGGAGAATCACTTGAACCCGGAAGATGGAGGTTGCAGTGAGCCAAGATTGCACCACTGCAATCTAGCCTCGATGACAAAGTGAGACTCCAGCTCAAAAAAAAAAAAGTGTCTTTGTTATACTAATAGATGAGTTTTGGTAGACTCTTACATAATTTCAAGATGGAAGATGGTCATTTGAAAGATGGAACATATGACTTAAGGGTTAGACTTTCATCTGCCAGGCATCCTAGGAAAACAAGGGGTTGGAAATTATATTCGATTATGTGGCCAGTTATTTAATCAATCATGTCTACATAATGAAACAACAACAACAACAACAAGGTGACTATAGCTAACCACAGGCAAAATATTCTCCCAGAAGTAAATGGCAATATCCTCAAGTTAGTAGTTAGGATTCAAAAGAATTACATAAAACCCATTTTACAATATTTGTTCTTTCAAAAAATATTCTACTTAAAGAAATAATGTCAAATAACTAGTAGATAAAAGGGAATACAGTTTTAATTTTCACTATGGAATTTCTTCTCAATCTAGTAAATATCAAGCCACTTTTCAATTTATGGTAGGCAAATCTAGTGTCAGACCTCTGAATTCCTATGTTTTTAATATTCTTAAAGCCACTGATTCATAAAAAGTCTCAACTAAGTACACCTCACACTTTAATTAATGGGGCAGGTGAGAGAATATAAATCTCTGAGCCATCTTAAAGTAAGGCCCAAATTCACACAAGGGGAAGGAAAAACAATTAATAGCTTTTTATATTTTGCCTTAAAATCTTCAGATCCATTTTTTGAATCCACAATAATGCGGTTTGTTTCACTATTTTTAAAAAGGTGTTGTAAATGATGTACTATAGATTAATTTGAATTGTCTAATCTCTTTGAGGAAAATCTTGTTCTTATTTTTCATACTTTATGTCTTTAGTAAACACTGGCTTCTGAAAGGCAGCAGATTGGGATTGTCTAAAATGCAAAAGAAAGGACTAAATAATGACCTGTGGAGCTTGAGTTTGGAGTACTCACGTACCTCCCAGTTTCTGCCATGTCTAAGAAGAATAGTTTCAAATGCAAAGGCAAAAAATAGTATCATCCAGAATCATTTGGGAATGGAAATCATATTGCTAACAGAAACCGCAGACAAAGCAGATGGCAGGACCGTGAGGTATTTTAAGCTAAAAGAAAAATATTTTAGCTTTAAAGGTGACTGAAAGCCTATTAGGAACACAATAAGAATTAAACAATTAGAAACGTTTATAAGAGAAAGGTTTAGCTCTTACAGATGAAGTTACAAATGTGTGAAAGACAAGAATCATGCAAAATAAGACAGAGGGATTTAATTACTTCTAAATATTCAGGTTAGGAGAGAGCTGAAAACTAGGAAGAATATGCAGAGAAATATACCAGGAGAATGATATCCAGGGAGGGTAAGGAGATGGGGTAGGCAGGAGGAGTATGCAAAGGGAATATGCGGGGGAATTCATTGGAATTCTGGGTAAGTTATAGAGAGGAGGAAAAGGGAAGGTCTGTCTGAGAAGACTGAGTAAGGCCGTGCTGAGAAACCTCATATCCAGAACAATATTCAAAAGCATTCTTTGAACAGAAAAATTGACGTTTAAGAAATGACTGGGAATCTCTCCTTTGATGACAGGGGAATAACCACAACAATCATAACAGCCAACATGCAGTGAGTGATCACTCTATGGTAAGCATTGTGCTATGGACTTGGCCTGCTTTATGTCATTTAATCTTCACAGAAAATCTATACGTTCTGCAATCTTTACTTATTTCCTAGAATAAAGAGGTCATTGATCAGCTTTGAGTCTTTTTTTTTTTTTTTTTTTTTTTTTTTTTGAGACGGAGTCTCGCTCTGTCGCCCAGGCTGGAGTGCAGTGGCGCGATCTCGGCTCACTGCAAGCTCCGCCTCCCGGGTTCACGCCATTCTCCTGCCTCAGCCAGCTTTGAGTCTTAAAGCTGACTTTCATGACCTCTTTAGTAGAGAGCTGTTCAGAGAAAAAGCTTTTCTGAATTTCATTATTCTGACCTTTATCATAAAAAGAGGTAGCCCTGGCTAACATAAATACAGAATATTATTGGAGGCGGTGGGGGGGATCCCAACCAGACTCAAAGGATTTGGCAAAAGTCAAAGACTTTTGGTCCCATGGATTATGGGAAGAGACAGGAGACATAGGCAGCTCTAAGTCAAACGTGCAGGAATTAATGCCTCCAGAGGATGAACTCATAGATACAGGAGTAGAAAGAATTAGCTATATGGGGAACCTGAGGGATTGAGGGGTATTGGCCCACTTTCAGGCCTTTAGGAGATGCTCCACAGACTGCCACTTCTCCCAAAATTGCAGGGTAATAGTGCAGTAAAATAGGCAAAAAGCAGCTACACAGGTGAGCTGGAAGTCATTCTGATCTCTGTGTGCTGGAAGTTGGGAGAAAGGGACCCAGAAGTGTCCATGTGTCCAGTAAGGAAACACAGATGTGTTAAGAAAGTTTTTGCACCAGCAGAGGCCTGGGGTTAAAAATAAAGGCATGTGAGCTGTGGGGACTTTGAATCATGCGAAAAATGGCCAGGATCAAAGACTTCAGCCACAGCTGACTGGAGCATCATAACCTCAAAAAGCCAGACGCTTTTATGTCTCACTTCAAAAGCTACCAATCCAGGAGGAAACTAGACCAGGCACCCTGGAGAAAGTCTAGCAAGCCTACGGAGGACAACATGTTCATACAAACACCTAAGGCTTTCTCTGCTAATCTGAGGTCATAGGCCCTCTCTAAACACCTAGTCCAAGCCTTGGAGGGGAGAGTTGGAGAGGAAGAGAAGGAGAGTGGAACATGAAAAGACAGCATTTTGTCCAAAAGTGACTGTTTACAGCGAGAGACAGATTATACTCCCTGATGGATCTAAACTTCCCATACTGTAAATAAAACTTAGAACTCCAAGCCACCACCATCCTATTCGAATACCCAGGGGTAAGAGTGCTTATGTACCAAGTGTGAATAAATTTTTGGTATTGTGACACTAGATTTGGGGTTTTGGTTCTGTTGTTGGATTTTGCATCAATAAATATGTTTTCTCCATCAAAGGGAAATACAATTTTTAAATCATCTATTATTTGAGGAGTTTAATGATCCTCCTGCAGAACTATATTGGCTGTCTCTTTTTATTTATGATTGTTTGATAATTAACTTAATACCTCTGGTTATTTCCATAATTAGATTCTAGCCAATTTTGGTATTGTACTGTTATCATTAAAACGATCATCTAAATTAGATCTCAACTGTATTTTTTTCTTGTCATTAGTTTTCATTGGTTGGTTTAGTATGTTATTCATTTTTTAAATTCTTGAGTTGAAAATTTTGTGTATTTTTTCAACATAAATATTGTGTTATTACAATAGGCTTTCTAAATTTAATTATTTTAGTGGGCATTTGTTAATTGCCCATCTGGCATTAATCCCTTCCCCACTCCCTTTCCTTTCTTGACAGTGTCCAGAATTTCGCAACCATGTAGTGTTAAACTGAAGAGGATATATGCATACCATGTCGCCCAAGGACCTAGGGGCCTTCTGGTGAGAGCTGGGGGAGGTGCCAACTATTCCCTGGGAGGACAAGTTAAAGAGATTTGTCAGAAAGACTAGGATAGTACAGATCAAGATTTTTCATAAAATGTATTTTTAAAGACACCATAATCAGATATTATGTATTTGCCTTTGTAAGAAAATTGCTAAAATTTCACCAAAGCTTGGCATTTTCTACATAAGCATCCCAAATAAGTTTTGCGTATATATTTTTATTTATATGCCACACTTACTGAACTGAAGCAAGGATTCAGAGCATTGGAGATGTGGCCAGATTTCTCTCTCTGCAGTTTCTGCTTTATTTTAGAGGTGCTGACTTAAACTAGGTGCTGCAAAACTGTTGGGTAGCTATCCTAGTTTTACTAATTATAATCTTGCCCATTGGTGAAATAAATAATCTTGAGGAATTATAATTTGGAAATATCTATGCATTCCTAGAAAAAAACTTAATTTTTTACTATTATTTTCCTAGATAGCTAGAATATTTTTCCTAATACTTTATTTATTGTTTGTTTTAACAAATGGCTTTGTGGCCAGAAATTTCACTACTATATAAAACTTCACTATTCAGCTGGGCGCAGTGGCTCACACCTGTAATCCCAGCACTTTGGGATGCCGAGGTGGGCGGATCACCTGAGGTCAGGAGTTTCAGACCAGCCTGGCCAACATGGTGAAACCCCATCTCTACTAAAAACACCCAAAAAAATTAGCTTGGCATGGTGGCGAGCGCCTGTAATCCCAGCTCTTCAGGAGACTGAGGAAGAAGAATCGCTTGAACTCAGGAGGGGGAGTTTGCAGTGAGCCGAGATTGCGCCACTGCACTCCAGCCTGGGCAACAAGACCAAGATTGATCTCAAATAATAATAATAATAACTTCACTTTTCTATGTTTGCTGGGATAGTCCAAATTTATCTAGAACTTAACTCCTTTCTGCAGCTGGTGCCCTTTCCCTCACTGAAACTGGGTTATACAGTATTTGCTTTATTTTCTTATTTTTATTTATTTATTTATTTTGAGACTGAGTCTTGCTTTGTTGCCAGGCTGGAGTGCAGTGGCATGATCTCAGCTCACTGCAACCTCCGCCTCCTGGGTTCAAGTGATTCCCCTGCCTCAGCATCCTGAGTAGCTGAGACTACAGGCGTGCGCCACCATGCCCGGCTAATTTTTTGTATTTTTAGTAGAGATGGGATTTCACCATGTTGGCCAGGATGGTCTCAATCTCCTGACCTCGTGATCTGCCTGCCTCGGCCTCCCAAAGTGCTGGGATTACAGGCATGAGCCACCACGCCCGGCCAAGTATTTGCTTTATTTAAAAACCTGTTTCAACAAAATGCATGCTGGATATCCACAAACAGGTTTTCATTGTATTTCTTCAAATTATTCCCAGCATGAGATTTGTACCAGTCTGAAACATCATGTCTATGGTCCTAGATTCTCTTATAATAAGAATATTTTGGAAATCCAGTCTGCATACATCTTCTCCATTGTTTTAGAAATCACACTCAATCCAATGCTCACCTCTATCCTTCAATTATTTCTGTACTATGATACCCTGAAGGAATGTCTTGAAGTTCTCTCTCTTGTGGATGTTAACTTTTGCCATCCTGAAATGATGATACATATGTTTCCTAATGATTTGTATTTCTTTGACATTTAAATAAAAATTTGACCAGAATAGGAAATTAAATAAACGGGTACAAATCATGACGTTGATTGTATATGCAGCTTTTTTCCTAGGGGTGCCACCATTTAAATGATGTGAGATAATTCAGTACTGCCCTAGGTTATTTTATGTCCCTATATGTTTACACAACCTCAGAAGTGGAGTTAAGATAAACATTTCTCATGCAAAACTACCATCTGGTTTTATTGTTCTTTGATTTTCAGTAAAGCCTCTGAGATTTACCTATATGAAACAGACATTCTGATGACTTCTCTCTTCCATATGAAAAGAGGATAATAAACAAAACCAAAATGCTCCCATTTTATTTTTCCTATGATGTCCTAAACAATAAAGCAATAGCAATATAGATAAATGCTTGTAAATGCCCTTCTTTTTAAGAGTTGCAAATAAATTCTGAACATATATTTGACCCTGGAAAGTCAGCAGGAATTATCCTGTAATGTTGACATTGCATAACAAAGCAATTTTTCTTTTTGAAACTGCTACATACAAATATCTCCATGGTTAATAGAATCTTGATCATTATTTCAGGAAACACAATTAACATAGTCCCTTTCTTATTATATACAGCATATTTTTTCTATTTTCATCTTCAATTAAAATCAATAGGTTGGGATATTATTTGTATTGAAATAATTTTATCTGTACATGTAATATAAAATTCATCTTAGCATAGCTTTTATATAATCTCTTGTATTTGTTTTCTATTGCTGCTTAGCAACTTTTCACACACCTAATGGCTTAAAATAATACCTATTCATTAACTCACAGATTTTATGAGTCAAGAATCTAAGCACAGATTAGCTAGGTCCTCTGTTCAGTTTCTCAGCAGGTTGAAATCTAGGTGTTGACTAGGGCTCTAATCCCATCTAAAGTTCAGACTTTACTGTCAGTTCAGTGGTTTGGGGCCCAATTTAGTTCCTTCAATCTGTAGGACTAGGTCATTTACCTCCTAGAGGCTGCCTATCATTTTCTGCCACATGGCCCTCTCCAAAGCATAGCAGTTTGCTTCTTTTCCAGGACATCAGGAAAATGTATTTGACTTTTAATCTCTCTGACTTCTAAGAAGTCATTTTAAAGAAGTTATCTGGTTACATCACACCCATCTAGGATAGTCTCTATGTTGCTTAAATCAAAGTCAATTCATTAGGGACCTTAACTACATATGCAAAACCTCTTCGGCAGTATAACACAATTCAATGGCATTGTTAACCATAACACTTCTGACACTGAAGATGTGGGTTTTTTTCCTCACACTTTACCAACCAATTTGCCAACTCTCCAGAGGCCAAATGCTGGATATAGAATGAAATTCAATTTTGACACTAACTACCTAGAGTTAGTACAGACTCCACAGATTCAGAGCTCAGTCCCACGAGACTGCACCCACTTCAGACATCAATCACTAGTGCTGATCTTTATGTACTCTTGACTGATCAGCTATAAAGTTGTGCAGTTCCCACAACCCCACCCTCAAGCTTGATGATTGTCTAGAATGTATCACAGAATTTAGGGGAATGCTTTATTTACTCTTACCAATTTATTCTTAATGGATACAAATAAGTAGCCAGTTGAAGAGGTACCTGGGACGAGGTCCAGAAGGGTCCTGAGCACAGGAGTTCCTATCCCTGTGGAGTTTGGCTGCACCACCCTTCTGGCATGTGGATGTATTCACCAACCAAGGTCTTTGAACCTCCTTGTTTAGGTTTTTTTAATGAAGGTTTCATTACATATGCATAATTAGTTAAATCACTGACCATTGGTGACTAACTCAATCTCCACCCTTCTGCCCTCCCTGGAGTTCTAATAACATGGTTGGTTCCTCTGGTAACCAGTCCTTAGCCTAAAGCTAGGCAGGGATCCACCAAGAGTCACCTCATTGGCATAAACTCAGGCATGGTTGAAAGGTAATATTATAAATAACAAAAGATGTTTCCCTCACCTCCACAACTCAGAAAATTATAAGAGCTTTATGAATTCTGCACCAGGAGACAGGGATAAAAACCAAATATATATTTCTTATTATATCACAATATAACAATAATAATGGAAATAAAATCCCACCATATTCTTAAATCCCACTCACACACAAACCAACAGGATTACATGAGGCAACAGACCAGGGGGAAAAATTTTCTAGGTCATCTTAGAATTCTGCCTACCACAATAGTCTAGTCAATCAATGGAGACATAAGCTACTATCAATTACATAAAAAATCACAGAACTGAAAATTAGGGAAATATGACTAAGATCATAATTACTACTTATTTTTATCCTTACTCTATTCCAGGAATTTTACTTTGTGATCAGAGACTAATTAAATCTTTGCAACAACCTTATTTTTTAAGTATTATTGACATCATCATTTCCAAAATTTAGAGGTGTAACGGTTGGCTAGAGGTCACATAGCGTTTGAGGGGCAAAGACTGCTGAAGTGCATACTCTCTAACACTGGTGTCTGTGCTCCTGCTGTATAAGCTATCTAAAGCCTCATAGAACCCTATTTGTTGATAAAGAGGTAAGAAGATAATTATTGGGGTCATACCTGTTTAGAAGCCCTCAGTCTTAGGTAACAGTGCTATGATGAGAGGATAAGATGCTAAAGAAGGTGAGAGTCTGCTCAAGGGCAGACTTAATGGTTGTCCTTCCTATGGGAATATTGGGTGTGTGCATCAGAATTGTGGCAAGTAGGGTGACAGCTGGTAATGGACTCTCCATCTTTTGGGGCTGGATTGCTTCTAATAGATTGAGTATCTGAGCCAGAGATCATGCTGTAGCATTGAAGACCTGATTCCCAGAAATACCTACCACCACATGTGTCTTGTGTAGAATTATTAGCTAGAAGAACAGGCCTGAATTCAAGCTTTTGAAGATGTTGGGAGTGGTGATAATTTCAACAGTATGGCTAACAACAAAACTAGTCCAGGCAAATGTGTCACTCTGTACATACAAATAACCAAGACAGATTTGCCTCTGCAAATATGTAGTTATGACTAACAAACTTAATAATTTGAAAAACGTGAGTATGCCAGACAAATGGATCATTCCAAAACCACAGGTATCTTTGGACACAAATTATTATGGACATAGAGTCTACTTCAGACATGTTCACTTCTCACACACTGAGAAGCTCAACACACTGATAACAGGATGCACAGGGATGGCTCCAGACACACCAAACTCTTTGGGCATCTTGATTTTTTTGCCAAAATCATGCGAATACACTCATGTGAACACATATTAGGAATCACTTGGTCAGTTTAAGATTGAAATAAGGGAACCACACTGACATTATTATGAGGGCTCATCAGACCAATATCTGAATTCTTGTTCACCTGGTTATTTGAAATACTTAAGTATGCTTCCTCAAGATGAGTTGTTTTTGTGCGGCTACTGCAGGCAATGATGTGCAAATAATTAGTAGTCACTGATAACTATTTAATAATTAATAATTATTATTATTAATCAATGCATGTAATGCAGGTAAAATACTTAAGGTTATTTAAGAATTATATGCATTTTTATTCTTTGCTTAATGTTTTCTTTCAAAGTTATCTTGAAATTTCCATAAAACATTAACTTCAGTCCCCTATTTTCAACTTAATAAGGTGCACAAAGGTTTGACAGGGCAAGCTTGTCTAAAAATCTCCTTATCCTTCTCAAGCCTGTATTTAGTTGTAGATATCTACAAATTCCTTTCTCAAGAATTAAATTATTAGGCTTCTTTATTTTTTTTTCTGGGAATATTGAGTTTGCTACTTGTCATTTACAATGGAACAAATAATTGAACTACATTAACAGTTTATTAAGTTCTGATAGAATGAATGTGTTGTGTAAGGTATATTTGCTTTTATTTTGCAATAAAAAGGTTTCTGAGTGTTTCAGCCTCTGTGGATACGTAGGGTCCTTATTCCAGGGTCAGTTTGCTTCTCCTAAATTATAATTGTTGATTCTTTAAAAAGATTTCTTAGAATATAAAGTCTTTATGATTTTATAGTTCCTGTTTTCTCCTACGATTGCCCTGCTACAATTACTGAATACTGTCTACCTTGCTAAATGAGAGGGTTTACTAAATAACATTTTGGTTCTAAGCCTAGTCTTAACATTCCCTGGATCAGTTATAGGAATGCCCCTTTACTCAGTTCAAAAGATGGACTTTCTGTCCCTGGTCTTGCTTTGAAGGCAAGCCTCCTTTCTACTGCTGAAGTAGGTCCTACATATTTGTAGATGGCCTTCCCACAGCATTTCATCCCCTAATTCCACTGATTAATTTGAGGTGAGCATATGACCCAATTAGAACCAATTAGACATTCACTGCATGTATGAAGAGAAGAATGCTCCTTTACCAGTGGATTCTCACTGTGGACAATGGGAACCTAGGACTGCTGGAGACTACCATGTGACACCTGAAAATGAGGGCAACAGAACAGAAGGCAAGTCAGCACTGGAAACCTGTTTCTGAAGGCAGCTGTTTCCGAATCAGTATCCAAACTTGGACTTTTCTACTGCAGAGGACATTTAGTTTTCCTCTTTTCTTATTGAGTAGGTTTTTCCCACTTATAACAGGAACTTTCCTAAATAACACATTATTGCTGCAAAGAAAATGCTGCAGCTGTCATGAGAGTGTATGAGCAAGGATCTTAACCTGCCCTAAAGGATCAAAGAAGGAGAGTTACCTAAAAGTAATGATATCAAAACTGAGATGTGAAAGGTGTGTAAGAATAAGCCACGCAAAAGAGAAAAAATGGGAGCAGAGGAAAAGTTTCCAAATGGAATGAAGAACTTGTGTAAAGGATTTCTTCAACATTTAAGAAACAAATTGAAGAATGGGATATATAGAAAGAGCGAAAAAAATGTGATAATACTGGGGAGAAAGAAACTTTCTAGGCCATAAGGTTGACTTGTTATTGGCCAATGTAAACTTTTTTTAATCAAAAAATTAATACATGCACATGGTCAGAATTCAGACAGTGCTGAGGACGCTATTGATGCCTTCTCCCAAAGCCCCAGGGAGAGTTTCAGTGCCTCTTTCTTTTCTTCAAGAAAAAATAACTAATGTTCTCACACACATACACATAAAATACTTATTTAAATGCTTATGGTGTTTTTTGCTAAATACTACAAACAAATCAAACATTTTTCATCAGGTAAATAGAAAAGCAAAGTCTCATACATCCGTATAATGAATGGTATATTACTCAGCCAATGGGAAGAATGGGGGAGGATTATGTATTTGTGTATGAAAGGAAGAGAGCTAGAATTGATTTTTTTTTAACTTTCTGTATAAGTCTGAGATTTATAAAAGACACTCTAGTGAGAAGTCATGTAGTAAATTTTATCTTTCTTTTTAAGCTCAGAGAAGAGGTTAGAATTTGATAGTAGTTTAGTTAATATACAGAAGAATAAATGCAGTTAAATATGGAGAGGTTAGCAGTATCCCAAATGTACAGGAGTATCTTACCACTTCACTATCTGCATACATCTTTTTGCATGAAAAACTAGAAAAATATGTAAAAAATTTAGTATTTACAGGCTATACATTTAAAAAAGAGTTTGTATCTTATAAAAATATATTTCTCCAATCAAGATTATCTACTTTATTAACTAAAACTATGTGAATGAGAAAACTGGCACTGCTTTTTTTACTAGTAAAATATTTCTATATGAACATATGAGAAAATAAGTGAAATACATACACACATTTCAAATCTTTCACTGTTAATATCACTTGAAGGTTTTTCATTTCCAGAGAAAGTTCATGCCTATTATTTTATTTCCCCGTAAAACAACCTCCAAGGAAAGATATTATTATCAATCTCATTCTACAGATGAGGAAAATGAAGTTCAGAGAAGTGAAGTCTGTTGCTAATTGTGTCTGTGGCTAAGCAGGGACTAAAATGAATTCATCCCATTCAATGCAAAACATGCTGAGCATCCACCATAAGCCAGATAAATTGGAAATTACTGACGGCCACAGATAAAATTAAAAAGCATCCAATTATCCCTTCTCCAGGTATTGTAGCCTCTTATCACTTAAGACTGGGCAAGGCATGATCACACTTGCCCCCCTGAAGTGACAGCAGTGATGAGTGTTTGGGTACTTCAGCAGCTCGCACAATACTTCCTGCACATGGACTGTTTCGAGTACATCTGGAGGCTACACTCTAGCATTTAGAAATCACAGTCTGAATTAGAGCCAAAAATCCCTCTAGCTCCACTGTCATTTATACCAGGCTTCAGGACATAATATTGGGGACAGGTAATTCTAAAGAGGCTAATCCTCCAGGAAATTTACCTTCCAAGCCTTATCCCCAAAGCTTCCCATTCAGGAGTTGAAGTGTAGCCAATCACCCAGAAGCACTGATGCAGGTATTCCATAGAAACTATACTTTGAGAAACACTGCCCTGGAAGCCTTTTGCTTTTTCTCACTCTTTTGCTTTGGAGAAACTGGACAGTTGCATTTAAAAATAAATTGGGTGCTAGAATATAAAATTAGGTTAAGGATCTTAAGGTAGCTTGTCATCGGTCTAATAAACAAATAGATTTATATTTTTAAATGAAATGTGAGCATACTAATATTTATCATTTTCTCAGTCACTCCTGCCTGAAATTGGATGATCTGTTGTTTCTGCATTAGCTATTGTAATAATGTTAGTATAATCATCTAGTAGCAGTTATCATTGCTAAATTCTGAGATTTGCCCTGAAATGCCATCCATTTAAATATATACAAACATACATAGAAATATCAACCTGGTCAGCTGAAATAACAATCTTCAAACAAGACCACCTTTCTCTAAACAAAATCTCAGCAGTTTCTGAGTTTGCCTTTCTGTTTTTAATGGACATATTTTATTAAAATTTTGTTTGCTTTTAAAAAATACTAACAAATAGTACCACAAACTGGAGGTTTCATTGCATTAGTCGGCCTGTGCATTTCATAACAGTGTTAGTTTTCTCAGATTGTTGCTTATGTATTTCAGAGTCATAATGTCAATTCAATCAGTAAATTGCAGTGAATTTCCACTTATTTGGGATAGTATGAAAGGGCAATGATTTACCAGGAAGCTTTCAGTGTAAACTGTATGAGCAAGGACAGAAATCTAAATACTATTAATCCTTTGTGTGTGTGTGTCAGCAGCATGCATTTTGATTACACATTTAAAAGCTAATGCTTCAATGTGAATTTGGAAGTTAAAAATCCATACCTGAAAAAGAAAACAACACAATAAAGCATTCTAAGAAAACAGGTAAAACTGAAATAGTCTCATTCAGTTTCATTATGTTTCTTGTCCTTTCAAGGTTTAAATGGCTTTTGATTGAGTGCCACATATTTACAGAACATGCCAAATATTTATAATAGTTCATCATTCTGTCTTTGACAGGGATACTTAAGCATTTCTCTCTATATCCCCATTCACTTTTATTTGTTTAGTTTCACTTTGTAAAGCCATTCAGTTGGCATAAGCCACTAAAAATGTCAGAAGATAGCAGAAATAAAAACAATAACCTGTATTTTTTTCCTCAAGCAGACTTTCCATTATTATTGCACACTTCAGTAGTTTAAACCCTTTAATTCTCACTTAAGTTGAATCAGTAATCATTAGTATCTAAGTAAAACCATAATTTAAATCAAATTTAAGCTAATCACCTTTTTTTTTCCTCTCTCTGTATGGTTAAAGGCTTAAAATAGAAAAGACTGAAAAAAAAAGACACAAAGGATAAACTGCAAGCTGGTGGGCAGTGGGGACGTTATTGAGCTCCTTCCTCCACCATTACAATGATCTGTTCTCAGTTTTCATTAATCACTGTGCTGTTAGCAACATGGTGGTTAAAAGGGGCCAAGATGTCTCTCTTGTTTACCAGTATAAAAGGTAGAAAGATTTTCCACAATTTGCAGCATTCTAGAATTTATCTTCTGAAGGAATTAGCTCCAATAATTGTACCATTAGCTCACATCAGAAAATGAGCTCCACCAACAACTAATGAAACCTTTCAACAAAGAAACAGGAAAAGCTGACATTTATGAAAGGTAGTGTATCTTTACTAACTAGGCGCTGTTGAATTAACGATTTGAGAGTTGATCCTCAGACGCTGAATTGGAAGTGCTCTTAGTCTTTATTTTGTTAATGGTAGTTTATCCAGGATGTGCTCCCTGGGAAGCAGCCAGCAGGAGGCTTATTAGAAAATGTTCTTGGGATCAATACCCGTGGAAGGACAGAGTAAGAAAGAAAGGAATCAAAAAGTTAGGTCCTGAGAGAAATTGAGCCACAATGAAAGCTCTTTAGCCCATCCATGAGGAGATGTATAGCAGAAAAATCCCTTCAATGTTGCCCTGAGTTGAGTTCATGGGGACAGACTTTTATACCCACTTCTGGCTGACCACCTGCGAAGCAGGTGTGATCTTGGTCAATGAGGCAGCTCTTTTCAACTGAATTCCTGTAGGTTTCTAACTAATTAAGCTTTTCTTCTGGCAAAGCTTCCAGTAGTTGGGGAAATAAGTCCTTTTCTGAAGGGGAGTTTGAGTGGAGCATTCACTATAAACCAAAGTTCAAGTAGTGTATATATCTATCTATCTGTCTCCATCTGACACACAAAAATCAAGTATTGTAAATTAGTCTACAAAAAAAAGATACAAATACAAATTATCTTGCACTTTATTTTAAGCTCAGTAATGCAATGGTTCTGTGATTCGAAAATCTGTCTTTTAGGGCCAATTTTTATCTACAAAAATAAAAGGCTAAACTAAACCCAAGGCAGCCAACATTTTATATAAAGAGCCGGAAAGTAAACATTTTTGGTTTTGTGAGCCATATAATCCTTGTCTCAACGATTACACTCTGCCTCTGTGGCATGAAAGCAAACATAGGTAATATGTAAATGAGTAAGTGTATCTGTGTTCCAATAAACCTTTATAGGCAAAAAAGATTTTAATCCACAGGCTGTAACTTGCTTATCCCTGAACTAGATAATCTCTATTATCTTTTCAATTACTAACATTATACGTTTTTGTAATTTCTTCTCAGAATTAGATAATAGATTCCTTCTTTAACTTAAGTACAATCATATGCCACAAAATGTGGTTTTGGTCATCAATGGATTGCATATACAATGGTTGTCCCTTAACATTGTAGTAGAGCTTAGTGACATTACAGCTATGGTAATGTCATCGTGCAACACATGACTCATGTTTGTGGTGCTGCTGGTGTAAACAAACCTAATGCACTGCCACTTGCATAAAAGTATCATTAATGATGTATAAAAGTATAATCAATTAATAACGGGATATGTTCTGAGAAATACATCATGGTAGGTGACTGGCATTGTGCAAACATTATAGAGTGTAATTACACAAACCTCGATGGTAAAGTATACTACACACCTAAGCTATACGATATAGCCTGTTACTCCTAGGCTACAAACCTGTACAGCATTTTACTGTAATGAATGCTATAGGTAAATGTAACATAATTATAAATATTTGTGTATCTAAACATAGAAATTATATGTAAAAATATGGTATAAAAATACAGTCCACCTGTATAGGGCACTTATCAGGAATGGAGCTTCAATGACTAGAAGTTGCTCTAAGTGAGTCAGTGAGTGAGTGCTGAGTAAATGTGAAGGCCTAGGACATTACTTTATGATACTGTACACTTTACCAACACTGTACACCTAGGATACACTAAATTAATTTAAAAAATAAAGTGTGTTGTGACATTATAACATCAATAGACAATAGAAATGATTAAGATCCATTATAATCTTATGGGACCACTGTCATTGTACACATGGTTCATTGTAGACCAAAATGCCATTATCTGGTGTTTGACTTTATAGCAGATATAATTATGTACAGTACATAATATTTGATAATGATAAACAATTATGTTACTGGTTTATGTGTTTACTATATTATACTTTATATTACTATTTTAGAGTATACTTTTTCTACCTATTAAAAAAATTAACTGTAAAACAGCCTTAGGCAGAACCTTCAAAAGGTATTCCAGAAGAAGGAATCGTTATCACAGGAGATAACCGATTCATGCATTATTGCCCCTGAGGACCTTCCAGTGGGACAGGATGTGCAGGTGGAAGACAGTGATATTGATGATCCTGACCCTGTGTAGGCCTAGGCTAATGTGTGGGCTTGTGCCTTAGTTTGTAACAAAAAAAGTGTGCAAAGTAAAAAAAAAAAAAAAAAATCCCAAACAAAATATATAGAATAACGATATAAAAAAAGAAAACATTTTTTAGAGCTGTACATTACACTTATGTTTCAAGCTAGCTGTTATTACAGAAGAATAAACAAGTTTTAAAAAGAAAAAGTATATAAAGTAAAAAGTTACAGTAAGCTAAGGTTAACATATTACTGAAGAAAAACTTTGAAATAAACAATGTAGCCTAATTATACAGTGTTTATAAAGTCTACAGTAGTGTACAGTAATGTCCTAAGCCTTGACATTCACTCACCACTTATTCACTGACTTGCCCAGAACAACTTCCAGTCCTGTAAGCTCCATTCCTGGTAAGTGGCCTATACAGGTTTATTTTTATGTACAAAATATTTTTCTTTTGTACCATATTTTTACTGTACCTTTTCTATGTTTAGACATATTTAGATACAGAAATACTTACCATTATCTACAATTGCCTACAGTATTCAGTACAGCAGCATGTTATACTGGTTTGTAACCTAGAAGCAACAGGCTACACCATAAACCTAGGTGTATAGTAGGCTCTACTATCTAGGTTTGTGTAAGTACACTCTATAATGTTTGCACAATGACAAAATCACCCAGTGAGGCATTTCTCAGATGTATTTCCATTGTTCAGTCATTGATTACTGTACTATAATTCCTTCTAGAAAGAGTAGAGAAAAAAGTAAATATTCAAAATTGAAAATGCCATAGTATTTTTCTTACTTTAGTAACTAAAAATATTTATGAATTAATTTTAGTCACAGATAATACTTGTAAAATGCATCTACCCAATAGGAAAATTACTTTTTAAAAACTAATATATTGGCTTTTTCTAAATTGCAGGCAAATTTTCTAAAAGAGTTCACTGAAAATGAAGGCAAAAATGTTTATTTAGAAAACCTTGCTTTTTCCTATCACTACAACCACAAAATATTTCTAGAAATAATTCGAGGTTTTTATATTTGGGGTTTCTTTTGTTCAACTGAATTCAGGATTGTGATGGGAAGGAGGCAGAGACAGAGAGTAGGACACAAAGGAGGTCAATGAATCAATTTTCTTCAGTTTCTGGTTGAAAACCAGATATGAAAGCACCCTAAGAAAGATCCTAAATCAATGTAGTCTCTCATGACCTTAAAGCCTCAAAATTTAAGCTCCTTCAAGCAACTATTTGAATGTGAAAAGGTTGATATCTGGAAAATATGAACATGTTTTTCTCTTTTTTCTTAGTGTAGGACCTTCTGCCTATTTGACTCAAGGCATTAACCTGAAGGATTAAAAAATGATCATTACAAATGAATACAATGAAAAATAAAGAATAAATGTTTAGTTTCAGACATTTAACATAGAATTTTGCAGCAAGACTAGAGTCTCGTAAGATGGGCTACTGCCTTGAGAAAGGATTTTCTAAATTCCTTTATGTATCTCTTTACCAAATCAAGAAACAAGGTCAAAAGACATGAGACAGAGAGTTTTTTCACACCGATGAAAATATATATTTTTTTGACTTTAAGATAGCTGGCTGTGCTTGTTGTTCTATAAACAGGATAAATACCAAAGAACATTGACTAAATCCAACACCTACCCATGAAAAAAACTCTCAAAAAAATAAAAATACAGGGTAATTTCTACAATATGATAAAAAGCATCTCTAAAAATTCTGATGGTTAACACACTTAATGGAAAGACTGCATGTTTTCCTTCAAAAATCATAAACAAAACAAAGATGTCTTCTGTCGTCACTCTTGGAAGTTCTAGGCTTCTCAATTGGGAAGAAAGAAAAGAGAAGAGAAAGGAAGGAAGGAAGGAAGGAAAGAAGGAAGGAAGGGAGAGAGGGTGGGAGGGAGGGAAAGAGGGAGGGAGGGAGGGATGGGAAGAGGGAAAGAGGGACAGGGCCAATTGGAAAGGAAGAAACAAAATTGTCCCTATTAACAGATTATGTGACTGCTTACATAGAAAATTCCAAGAATCTATAAAGAACAGTTCCAAAAGTAATAAGTAAATTCATAGAAGTCACAGAATATAATATTAACACACAAAATTCAATTAAATTTCTCTACACCAACAATAAATGTGCAAAAGCCAAAATTGAAAACACTGTATCATTTTCAAGTATTCCAAAAAATGACTCATATATAAGCAACAAAATATGTACAGAATCTTTATTTAAAAATTTAAAAGCACTGATTAAAGAAATTTAAGAAGACAATTTAATGTGGAATCATATTATGTTCATGAATTAGAAGGTTCAACATAGCAAAAATGTCAATTCTCTCCAAATCGATCTACAGAGTCAAAGCAAATCCTATAAAAATCCCAGCAAGGTTTTATAAATAGACACAGACAAGTTTATTCTGAAATATATATGGAAAGGCAAAACGGCTGTATAATAACTACAATAATTTTAATGAAGACCAAAGTAAAGTAGAGGACTCATACAATTCAATGTTAAGGCTTACTATATAACTATGTAATCAATATAATGCTTTATTGGTGGAGAAAAAGGAACATAAATCAATAGAACAGAATAAAAAGCCCAGAAATAGAACCACATAAATATGGTCAAACAAATTTTGAAAAAGAAAAGCAACAATTAAATATAGAAAGGACTGTTTTTTTCAACAAATGGTGCTGGAGCAATTGAAAAATTATGGGAAGTAAAAGAAAGAGCCTCAACCTAAAAACCTCACACTTCGTGTAAAAATTAACTCAAGGCCGGGCCTGGTGGCTCACCACTGTAATCTCTGCACTTTGGGAGGCCGAGCCAGGTGGATCACGAGGTCAGGAATTTGAGACCACCCTGGCTAACCCAGTGAAACCCTGTCTCTACTAAAAATACAAAAAATTAGCCGGGCGCAGTGGCAAGCGCCTGTGGTCCCAGCTACTCCGGAGGCTGAGGCAGGAGAATGGCGTGAACCCAGGAGGCGGAGCTTGCAGTGAGCGGAGATCGCGCCATTGCACTCCAGCCTGGGCGACAGAGCAAGACTCCCATCTCAAAAAAAAAAAAAATAAAAAATAACTCAAAATAGATCATGGGCTTAAAAGTGAAATGTAAAGTTATAAACTTTTTAGGAAAAAAAAGAGAAAATCTTTGTAGCTTAGATTTAGAAAAGATGTATTAGACTTAACACCAAAAGCATGATTCAAAAAAGGAAAATGTAATAATCACAATTAAGATTAACACTTTTAATTCTTCAAAAGATTCTGTGAAGATGAAAAATAAGCTATAGACAGAGAAAACATTTGCAAATTACACTAGCAAGAAAGCACTTGATTTAGAATATATGAAGTTCAAAACTCAGCAATAAAAACATAATCTAATTTAAAATTATGCAGAAGCAGCAGACATTTCACTAAGAAGTATAAACAGATGACAACATGAAAAGATGTTCAACATCATTAGCCTCAGGGAATGCAAATCAATAGCCAAATGAGATATCACTATGTACATATCAGCATGACTAAATTAAAAATTAACAAATAAACAAAATATGATAACACCAAATGCTGATGAAGATGTAGGGGAACTGCATTACTCACATTTGCTAATGGAAATACAAAATCACATAGGCACTCTAGAAAAGAGTATGTCAGTTTCTTACAAACTAAGCATGCGCTTACCACACAACCCAGAACTGTACTCCTTCACATTTGTATCAGAGACAGAAAAACTGATGTTTACACAAAAAACTGTATATAACTAATGCCCATAGTCACTTTATTCATAATAGCTCCAAAATGGAAGCAACTCAAATGTCCACCAGGTAAATGGTTAAACAAAATGTGGTACAATCACACCACAGAATACACACTAATTAGCAATAAGAAGAAACAGACCAACTTGTGTATAAAGATAATTCTACTGAGTAAAAATCTCCAATCATAAGGTTAGATATACCTGTTCGATTTATAGAACATTTTTGAAGTTACAAAATTAGAGAGAAAAGGAAGAGATATGATATTTCCAGGGATTATGAACTGGAGAAGGAAATGATGGAAGGAAGATGGATGTTTCTGTAAAAGTATAGCAGGAAAGATCCCTGAAATGAAACTATCTGTTCTGTATCTTGACTGTGGTTGTCACGTGAATCTTCACATCCGATAAAATTGAATAGAAATAAATATATGCACATACAGATATGTGCACACAAGCACATGAATTACACAAATCAGTGCTTGTAAAACTGTGGATTCTAAATAATGTTGGTGCCTTTTATCCATATTAATTTGCTGATTTCGCTATGCTTATGTAAAATATTACCACAGAAAAAACCCGGTGAAGGGTATGCAGAATCTTATTATTTATTACAACTCTACATGAACCTATGATTCTCTCAAAACATTTTTCTTGAGGCGGGCAAATCACCTGAGGTCAGGAGCTCGAGACTAGCCTGGCCAACATGGCGAAACCCTGTCTTTACTAAAAATACAAAAATTAGCCTGGCGTGGTGGTGCACACCTGTAGTCTCACCTATTTGGGAGACTAAGGTGGGAGAATCGCTTGAACCCAGGAAGCAGAGGTTTCAGTGAGCTGAGATGGTGCCACTGCACTCCAGCCTGGGCAACAGAGCAAGATTCTGTCTCAATTAAAAAAAAAAATTCTAAAATAAGGCAAAATAAGATGAATGAGACTAATTCACTTTTAAAAACATTAACTGGTAAATTATTTTTAAAATTTTAACTTGCAAGGGAATTCTACCTTCCATCCCAGGTTGGAAGAAGCATTACTCCCATCTTCACAGCCATGAAGACCTAGACAAAGAGCTGGATTAAATTCAAATTATGACTTTTTTTTAATCTAACAAAAAGAAGCTGAGGTACCATAACAACCAGCAACCCAAAACCTAAGGAGGTGTCTGCATGGGGAGAGAGAAGAGAGGATGTGCACATCTGGAGTAAATGCAACCAGTTACGGGTATGAACAGTTAGAATATAGAATAATTGAAAAAAATGAGTGAAAATGGAGTGCAGGCTGATGCAGAAATATGAAATACCTAGGATGCAGGCAAACAAACAAACAAGCAAACAAACTGGGGCAATATGTAACCTCTTTTAGGTTGTTTTCCTCCATGAACTCCATTGGATGCTTACAGAAAATACTATTCAAAAAAAAAAAAAAAAGCTCTAAGTAGCAGGACAGACCTGGAAGACAAAAAGAACACACCTATGCAAAAGCAGCAAAAAATTTTGCCTGGATTTTCTTCACTATCCCCACCATGAAACAAAAGCCTCAATCTATAGGGGAAAACCTATAAGGACATTGGTGAAATCTCATTGAATAAGGGATAAAGGAACAAGAAAAAGAAATTTGTAGTCCTGTGGGAGAAACAGGATTACGCACTGACCCCGTATCTGCAGCCATAGAAGGGGCAGAGTTAAAGAAGTCCCTAAACACAAGAAAACAGTGCATGCCTAAGACAGAGGTTCAACCAGAACAACAGAGATCACAGCTTATTTCTTCCTACCACTAGGCTATCTAGCTTTTTGAAAAACAAGTAACAGTAGACTTCTACTGGGGGAAGTATAGGAGAAGCACAAGTACATTTGAGTATATTTATGTAATCTCTATTTTAATCCATTGATCTATCATTCTATCTCACACTGTCTGTTTTACTGCAGGTTTTTAGTAAGGCTTAAAATCCAGTATTGTGATTTCTCCAACTGTATTCTTCTTTCCAAAATTGTTCATCTTTTGGAGTTCCTTTACTTTTGCATATAAACTTTTGATTTACCATGTCAATATCAATGAAACCACCTACTGGGACCTTGATTAGACTAACTTTAAGTTCATAAACTGATTTGAGGAGAATAGACTTCTTTATTACGCTGAGACTTCGAAACTGGGAACCTGTTATGTCTCTGCATTTATTTAGGTCTTTGATTACTTTCATCAATATTGCATAGTTTTCAGCTGACAGATCTTGTACATTTTCTGTGAGATTTGTATTTCATATTTTCACAACTATTCTTGTTATATTTCAGAGCTATTCTAAATAATACTGACATTTTAGTTTCTAATTGCTTATTATGTCAAAATTATTATATGTGGAAATGCAATTGATTCCTGTATGCCAAACTTGTAACTTGTGATCTTATTATTCTCTTATTAGTTTTAGGACATTTTTTAGAAAAAAAAAAACACTGAAAGTTTATAATAGATAATCATGTCATGAGTGAAGAGAAATCATTGTGTTTTTTTTTTCAAATATATGTGCCATTCACTTTGGGTCCATCATGGCGGACGGCATGCAGAACTAGATTGAAGCTCTGACTCTGACAGACAGAGCAGTGTGCGGGGGTTCGCATAGTGTATTTTAGCTCCAGAACGATTACAGGAATAAATCAGGAATCCTAAGAGGACCTACAGACCCTCTAAGGAAGCAGACTGTTTCTGCAGGACCCGGAAGACACCACAAATACTGTGAGTGCCCAAACTGCGGAAGTGGGAAAGGGAGAGCTTTTGCCCTCCCCAACCATCCCAAACCAACACACACACCTCCTGGGTAAATAGAAGGTCTAGTTTGCAGGAGAAGATTCTGGCCTTACCTGGAGCTGAATCCATTTAGAGAGCCCAGCGAAATACAGGGGTAGAGGAAGCAGCGGGAAAGGCCCTGGGAGCTAGCTGGTCTCCAACCAGGCCATTCCTGCCTGGCATCACAGGAATTCTTCGGGAGGGCAGCCAGTGGTATGGGGAAAACGCCGCAGGTAAAAGCAAATCTCTAGCTGAACTTTGTAACAATTTGAACCAGCTGAAAAGCCTCCCTTTTGTTTAGCAGCTGGGAGGCGGGTAACCTGGGGCAAGTTCTCAGCTCTGCGCACTGCCTGCCTAGTGCTGTTAATGGCGGCAGGGTGGCTGGGTGAGGCCGGTGACTGCTGGCTTTCTCACACTTCCTGACAATCTGCATGACTCAGCAGAGGCAGCCATAATCCTCCTAGGTACACAACTCCATTGACCTAGGAACCTCCCCTCCAACCCCGAGAGCAGCTGCAGCAGGTCCTGCCCAAGGAGAGTGTGAGGTCGGCCACGCCTAGCCCCGCCTAGCCCCGCCCCCACCTGATGGTCCTTCCCTACCCACCCTGGTAACTGAACACAAAGGCCATATACTCTTGGGAATTCTAGGGCCCCACTCACTGCCGGTTCCTCTCCAGACTACCATAGCTGATGCTCTCTGGAAAGCGCCACCTCCAGGTAAGGAGGCCAACCAGCACAAAAATAGAGCATTAAACCACCAAAGCTAAGAACCCTCACAGAGTCCATCCCATTCCCCTGCCACCTCCACTGGAACAGGTACTGGTGTCCATGGCCGAGAGACCCACAGACAGTTCACATTACAGAACTCTTTGCAGACAACCCCCAGTACCAGTCCTGGAGCCTGGTAAACTTGCTGGGTCTTGGCTCTTAGGAAGCCACATCCATAGGAAAATTGGGAGAGTACTACGCCAAGGGAACACCCTGTGAGACAAAAGAATCTGAACAGCCTTCACCCCTTGACCTTCCCTCTGACAGAGCCTACCCAAATGAGAAGGAACAAGTAAACCAACTCTGATAATGACAAAACAAGGCTCTTTAACATCCACCCCCGCCCCAAATCACACTAAC